>NC_000004.12:31835795-32168202 GCF_000001405.40 Homo sapiens
TTCTCTTTTTTTTTTTTTTGAGATGGAGTCTCTTTCTGTCACCCAGGCTGCAGTGCAATGGCACGATCTTGGCTCACTGCAACCTCCACCTCCCAGGTTCAAGCGATTCTCCTGCCTCAGCCTCCCGAGTAGCTGGGACTACAGGCACGCGCCACCACACCTGGCTAATTTTTTTAATTTTTAGTAGAGCTGGGGTTTCACCATGCAGGCCAGGCTGGTCTCAAACTCCTGACCTCAGGTGATCCGCCCTTCTTGGCCTCCCAAAGTGCTGGGATTACAGGCATAAGCCATGGCGCCCAGTGGTCAAATACATTTATATTTTTAGCGTCCAACTTGTAGAGTGCATATCATACAGTAAGGGTCTGATTCCTGTAGATTGCATAAATAAATGAAAGAATGAATGGTGAATAAAACCAAATAAACATGTAGTGAGAGTTATCACATTGCAAGCTGGGAATATGTGAGGTGATGATCACAAATTGGAATTTCTTTGTATATGCACGTGTAGCATTACAGCTCTGGAGATCTGCAGTTCACAGAAAGCTAACTTGAATGTAATGAGAGTGAAAGGGGTCAATTATTTTGAGGTTAAAACATCTTCATGGATATTATAATCACATTTGATGATAGCAGGAATCGTAAAGTTAAGGAAGACTGTGAGACAGATTTTATTTTTCTTTGGTTAATTGTACAGAATGGAAAGAAAATTTTAAGAAAATTTTGTCATGGGTTTTACCCTGATCAAAATTAATAAAATATACTTTTAGGTTTCCTCAGTTAACCAAGTGTCTTCTTTCAAAGAATAGGACCCCAAGTAGATGTTTATCTTTCATGCAGAATGCAAACTCTTACAGGTGGCTCATCAATACACAGGTCCAGCAATTCCTTTATGGAGCTTACACAGAAACACAGCATAGCTTAAGATCCAACTGACATTTTGGAACCCTTCTAGGGATTTCAAATCTGACGTTCTGGATCCATTTTTCTTAGTACTATAAAAATCACTCGAGTCTACCAGTGGGCAGATTAAGCTAAAATACTAAACATTTTCTTGTATGTTTTGCTGTAAATATGCTTCCTTGTGTTTTTGTCTGAAAAGAATATATATTTAAGGAGGCAGGGTTAGTATAAAACCATAATTTATAAACTAGTCTAACTGAAACTTATATCACAGGTATTACTTATATCTCAGTTAACACAGGTTTTTCTGCCTCTGCCTCAAAGGTAGTGTGATTTAGGTGTTCTACCAAAAATCCCTGCAAGTCTTTAGTGATTACTAAATCAGAATAAAAGAATAAATGCTTTAAAAGAATATATGAACAAGGTTTTTCACATCATGAAAATTATACAGCTCTATTCTAAAAAGTCTTGAAAATGCAGGAATTGTTGTCACCTTGAAAGATGATTTTAATATTCCTGAAGCTATTCTCTTTTGGGATATCTGGATTGGGGTTTACCTCATTTGTTTTTCTTCTCTCGTGAATCACAGTTTTGTGCTGCCTACTATCTAATGTCCGCAAAAACTTGTTTCATATCATGTATCCAATCATAGAGTTGTCCACAGTGTGAAGACTAGCACAGTACTAGCTATTCGATCATAGCTAGCATTAGAAGTTTCATATTTCACATTTTATCCTTTGTCAGGAATATCTTTAATCCCTCCTCGCTTTTTGAATTTCACTTATTGTCTTTTCATGCAATGTAAACTAGTGTAGACTCCTGAGTAAAAACTTTGAGTTTTGTACATACACCATATTCTCTATTGTTTACATACCTTCTCTTCATTTAATATGCAACACAAGTACCTTTTCACTCAGAAACCATTAGACGCACGCACACACACACACACACACACACACACACACACCCTGTCATCGTCACCACAACATCAACTTTATGAGAGTTCCTTTTTTTTTTTTTTTTTTGAGACAGAGTCTTGCTCTGTCGCCCAGGCTGTAGTGCAGTGGTGCGATCTCGGCTCACTGCAACCTCCGCCTCCCAGGTTCAAGCAATTCTCCTGCCTCAGCCTCCTGAGTAGCTGGGATTACAGGCACCCGCAACCATGCCCAGCTAATTTTTCGTAGTTTTAGTAGAGACGGGGTTTCATCATGTTGGTCAGGCTGGTCTCGAACCCCTGTCCTCGTGATCCACCTGCCTCGGCCTCCCAAAGTGCTGGGATTACAGGCGTGAGCCACCGCGCCCGGCAGAGAATTCCTTTTAACTAAGGTTTTTATACCTCATGATGTGTTTTGTTATTTTACTTCTTTTGCTCTACCACTGGTCTTTGAACTGTTTTGGGGAAGAAATTGTGTCTTGCTAATGCTTCAACTTCTAGGATAGTGATCAAAACAAAATAGAAAAAGCAAAACAAACAAAATATATTTGGTCAATAAATAATCGTTATTAATTTAACACACCTCTTTCTCTCTATTTTATTCCTTGTATTTATTACTGCCCATTCTATCTACTCCTATTTCAAGTCATATTTCCCAAGGGTTTTGAATTGTATTTAATAATTCTCTGCCATTCATTTTTCAATTATTCCAATAATTATTAACTGCTTTCCTCTTTTCTTCCTCTTCAGTCCTAATATTAATATGTACTACATATGACCCAAGTTCATATTTTTGAATGATGCATTCCTTTTATCCCCATTGTCCTTTATTCATTAAATCATCTAGGCCATCTTGTACTGTGGCCTTAGGAAAAATATTCAAGAGAATAGAGCATAGAAAATTGGAGTCTATTTCTGAATTTATATTTTTAAGAGCCTAGTTCCCTAAAGAAATATAGAGAAATAATGGCAGAGACAAAATATTTATCAGGATACAGAAAGAGCGAAAGTATTACCTTCCCCACACCTTCCAAGACTGGAATAGTCTCCTTCATACTTGAGAGAGTGAAGACATCAGTTGGGAAAGTAGCATCTGCAGACACGTCTTACAGGATGGAGGAATTTGGGAGATAAAGATACTTTTTCATGATGGTCCAGGTGGAGCCAGGTGGTGACGGATAGCAACACTCTAGCACAGAATTGCCTGCAAAGTGTGTATCTGCAGACTAAGCCTTAAACAGCATTTTCTTTTTTTTCAGCATAGCATAGTAGGCAAAATGATACAAATATGTATAGTTGAGAAAGGAGGTGGTCAGAATAGTCACCAAATGTGAAATAGTGAAGATGATGGGAAAGTTGAACATCTCCACAGCATTTGTGTGGACCAAAGACTAGAGAAAATAATGGATATTTTGGTGAAAATATTATAGTGTAACTATGGAACTTACAGGACAAGATTTGCTACTGTCCTCCTATTGATCCCATGGCATGATCCACACACCTAGAATTAAGCCTAAGAGACAAGTGACTTCAAATTAAGATTTTTTTCCATCATGTCAGCTATCATGTTATTTTTTATCACATCATTTTTTGCAACTTAACACATGAAAGATTACATATTGTTTCATTTCAGCATAAACAGATAAAACTATATATTTTAAACAAGGTAAAGGAGGCTCTTGAGAGTGGTATGGCTGTTAGTCTGTCTTTAAATCTGTAATGTTGGGCATCACTGCATATGTCACAGTCATCATGATTCCTAAATATTGCTTAGTTCGTTCCGTATTTTCTCATCATGAGATGTAGGCTTTTAGGAGGACTGGAAAGAAAGGTTTAATTCTGGGAAAATAAGAGAGAAGCTGTTAAAAAATTCACTCAGTAAAATAGTTAAGAGTAAGTTCATAAAAGATCGCAGGTTTTATAAGAACAAGCCTGTCCTACTATGTGATTATTAGGATATTATCATTTTGTTCTAATCAAACTAGCCCACATATACTTGCTATATACAACTACTGAGTTGCAAATGTCTCTAAACATTAGCAAAATTGCAGATGACAGCAAAGTATTATCAGGACCAATATTGTGTTTACATCGTTACCCTCTTATGTCTAAAGAAAGGTAACACTTTTTATTCAGTTAATTTTGTGTCTAACAGGTAGTCTTACATGCATTCTTAAATCAGTTTAAATTGTTCCCTAGACCACTTTCGTTGCTAATTTTCATCAAACCAAGATGCCATTACAGCAATTGCCACCATCCTGTTGACTCAGTGGGCAGCCATACCCGCTGCTCTTGCATTTACTAGAATTAGGTTCTGCTACTGCGTGTTGCTGCTTCTTTACCCCGAAGCTCTACTTTTGAGGCTACTCACAAGAACAAGCATTTATGAAGGGTTGATATGTGCAGCAGACCACCATGGCACATGTATACCTGTGTAACAAACCTGCACGTTCTGCACATGTATCCCAGAACTTAAAGTAAAAAAAAAAAAAAAATTATAATAAAGAGGTTCTTAGTCTATCATCGTAATTTTGTCCCTGTCATCTCATCCTTCAACCCCCAGCGCCTGTCGCACATGCCTCTATATGTCTGAAAACCACTTATCGAATAGATTTAAATTATTTTTGGTGGAGGCTCTTTAGCCACTATGTACTTCAACTGATACAAATATATATGGAAGTGTGAAAAGAAAACAACAATCAACATAGGTTAATTCTGAATCCCAGTTCCAGCCGCACTGTGTAATTTAACTGTCTTGTTTTACCTCACAAAAATATTGATAACAACTAAGATTATAATCCACTTTAATTTCCATGTACTTTACCTCTATTAAAAACTATCCAAACAATATATTGGAAAAATTGATAGGAAGTGAAATTTTACATTTTAAGAACATAGAGAATGAGAATTTATACATACCAAGAATTTAACATTAAAGAGATGTAAAATTAGCTAATCTCTCCATCACTAAGATATTCACTAACGTAAGCAATCAACAAATTTGGAATTTGTATTTGTTTGAAACCACCTTCAAGAAAAATTTCTAGAGTGTAATTCCATCTTACTATTAATTAACAGAAAAATGGCATCTACTGCAATAAAATGTGTTCAGGGACAATGTACACTGATTTATGATGTATAAAATATATGTGTATATATGAAATGTGTGTGTTAATATTATCAAAAATGAACTGATACATTTTAGATGTGTTGGCACATGATCTGGTATTCGGTTAACATTTTTTCCAAGTTAACCTAGATTAACAAGAAACAAATATATCTGAATTTCTTTACAAATGCTCCAAGATTCATGCATCCTCTTTCTTTGGCCCTTTCTGGATGTTGGAGGCTTATAATGTATTCTCTGAGTTAGTCCTTCTGTACTTTTTCTTCCCCCAGCTTTTCTTAACCTTGGCTCTTTGTTGTGACCATGTCTTTTAGCTTATAGCCTGAATTTGACACCTGATTGTGGCTAAGAGACTTCACTGTCCCAAGAGTTATGATGACATGAAGTTGAATATTAGTGCATGCTATGATTTGAAATTATACAATATATAAAAATAAAAATTATCCCAGAAAGCAATACTTCTGTAACATAACAGTAGTATAATGTTTATATAAATAAATTACACATAAATAGTTCAAATAAGGTACATTTATATTTATTTAACAATGTATAATAAATAACATTATTATTACATTTCAAGTTATCTATACATTATGGCTTCATTAATTCAATACATTACATACTGTTGTTTATTGCTCCTTTTGTAATCACATACTTACAATATTAGTTTAAAAATTAATAATCATTCATTTTTTGTATTTCAACTTTTGAAATGATATAAACTATTCTTTTTAGCCAATACATTATTTATTTTCTTAATAAAGACTAATGAAAGTTTTTGTTAATTTGCTTATTTTTGTCTCCCACCCTCAAGGATGGGAACATCTTTCACGTTGGAAACATTTTGAGCTCAATTCTGGGCACCAAAAGAGAAAAAATGTTCTCTCTTTTATAACCACACCCCAACAAACACACATTTACCACAATCTTATAGGGCACTACACAGAGGAGTTAATTTGCTCTGTGGACTACTGTGTAGATGCTATACAGCGAGGTAACTTTCAAATGAGATCTTGCACATAAGAAAATTACAATTCATTTATTACACAATATGGAATCACAAATATAAAATATGATTGTGATATGGACAGGAGACAGGGAAATATGGAGAAAAAGAGGATGATTTCCCTGAAGATGCCCTATTCTCAAGCCTGGAAACCCATGACCCTAAATTGGAGCAGGAATTCCTGTTTTTGAACCCAAAAGTTGCCATTTGACCTGCCACACCCGCATATCCTGTACACATATAAACCCTAATCCCTAGACTCCACAAGCAGATGAGCACACAAGCAGATGGTGAGATGAACAGAAGAGTAGAAGAAAGGCGGAACTGCATGTCATTGAGAAGAAAAGGAATGTCTAAATGCCGAGAGGAGTTTGGCTGGGGGCAGTCAGAGAGAAGATGGATGGTCAGGCTTCAGGGGAAAATCATCTTTCCACTCCATCCCCTTTCCAGCTCCCCATCCACCCCACTGAGAGCCACCTCCACCACTCAATAAAACCCTCACATATCATCCTTCAAGTCTGTGTGAGACTCGATTCTTCCTGGACGCTGGAGAAGGACCTGGGTACCAAGAGGTCACTGAACTGGTTAACACTTAAGCTGTCCACAGAGGGCAAGTCTAAAGGAGCACACTGTAACAAATGCCCTCTTGGGCATCATGAGTCACAGGCTCCCACACCTGGACACTGCCATGGTGCTGGAGCCCAGGGGCATTTGCCCCAGTTCCTACACCTGCCCATCTGTGTGCTCCTCCTCCCACAATGGGTGAGTGTGCATGGTGGCCAAACAAATGAGCCACACCGCTGTCACACATCCTGCGACGGGGATTAGGGTTCTCTACCAATTCAATTGTTATTTCTTTCTCATGAGGCATTCATTGTTTTTAATAATCCATGATAGAAAAAGTATTACTTCCAGTCACATGTCATCCAGAATTCTGCTATTGACTCTCTCCAAAGGCAGGTTTGAAGCTTATCTTCCTGGTGTCATCAGCACTAGCAAATACTAGGCTTTTTTCCAATTGAAAATTTTGAAAGTCTTTGAACATATCATATGCTTATTATAAGTAAGGGATTGATTATTTTATACTCCATGTGTCTCAGGAAACATTGCATTTTCCTATGGTGAAAATGAGAAAACCATTTGTACTGATATCATTTCACATTTAAATAAACTACATAGTACATGCACCTAAAGCCAGAACATTTGTTTTTCTTTCACTTAGTTTATAAAATTCCACATTTTCTTCCTAATGCGAATTTTCACTCTGGACACACAAAACAATTTAAAACAGAACAAAAAAAAAAATAAAGATTTTTTTTTTTAAAAAGTAAACTGAAGACCAACTGGATAAGCTTTAAGAACAATAAAATTGTTCCACAAACCATAGCTTAAGACTCACTTTGTCTTATACTCGCAGGCTTTATTAACTTTTTGTCGGATTAACAAAGATCTGTCACTCAAATTCATGAATAGCGTTTCCATGCACATCTTTGCAAATGCACTTAGTGTTTGTAAATGTATTCTTTAGTAGGGTGACACAGAGGAACAATGAGGAATTTTCCTTTTACATTCAATTTATCATCACTTTCATGTTGTGCTGTAGCATCAGATCAGAAGTCACACTCAGTGTCATTTTGCCAATTATGAAATCCAGATGCCAAGATCCAGATTCAATTTTAATGTCTACCTAGAATTTTGGTTGTGATTTAATTTTAGTCATAAATCACTTTTGACCTGTTATAGCAAGTAAAAACATATTTTGATGACTATTACACCTATTTAAAAATCTCAGAAAGTGCTGTGTTTTGAGATGGACTGGCCTTTGCTAAAATTCAAAAGTGCTGGCAGAGCATTAAAATGTAATTCTAAATTTTGTTTAGACAAACAGTATTAGCATTAAGGCTTATTTCTATACTAACAAAAATGAAATAGATTGTTTTATATCATTGGATAATGACGTGTTTGCATTAACATGTTAGAAAATTTTCACCCATTTGTATAATTGACATTTGGCCAGATTTAGCCTAAATATGAGGACACAGAAAAGCTACCTGCTGAAAGTTCAAGAATGTGATAGGCAAAAAAAGGACTCCTTAGTATATTATTTAATGATTTATGCATTGCATATGATCAAAATAACAATCTAGTTAAACTTAGTAGCGTGTAATAACATCCCCATGAAAGTAAAGAAACAGCCATGAATTTAAGGCAAAAATAGATGTCTTGAGGTGATACCTAATGCTTTTTATTCACTATCTGTGATTTCAGGATATGTCTTAAGATTTAGAACATAATTTTAAAACCCACATAATTTTCCATTTTTTTCTTTCATTTTTGGTGGAAATGATCTTATGGGAACAATTTTCCTGGACTTAAGTTGATGTAATAAGTTAACAAAATAATTTTAGAACTGAAAATGAGTTTTGGTTTTTGTTCTCATAATGAATGTAATGAACATATATGAAATTCCAATACCTAGCCAAGAGTGGTGTCTCATACCTATAATCCCAGCACTCTTTGAAGCCATTGTGGAAGAATTGCTTGATGCTAGGAGTTCAGACCATCCTGGGCAACATAGCAAGACTCTGTCTCTACAAAAAATGTATTTTAAAAATAGCCAGGCATAGTGGTACTCACTGTAGTCCCATCTTAGGGGGCTGAGACAGGAGGATTGCTTGATCCCATAAGTTCAAGATTACAGTGAGCTATCATCATGTTACTGCACTCCAGCCTGGGCAACAGAGTGAGACCCCATTGCAAATAAATAAATAAATAAATAAATAAATAAATAAATAAATAATTAAATAAAATGTCATACTTTTAGCTACGCTGTATAATAAGCATTTATTTATAGTCATTAAATAAAATTTCACTTTCAAAAATACATTAAATATGAAAGATTTTAACTAAATTGTTATGAGAACTGTGTTTACTCTTTGTGGCCCTCAACTGTATTCCATAATTTATAAACACATTTATTTAATTTATGTAAATATTACATACCATCTCTAGAGGCTAGGATCCATGGGTCAGAAAATATATCAGGTTTAATTACCATTTTAGACTCAGTACGAAGTCATGCCTACCTCATTATAGGTGTTCATAACCACTTGCTTAATGAATGAAGGAATGAATAAAACACACGAAGTCATACTTTCAAAATATGATGATATCATATCCATCTGTGTGTGTGAGTAAGTAAGTATTCACTCAAACTGTAGCAAACCAGTCTGGCTAAAGGAAGGGCACAAGTAGGTACTAGTGAAATATAAGGTCAGAATAGCAAGTTGGGAAACAGTTATGAAGGATTTTGACAGCTGAAAAGTCTGGATATAATATAGTATATTTGAGTAGTTGTACGGATATAAAATATTCATCCACATATTTCCATGTATTATTTATGTATATCTATATATTTAACAAAATAAAAAGATACATATGGTGTATGTGTATATATATATGTGTATGGCAAATAACATATGTATCTACAAACACCTACCAATTTTAGGAAAACTAAGAAAAGTAACATAATTTATATTTTAAAATTCCAATTAAAGTGCTTTAATAAATAAATTTTATTGTGCTAGATCTATTGTTTTTTCAAACAGTAGATTTCTACTGGCTATTTTTTGCATAATGGGATTCCCAGAAAGAATGCCCCACTGTTCTAGACCAGGCATCCGTACACTTTTTTTCTGTAAAGGGCCAGAGTAAATAATTTAGGCTTTGTGAAACTTAGGTCTCTTGCACAAGTGCGTGATTCTGCTGTTGCAGCATGAAAGCAATCATAGCAACATTTCTGACCAATGAAAGTGAAAAATTAGAATAGCTAGGTTTAGGTAAACTTTAATTCTGGAAACTTGTTGAATGCCACGTGATTGTCATGTGTCACAAAATAACATTTAAAAAACTTTAAAAATTTTCCAACCATTTAAAAACACAAAAAATATTTTTAATTCATAGGCCACACAAAATTCAACATGTGCCACCATCTATTCTATCAATTTATATGCCTAAGACTTGTAATAGATATTATCATGATTAGGTTTATAGCTATTTTCCAACAGACTAAGCTCCCTGAGGGTTGAAAACTTTCTATTAGTAGTTCAGTTCCACATGCAGCAACTAATCAATAAATATATATTAAGTAAATGATTGAAATTGATGAAAAAGCACTCATACTTTAAACCAGGATACATAATTTTTTTTCCACATATTTTTCTCCTGTGCAAAATAATTACGGAAGATTATGGACTACATTTGTAGAGCATTAAGGAGAAATGTTGGCAGTAAGAGTGTTCTATATTCTAACACACTGTCATCCATTTTTAGGGAAAATAGAAAAGAACCTTTTGCATCTGCAAAGGCCTTAATTATATACATCACATATATCATGAAAACATTAAGAAAAGGTGTCTAGATTGTGCAGACTTTCATTAAATTAAGAAATGGGAAATATGGCTTTAGTAGTTCTAGTGATAATAAAATCACACATTTTAAAATTATATCTAAAATTGTAAAGGTCATATGGCTATGTATAAAAAAAGATAAAAGATGTTTATATTCTCTTGCTTTGATACTGCAATTTTGATTACAAAGACATTTTACCTCTATCATTAAGATTCTGTCATTTTGGCTTATCTCTGTACCTAAATCCTTCTGTTTCCTTACTAAGCTTATTTTTGTTCTTTAAAATATAAATAAAAATATTAAGTGTAGCGACACTATTGAAAATCATGTGGTTGGAAATCCTTTTCCTCCAAGAAAGCAATAAATAAACTGACAAAAATAGAATGAACTATTTCATGACTCTATAATCAACAGTTGCAACAACCAGTGGGATACTTACTTAAAGAAGAACAAAGCTGCTGAATTTTGTCAAATAGCGCTGTGGTATTTTAAGTCATCTTGTTACCACCCTCCAATCCCCCCAGCTCAATGGTGGCCTTGAAGACAGTAGCCCACATTTCTGGTGCAGGTTGCAGGTACCAACGGGAACAATACAGACCTTCTTTTTGAAGAATTGCAGTAGTGTTCTGTGACTTGTCTGGTGGTTCCTTGAAGGATTAGCTCAAAGGATTTCCTTTGTTTTATTTACTTTTGATCTTACCCAGAGATGAGGTAGCTTCTCAGGTGACCTTTGTCAGAAATTTAAATGAAAATGAATTAGCTGCTGTTGCCTGAGGCAAGAAGTAATTATTTGGGGAAAAAATAGACAAACAAACCTGGGAAGACAGAGTTTTGGGAAGGAGATACTTGAGAGAATGAAGGCTTTTAAAAGTTCTTGCCTGTTCTGGGAATCCAAGAGGCCAAGCACAGGCCAAGGGCTGAAGACATGCCAGAAAAAAACCTGAGAAAACCTGGAACTATCCTGCTTCAGTTGATCTTTAAGATCTATAAAAGCAGGACGTGAAGGCTAAGGCAGAGTTGTCAATAGGCATGGCTAAACATTACAGAGCTTTAAGTGACCTCAAATGACAATGAATACAGGCTTTAAGACATTAGTTCAGAAATGTCACTTAGCATACAAACAACAACAACAATCCATGAAGAAGGTGGAGAATATAATTTTCAAAGTCGCCACTTTAAAATATTAAAAATATCCAGCTTTTAAAAAATCAGTGATATATGCAAGGGAACAAGAATGTGTTGTCCATTCAAAGAGGAAATAAATTAATAGAAACTGTGCCAGAGGAAGAACAGATATTAGACTTCCCAGATGAAGACTTTAAATCAAATGTTTAATTTATGCCAAAAATGTTACCAGTAGTTAGATGGGCACGATCAGGGCAAGAGAGGGTTCCCTCTCAACCAACCTGCCAGGAATGTCAAGCGATCTGGTGATGGTTCAACAATTGTTGCTTTGCCTCTCTAAAAATGATAATTTGGTAGCCTGCACCAGGGAGAGACAATCGCCTGCTGATCCACAGCTGTTAATATTAAAATGTTAATTGAATGCAGGCTCCAGGGAGAAACAGAAAGGGCTTCCAGTAAAATCTCAGGTATTGGTTGAGTGAGCCTGGGCATGCACATTAAGAGAAAAAATGATGAACTATGAGCTTTTCTGGGCACTCCACCTGAAAAGGGAAGAAAGCCTTAGATGGATATGAATATGACTTCCTAAACATGCTGCCAGTGCTCACTTGGCAATGATAAGGAGGGCACTGTGTATGTGGGCAGCTCCCCATAAGGGAAGAATCATGAGAAAGGAGCACAAGATGCCAGAGGTGAACCAGCCTACAAAGTCCTAGAATCAAGGTTAAACATTGCATTTGTTCTTCAGGTTTCCTGGTTGGGTTTCTTCCCAGAGTACCTTCCTTTCTTTCCTGTTTTATAGCTTTTTAATAAACTCCCATTCATGCTCTGAAACTTACCTCAGTTTCTTTTTCTGTTTCATGCTCTTCAGTCAAATTCTTTCTTCTGAAGAGGCAAGAATTGAGGCTGCTGCAGATCCATATGGATTCACCACTGGTAACTAGAACACCTTCCACCAGTAACAAAATAACTAAAGAAAGCCATGGACAAAATACACACATACACACACGCAAAACAAGTAAAAAATAAAACAAGAGAAAAATGTCTTACCAAGTAAAAATTATCAGTAAATTTAACAAAGAGAGAAATAATTAAAAGGAGGAGCTGGTCATGGCAGTTTATTCCTGTAATCCCAGAAACTTGAGAGGCTGAGGTGGGAGAATAGCTTGAGCTCAGGAGCCCAAGGCTGCAATGAGCTATGATTGTGCCACTGCACTCCAGCATGGGTGATGGAACAAGGCTCCATCTCAAAAATATATATATACAAATAAAATATTAAAACACAAGGAGACATAAAGAACACTCCTCTACACAACAAGGGAATAGACATTCTTTTCAAATGTAAACGGAATGTCCTCCATGACAGACCATATTTTAGGTCACAATGCAATTCTCAACAATTTCAAAACTGATTATAAAATTTTTATGCACTTATAAGAGATCAGATCAAAGTATCATTTCTAACCACATGAAATGCAACTAGAAATCAAAAACAAAAAAATTGAAAATTTTATCATTATGTAAAAAAAGAAAATATATTCTTAAACAACTACGAGCTCAAAGAAGAAATAACAAGAGTAAATGTTTTGGGACAAATTAACACAAAAACACAACATACTTTAAGTTATAAAACGTAGCAAAAGTGAGGATTAGAGGAAAATATATAGCTGTAATGAATACATAAAACAAAAAATTCTAAAATCAATAAACTAATTTTATACCTAAAATTATATAAAAAGAAGAGCAAATTAAATCCAGTTAGGAAAACGAAGGAAACAATAAAGATTACAGCCGAGATAAATAACAAAATAATCAACAAAACAAAGTTTGTACTTGAGGAAATCAACAAAATTGACAATCTTTAGTTAGACTAATCAAGAAAAAAAGAGAGAAGACTAAAATTACTAAAATCTAAAATGAAAATGTGGTAATATGATAAATATTACAGGATTAAAAAGAATTATTATTATTACTATTATTATTTTTATGAGACATAGTCTTACTCTGTCACCCTGTCTGGAGTGCAGTGGCACAATCTCAACTCACTGCAACCTCCACCTTCCAGACTCAAGCAATTTTCGTGCCTCAGCCTCTGGGTAGCTGGGATTACAGGTGTGCACCACCATGCCCAGCTACATTTTTTGTGTATTTAGTAGAGACATGGTTTCATCAGGTTGGCCAGGTTGGTCTTGAACTCCTAGTGATCCACCAACCTCAGTCTCCCAAAATGCTGGGATTGTAGGTGTGAGCCACCGTGACTGGCCAGGAATTAAAATAATAATCACAGAAAAGTATGAACAATGTTTTATTACAGTATGAACTACCCTATATAAAATGTGCAACTTCATAGAAATATACAAATTACCTTTTATAGACTGAATTGTGTTCCCCAAAAATTTATATGCTAATCCCTAACCCTAATATGTCCTTATTTGGAGATGAAGTCTTAAGAAAATAATTAAGGTTAAATAAAGTTATAAGGGTGAGCTCTGATCCAATGTCACTAGTGTCCTTAAAAAGGAGAAAACAGATACCAAAGAGATACCTTCTCTCCCTCTCTCCCTTTCTTCTCATACATGCATCAAGGAAAAGCCATATGAGGACACAGTGAGAAGATAACTATCTGAAATCTAGAAAGAGAAACTTATTCTGGGACTTCCAGTTCCAGTTAAAACATAAATTTCTGTCTTCTAAGCAACCAAGCCTCTGATATTTTCTTATGGAAGCACAATCAGACTGTTATGGTTTAGCTCTGTGTCCCCATCCAAATCTCATCTTGAATTGTAATCCCTATGTGTCAAGGGAGCAACCTGGTGGGAGGTAATTGGATCATGGGGGCTCTTTTTCCCATGCTGTTCTCATGATAGTCAGTGAGTCTCATGAGACTCATGAGGTCTGATGGTTTTATAAGTGGCAGTTTTCCTGTGCTCCCACTTCACTTGTCACCTGCTGCCATGTAAGCTGCCATGTAATCTGTGCCTGCTTCCCCTTCTGCTATGATTGTAAATTTCTTGAGGTCTCCCCCAGCCACGCAGAACTGTGAGTCAATTAAACCTCTTTTGTTTATAAATTACCCAGTCTTGGGCAGTTCTTTGTAGCAGTGTAGAAATGGACCAATATAGTAAATTGGAACTGCAGTGAATGGGTTACGGCTATAAAGACACTTGAAAATGTGGAAGCAACTTTGGAACTGGGTAACAGAAAGAAGCTGGAACAGTTTGGAGGGCTCAGAAGACAGGGAAATGTGAGAATGTTGGGAACTTCCTAGATAATTGATAGATGGTTTTGGCCAAAATGATGACAGTGATATGGATAATGAAGTCTGGCTGAGGTGGTTTCAGATGGAGATGAGGAACCTATTGGGAACTGGAGCTAAGGTCACTCTTGCTTTAACAAAGAGACTGGTGACATTTTGTCCCTGCCTTAGAGCTCTATGGGACTCTGAACTTGAGAGAGATGATCTGATATTGGAGCTTATGTTTAAAAGGTAAGCGGAACATAAAAGTTTGGAAAATTTGCAGCCTGACAATGCAATAGAAAAGAAAAACCCATTTTCTGAGGAGAAATTCAAGCCATCTGCATAAATTTGCATAGGTCATTACCTATGCAGAAATGTTTAGGTAACATTAGGAGCCAAATGTTAATAGCCAAGACAATGGGGAAAATGTCTCCAGGGCATGTTAGAGACCTTCACAGCAGCACCTCCCATCACAGACCTAGAGAGCTAGGAGGAACAAATGGTTTCCTGGGCTGGGCCCATAACCTCGCTGTAACCAGCTCCAGCCAGCACTAAAAAGAGCTAGACACAGCTTTGGCCACGGCTTCAAAGGATGCAAGTGCCACGACTTGGTAGCTTACATTTGGTGTTGGGTCTGTAGGTGCACAGAAGTCAAGAACTAAAGTTTGGGAACCTCCACCTAGATTTTAGAGGATGTACAGAAACTCCTGAATGTCCAGGCAGAAATCTTCTGCAGGAATGGAGCCCTATTTGAGAATCTCTGCTAGGGCACTACAGAAGGGAAATGTGAGGTTGGACCTTCACACAGAATCCACACTAAGGCACTAGTTGAAGCTGTGAGAACAGAGTGAAGCTGTGAGAAGACAGCCACCATCTTCCAGACTGCAGAATGGTGGAACCACTGAGAACTTGCACTGTGTACCTGGAAAAGCCAAAGATACTCAGTGCCAGCCTGTGAAAGAAGCTGGGAGTGGGACTGTACCCTGCATAGCCACAGAGGCAGAGTAACCCAAGGCTGTGGGAACCCACCTCTTGCATCAGCTTGCCCTTGACATGAATTCAAAGGAGATTATTTTGGAGCTTTAAGATTTAATAACTGCCCAGCTGGATTTTGGACTTGCATGGAGCCTGTAGTCCCTTTGTTTTGTACAATTTCACTCATTTGGAATGGGAGCATTTATTTAATGCCTCCTACATCCATTGTATCTTGGAAGAAATTGACTTGCTTTTGATTTTACCAGCTCATAGGTAAAAAGGGACCTGTCTTGTCTCAGATGAGGCTTTGGACTGTGGACTTTTGAGTTAATGCTGAAATGAGTTAAAGCTTTGGGGAACTGTTGTGAAAAGGTGATTGGTCTTGAAATGTGAGGACATGATATTTGGGAGGGGTCAGGGGTTGATTTGGCTCTGTGTCCCCACTGGAATCTCATCCTGAATTGTAATATCCACGTCTCAAGGGTGCAACCTGGTGGGAGATAATTGGATCATGGGGCAGTTTCACCTATGCTGTTTTTGTGATAGTGAGTGAGTCTCACAAGATGCCATGGTTTTAAAAGTGGCAGTTTTTTCCTGTGCTCTCACTTCACTTCTAGCCTGCTGCCACGTAAGACATGCCAGCTTCTTTTTCTGCCAAGATTGTAAGTTTCCAGCCATGTGGAACTGTGAATCAATTAAACCTCTTTTCTTTATCAATTACCTAGTCTTGCATGCTTCTTTATAGCAGTGTGGAAACAGCCTAATACATAGACTAATACATGACAAACAGTGACTCCAGAAATTTATAAAAATCTGAATAGACCTATAACAAGTAAAATGATGGAATCAGTAATCAAATACTTCTTAATGAAGAAAACTTCAAGACTAGATGCCTTCACTGGTAAATTTTACCAAACATAAAGAATATTCAATACCAATCTTTTTCAAACTCATGAAAAAGAGGTTGTAATACTTTCTAGATCACCTTATAAGGTCAGAATTACACTGTTTCTAAAGCTAGACAAATATATCACAGAAAAGAAACTACAGACTAATATATCTTGTCAAAATAGATGAAAAATTTTTCAACAAAATACAAACAACCCAAATTAAGTATAATATTAATAGAATTATATGCTACAAACAAGTGAAGTTTAGACCAGGAAGGCAATAGTGGTTTAATATATACAAATCAACCAGTGTAATATACCACATTAATTAAATAAAAGACAATCAAAACACAAAATGTCAAGTGATACAGAAGTTTCATGATAGCTTAGAAATAAAAGTGAATTTTCTCCACAGAAAAAATAGTTTTATGAAAATTCTCAGAAACATCACACTTAATGGTGAAACACTAAAAGCTTTCTTTCTGTGACCAGGAACCATATAAAGATGCCTATTTTTTGCAGCTTTTATTTAATATTTTCTGGGCGGTTTAATCAAAGCAGTTAGGCAAGAAAAATAAACTAAAATCAGGAAGTAAAACTATCTCTGTAGATAATTTGATCTTCTATGTACAGTATACTTAAACATCCATAAGGAAATTTACTAGAGACACTAAATAAGTATAGCAAAGTTGCAAGATACATTATCAACACATAAAACGTTGTATTTATATACATTACCAAATAACAAAGCACAAGGAAAATTAAGTAAACAATATATTTACAATATCAAAAAACAAATTATTTACAATGATATCAAAACATAAAATATTTACAATGATATCAAAACACAAAATAAATATAACCAAGGATATCCAAGATTTGAACAATGAAAACAACAAACCATTGCTGAAAAAAGTTAAAGAATATCTATATAAATGCCAAGATGTACCATGTTCATGGACTGGACACCTTAATATTGTTAAAATGGCAATATTCCCAAAGTGATCTACAGATTTAGTGCAAACTCTGTTAAAATTCAACTGCTTTTTAAAATTTAGAAAAGGAAAATCTGATTCTAATATTCACATATAATTTCAAAAGATCTGAAAATCCAAAACAAACTTGAAAAAAAACACTGACACTTCACAATCAGTAAATTGGGAGAGATATAGTAGTTGAAGATAGACAATTGTTTATATGTATATTTCAGTTACAACTCAAAACAAAAAAGCAAAAAGATAAATTACCTGTTATGGGTTGAATTATGCACCCAAAAATTTACATGTTGAAGCCTACCCCTAGTATTTCAGAATGTGACCTTATTAAAAATAGAGTGGATATAGATGTTATCAGTTAAGATGAGATCATACTGGAGTATGCTGGGTCCCTAAACCAATGTGATTGGTGTCCTTGTAAAAACAGGGAAATTTTGACCCAGATACACACACACAAGAAGAACAGCATCTAAATATAAAAGCAGAGTACAAAAAAGATTAAAAAAGAATCAACAAGACCTACTATTTGGTAGCACAATAGGGTAACTATAGCCAATAATAGCTATATGTTTTTAAAATAACTTAAAGAATGTAATTGAATTATTTGTAACTCAAATGAAAAATGCTTGAGGGGATGGATACCCATTCTCCATGATGTGCTTATTTCACATATTATGGAGTACAAAACATCTCATGTACCCCATAAATATATACAACTACTATGTAGCCAGAAAAATTTAAAAAAATTAAAAAAAAAATAAAACCAGAAAAGTATATAAAGGCAGAGATTGTGGCAATGCATCTACAAATCAAGGTGAGAAGTCTGGGATAAATATTTTTCTACTATCCCTTAGAAGAAAACCGCCTTCCAACACCTTGATTTCAGACTTCTAGCCAGCAAAACTGTGAGACAATACATTTATGCTGTTTAAGCTACTTACTATTTTGTTATGGCAGTCCTGTCAAACTAATATACTTAAAAATTAAACATTTGCAAAAACTTAGACATTTTATCAACAAAGAAAAATAAATGGCCAATACACATGTAAAAAGGTCAACATCACTAGTCATTAGAAAAATGTGAATCAAAATCACAATAATATACTACATCTCATGGATGGGCATAATTTTTAAAAGTAGAGGAATTTAAACCCTCACACATTGCTAGTGGGAATGCAAAGCGTTATAGCCACTATGAAAAATAGCTTGGCAGCTCCTCAAAAGGTTAAACATAGAATTACATGTGGCCAAACAATTTTATCTCTAGTATATACCCCGCAAAAGAGAAAATAAGTGTTCAAACAAAAACATCATAATCATAAAAGCACTATTTCCAATAGCTAAAATGGCAAAATGCATAAACAACAAAAAAGTTTATCAAATAATGAATGGATAAACAAAATTGTATCTATATACAACAGAATATTATTCAGTCATAAAAAGAAATAAAGTGCTGATACTTGCTACAACATGGATTATCATTGAAAACATTATGCTAAGTGAAGATAGCCTGACACGAAAGATCATATATTGCATAATTATCCATAAGAGGCAAATCTATAAAGTTAGAAAGCAGATCAGTAATTTTCAGGGGCTGAAGGGAGAGAAAAATGGGAAATGATGCTTAAAGGGTAAAGGGCTTCTTTTTGAGATAATGTAAACGTCCTAAAACTGCAGAGTGGTGATAGTTGCACAACATTGTAAATGTATTAAATACTACCAAATTGTACTTTCTAACATGGTTAAAGTGATAAATTTTTCCACATAAATTTTAGCCTAAAGGAAGAAAATTACTAAAAGATAAGTGTTTACTTTGTAGTGATAATGAATTTACAAGGAAAAATGATGGACAGAATAGTAAGGCTTTACAGTGAATTTATAAAACACGTACATGGAATTATAATGAATTTGTAAAAAAAATTACAAAGAATAAATTGAACATTTTAATATCTGTAATAGCAGAAATATTCAATGGCACTTTGCTGGCAATATTAAAGAATTCAATAGTAAAATGGACTTATCTACTACCTAAACCTTAATTTTAAATAAACAATTTTTGGGTTGGGTCAAGAAGGCAGACTAGAGGTAGCTCTTGTCCACTGTTCTAACAGAGGGGAAAAAAATGACTAGGAAACTGATCCTGCAAGCTAATTGTCTAAGGAACCACATTGTGATCCATCAAGTCAGCAAGGAGACATGAGCAGAGAGGAGCAAATCTGGGCAGCAGCCCATCTGGGATTAGCATGGAGCCAGAAGAAGCTTCTCAACACAGGAAAAGAGTGAATGGGTCAGAGCCCCTCCAGTGGATTTACATCCTGCCCAGGAACCTGTGCAAGCCTGAGAGTTGGAGAATCCTCCTGACCTCCACCCACATGCCTCTTAATTGAGACACAGAGCCACTCAGAGTTTTTGCAGAAGCAACTCTCAGGTGCATGGTGACCTCTACAAGCCTTTGTCCCTGGAACAGACTAGCACCAATGCCATAGTCCCAACAGAGGCTGCAGTTGTTTTGCCTGGGATCAGTAAGATCGCTCCGGCCCCTGTCACCAAAAAAGGTTCAACACCAGCATCCCACCTGGCAGCCCCACTTCTGTTTGAATTCTGGCAGTGAGTGCAGCCTCCTGTTCCCACAGGAAACACGCAGACTGTAGAGCAGGTTGTTCCACCCACCCCCACTGCTCATAGCCAGACAGGCACACCTGCTAGAGCTTCTATCTCAGTGGTCCTGCTTCTGTCTGAACTATGCCAGGATTCCAGCCTTCTGTTGTCCTGGGACACACCTGAAACAACAGGGTGGGTAACCCCCAACCTGGATTGTAGGAAGGTCAGTGGAATCAAGGAGAAAGTTGAAACCCAATCAAAGAAACCCAGTATGACAATCCAGGATCTGAAAAATAGAAGAGCCATTTTAAGAAAGAACCAAACTGAACTTCTGAAACTGAAAAATTTACTTCAAGAATTTTACAATACAATTGCAGGCATCAAGAGCAGAATAGATCAAGCTGAAGAAAGGATGTCAGCACTTGAAGAACAGCCTTTTGAACCAACTCAGTCAAACAAAACTAAAGAAAAAAAGCATTTTAAAAAATGAACAAAACTTTTGAGAAAGATAGGATCTTGTAAAGACACCAAATATATGACTTATTGGCATTCCCAAAAGAGAGGGAGAGAGAATAAGTTACCTGAAAATGTATTTGAGAATACAGTCTATGAAAATTTCCCTAAACTTGCTAGAGGAGGAAAAATTCGGAAAATATAGAGAACTCCTGCAATACACTAGACAAGATGACCATTCCTAAGGTATGGAGTCATCAGATTAACCAAAGTCAATGCAAACAAAACAAAACAAAAACTTTATAGGCAGCTAGAGAAAAAGGCAGGTAACCTACAAAGGAAACCCCATCAGGCTGACAGCAGACTTCTCAGCAGAAACACTACAAACCCGAAGAAATTGGGGGCTTATTTTCAGCATGCTAAAGAAAAGAATTTCCCACTAAGTATATCATATCCAAACTAAGCATTATAAGTGAAGGAGAAATAAAGTCCTCCTCAGATAAGCAAGCACTAAAGGAATTCATTACCACAAAACCACTCTTAAAAGAGGTCCTTACAGGAGTGCTAAACATGGAAACAAAGCACCAAAATCTGCTAACTCAAAAGATACACTTAAGCATATAGCCCACAGACATTATAAAACAACTACACAATCAAGTCTACAAAACAGGCAGCCAAAAACATGATGACAGAATCAAAATCTCATATGTCAATACTAACTCTGAATGTTAATGGTCTAAACACCCCATTTAAAAGACTCAGAATGGTAAGCTGGATAAAATGCCAAGACCCAACAGTCTGCTGTATTTAAGAGATGCATCCCACATGTAATGATCTCTACCAGCTCAAATTAAGGGATGGAAAAAGATCTACCAAAAATAAATGGAAAACAAAAGAGAGCAAGAGTTTCTATTCTCACAACAGATAAAACAGATTTTAAATCAATAATCAGGAAGAATAAACAAAGGCAGTACATAATGACAAAGGGTTCAATTCAACAAGAAGACTTAACTATTCTAAATATATAGATACCCAGCATAGGAGCACCCAGATTCATAATACAAGTTCTTCATGACCTATGAAAAGACACAGGCAGCCACATAATAATAGTAGATGACTTTAACACCCACTCACAGCATTACAGAGATCATAAAGGCAGAAAATCAACAAAGAAATTGTGGACTTAGAGTCAACATTTGACCAATTGGACCCAATAAACATCTACAGAGTATTTCACCCAACAACCACAGAATATACATTCTTCTCATCCATACACAGAACTATTCTAAGATCAACCATGGGCTCAACCATAAAGCGAGTCACGATATATTAAAAAATAATTGAAATTACACCAAGTACACTGTCAGACCACAGTGCAATAACAAGAGAAATTGATACAAAGAAGATCATTCAAAACTACACAAAAACATGGAAATTAAGCAACAATATATTACATACTTATATTTTCTCCCCACGTCTATCCTCCAACTGATCATAATTTCTCATTTATCTTGAATTACTTCACTTTTGTTCGGGTCTACTTTAAATCACATATACAGTCCCTTAACTGTAATACTCTTTTGCCTATTATCAACTGAAGAGAATCACTCTTATCTTTGAGGACCTACAAATAGTATAATTTAAGTCCATGCTATCTCGTCTATAAAATGTGAATAATCATTCTCAGTCTTAGAATTTATGTATGGCTTAGATATAATACATACTCAGCTTCAACCCAAAACTCATATGTCATGGAGGGCTTAAAAATAAATAGCATTCATTGTGCTAGGTTTCACATTTTCATTTTTTAAATTTTCTTTTTTATTCCATACCTAGACAATAAACTCTTTATGAGCAGCAATTGTACATTTCACATTTTTGTATCCTCAGCACCTAAAACACTGCTCCCTGGGAGGTATTCAATAACATGTAACTAAGAAGATGTAGGAAATTAACACATTCATCTATTTTCCTGCGTGTAAAAAGCTTGAAAGTCATCACTGCGCCTAACAACAAGTTAAAAGCTAAGGAGACTGATAAACGCCTCTTGGCTCCAAGCGAGAGGTGAGGACACAGAGAAAATCACTGCCCCGAAGACTGGAGAGATAGACAGGTGAATACAAGTATTCACAGCTTACCAAAGCAGATACCCCAAATCAGAAACCACCAAGAACAAGTGTCTACATAGGAATACCTGAAATGTAATTGATGAATTCCTGCGGCCTTAGTGCTGATAAGTGTGAGAGTTAAATCCTCCTGGAAGACCCAATCACAAGGGGGTCTCCACACTCCGTGAGTTTTACCTCCAGGAGCTCCATGAGGTTCTCACAGTAAATATCACAGGAAAAACCACTCATGCATCTAGCAGGAGGAGGGAATCATAAACAATTTTGAAATAGACCAGAGCATTCTGTTCCTCTTAACAAGGCCTGTTCTAAGGGGAAACTATCTACTAACAGCCTCATCCTCTGGGGTTTGATCAGAGCCTAACTAATCACGGGGAAGGAAAATATCCAACTCCAGCCCACTGCAGCCATCCTATTCCACCTGCAGTGGTGGAGGAGATTGAGAAAAACTTGTAAACTTCACAGTCCAGGGGCATATGCCCACTAAAATGTTTAAACCTAATCTTAGTCTATAGGATAATAACCCTTCCCTCACACTGTACTTATTTTGCTTTACCCTACACTTTTATCTCATAACTTCTAGCACAAAAGGTCAGTTCCTTCGCTTATTACATCATGTCCAGCTATCAAAACAATATTGCAGGCACACTAAAAGGCAAAACACACATACACACACACACACAATTTGAAGAGACACAGAAACCATCAGAACCAGACATAAGTGGGATGTTGAAGTTTATAGACTAGAAATTTAAAACAATAATAATGAATATATAATGGGGACTAATGAATAAAGCAAACAGCATGCAAGAAGAGATGGGCAATGTAGGTAGACAGAAGGAAATCCTAAGACAGAACCCAAAAGAAATTCTAGATATTTAACAAACTGTAAAAGAAATGAAGAATGCCTTTGATGGGCTTCTTATCAGTCCTAAGATGGCTAAGAAAGAATATCTGAGCTTGAGAATATTTTGAAAGAAATCTCAAAACCTGAAAACAAAAACAAAGATTGACAGAAACAAAATAAACGAACAAATCCAAGAACTGTGGGACTGGTACAAAAGACGTAAAACATGTATAATGAAAGTACCAGAAGGAGAAAAAGGAGAGAAAGAAGCAAAATAAATATTCGAAACAGTAGCGACTGAGAATTTTGCCAAATTAATATTATACATTAAATGGATGATTGAATAAAATGAATGAATAAAAGTCCTTATGACTCTTATTCTTGCCATTCTAACACACTTAGTTTAAAAATATTGGTGATTATCATAACTTGCCTACTGAAGTATTAGAAAACCAGATATTTATTGATGAAGACAATGCACTAAGTCTTCTGATCACTAAAACATTCTGATCACTTAAGTAATCATAATTTCTAAAAAGTTTTAAGCTATTCCTACATTTCTTTTCTTCTGAGCTTTCATCGGAATTTTCCTTATTGCTCTGTTTATGGTAATGTAGGCTTTTTCCAGCCTGCTCTTCCAACCGCTTCCAGCTCCACTACTTGGTACCAATTTTCTGTTTCAGTCTGTTTTGTGCTGCCAGAACAGAAACTTGGAATTTTAGAAAGAACAGGAATAGACAAACTCACCTTTTTATGATGGCATAAATTTCACCCATGATGACTCTTATGGCCTAAATTCTAAAGGGCCCTATTTAATATTTTTATAATGACAATTAAATTCCAATACGAATTTTAGAGGGGACAACCATCCAAACTATAGTATTCCTAAGATACCTTCTATTTTAAAAACAAATACCTTATGTTTTAAAATACCTTTTATTTTAAAAACTTTCATTTTGTTTGTTAGCAAAATCAACTTAATGCTGGTCATTTAAATTCACTGCTTCATTGATGATAAAAACACAAACATTAAATAAAAAACTTCTATTTCAAAAAACAGAGTTCATTTGTTTGTTTTACTTCTAGAGGCTCTACTTATTTTAAAATTACACATTTAAAGTCATTTATTAGGTCCTTACTTAATTTGAGATAATTAGCACATATAATTTTTCTCATCCATTTCTAACTCACTTCTTTTCTTTATTATCAAGTTTACAGTGTTAAAGTGTGTAGCATTAAATTAACATTTTAAAACCATAATTCCTCATATTCTTCACTTTGTATACTCATATACAGATGAATTGACTTATTAACACTTTCCTCTTGTGGCTTCTCCATCAGTTAGAACTTTGTTTTGATACATCTTTCAGTTCTCAGTATGTTATCATCAAATATTTCTTTCCCTCCAAGTGTGACTCATGGGTACTGTTTTTCCAGAATTCTTATTGATCTTAGAATAGTACAACTCAACTACTTATAATTCCCTGGTAACATTTTCTTTCTGAAGAATTTAGTTGGAATTGTTCTACTTCGTTGAATTTGAGTGTCAAACGTTGAAGAAATCTAACATAAACAGTTACTTAATCTAAGTGACCTCCCCAAAACTGAAAGTTAGTAATTCTACCAAAGTATATCTTAATGTTAATAAAACTATAATGTATTTTATTCAATAATGTGTGACCTATTAATTTATAAATTTATATTTAAATTTTTATTTTTTTCTATGATCTCCCTTGGGAAAATCTATTATGTTTACATTTAATTTATATCTTCTAGGTTGCATAGCAATCATCTTATTTACAAATTTTTGTGTACCATTGCATTTTTAAAAGTTATTTTTGGGTGATTTAAAAAAACTGTGGTGGTTTTCAGTTTATTTGGAGTACTGTTTCTTCTGATTCCATTGTTTAAAGTATAAATTTGTTTATTTTTATAGTTTTTAATTTTGCTTTAAGGTTACGTATTGGAGACTTTGTTAGCATGCCTCATCCAATTGGAACAAGCAAAATAGTGTGCAGAGATTCATACTGCAAACTTTTATCCAAGAAGACATGTTACAGCTCAACAGGAAAGGTGGAAAAACTTGGAATACTTTGAAAGGACCAGTGGGCAGCAGCCTGACCCACTGGTTTGGTGAAAAACTGCAAGGTTTCAGAGTATTAAATGGGGGATAGACTGACCTCATAGTAGACAATTCTAGTGGGGAGCCAGGCAATTCAGGTCATGGGGGAGCTCCTTGATTCTACAAAGCCCTGGATCTGACTTGGTGAGCAGAAGGGAGTCTATGGGAGAGACATTAGGGGTGTTTTAGGTGGACTCTCAGAGCCTGGTGCCAATACAACAAAGCCATTTTTTCTTAATTCATAGGGAATCTTGCAGAAATCTTTTGGCTAACTCAGGCAGTAGTCACAGAGAGAAAGAGGCTCCCAATTGAGATCAGCAATCTAATCTTGTTGGGGGATGAATCCCTGTGGCCAGATCTGAGAGGCAAGCAGAGAGTGGGTTTTTGTTACAGGAATAGGAATTGAGTAACACCTGCTTTGTAGCCTGGACCAATAGGAGTGTGGCTGGGAGCTGGGATTCATTTCCCAGGAAGAGAGTCTGGGGCAAATTCACAATTTGAGCATAGACTTTTTGAGACTCAGCTGGCTGTTTTGGCTTGCTGTCAGTGGCAGGCTGTCATCTCAAGGATGTGGGAGCTGAGCGACTCTCACTACCATGTATTTCGCTGTGGAGCCTGGGCTGCCCCTCTCTCCCCATAAGGGCTCTTTTGAGTAGCAGAGGTGTTCCTCCCTGAACTTTGCTTTAGTGGCCAGGGAACTACTTTCTGACCTCCATTGGGTGTCCCCCTTTGCCTGCTGTTAGAAAACCTAAAAACAGGATTTTTTGACCAAGCCCTCACACAGCTTTTCTCTCTTATTCACCCTGTTGGCAGAACATAAGAGAGAAAACACCAGAAGTTCCATGTCTCTGCCCATCTCCTGGCACATATGAGTACTTCTTCTGATCAACAGAGGTCAAACATAAATCCCACAGTCACCACTGCACCTGGCTGTTTCCTTCAAAAACCACCTATTGACCAGGTGTTGACTCTATATAGCCCATTAAAACATCTGCTGACAGTATTGCACAGCACTCGGGAATGAGACAAGCTTTGCATAACTTCAGCTACTTCCCTCACAACACTCCAACTGCTTAGGAGGCCCCCAATCCCACTCACCCACATGATAGCTTACTACTACAATTGGCATTTGAGAAAGCCACCATACTAAGCCTAACTATAACCAAGGAATTCATACAGAGCCTTGACCCCCTGAAAGCACCCAGAAGCAAAGCCAAATGACCCCATTCAATGTACATTACTGTCACTTCTTCTTTGGGGATGGGGAGTCTCATCCAAATAAAAGCAAATTAAAAAATAAAAAGGGACAGTCAATCCCACCCATGAGGATAGGTCCCTCAGATACCCTCCTTCTTACTACTGTTACAATGATATTTAATATTCTTACGTTTTAATGTTAGTACTGTTTTTTTAAGTCTCCAGATGAGAAGAAACCAGTGTAACAATTCTGGCAATATAAAAAACAGGGGTGATGACACCACCAAAGGATTATTCTAGTGCTTTAGCAATAAATTCTAAACAAAATGAAAATTCTATCTCAAAATGAAATAAATAACACAAAATATGAACAGTATGGAAGCTCAATGAGATCAAAGAGAAAGTTGAGAAATAGCACAAAAATCAGAAAAACAATTCACGACATGAATTAAAAAATTACTAAAGAGATAGACTTTTTTTTAGAACCAGACAAACAGAACTTCTAGAAATAATAATTCATTGAATAAATTACTAAATGCATTTAAAATTTTAACAATAAACTAGAATAAGAAGGAGAAAAATATCTCATATCTTGAAGACATGTTTTTAAAATTAACCCAGTCAGACAAAAATAAAGAAAAAAAATAAAAATGAACAAGACCTTTAAGAGGTATGGGATTATGTAAAGCAAACAAATCTCTGAGTTATAGTTATTCCTAAGGGAGAAAAAAAGTAAAATATTTTGATCTCCTACTTGAGAAAATAATTGAGGAAAACTCACCTGGTCTTGCTAGAGATTTAGACCTCAACATACAAAAAGGTCAGAGTACTACTGGAAGTTACATCGCAAGAAGAATTTCACCAAAGCATATAGTCATGAGACTATGTAACGTCAATATGAAGGAAAAAATTCTAAAATTAGCAAGAGATAAATGTCTAGTGACCTATAAATGAAATCCTATCAGACTAACAATGGACTTTAAAGCATAAACCTTACAAGTGAGAATATATTGGGATTCTATTTTTACTCTTCTTAAAGAAAAACATTGTCAGCCAAGAATTTTATATTCTGCTAAATGAAGCTTCATAAATGAAGAAGAAATGATGTATTTCTCAGACAAGCACATGCCAAGAAAATTTGTCACTACTAGATTGGCCTACAAGAAATATTCATAAGAGTTCTAAGTAAGGAAATGAAAGGCTGATACATCATTAAAACACACAAAAGTCTGCAGTAGACAGGTTTTATAAGACAATTACACAATTAGGCTATAAAGTAACTAACAATTAACATTGTTATAGGAAGAAAACCTCACATATCGACAATAATGCTGAAGGTAAAGAACTAAATACTTCACTTAAAATATGTAGATCGGCAGAATGGATTAAAAAAAAATAACACAGGGCTCGACCATATCCTGCTTAAAATGAACCCACCTAACTGGTAAAGACATTCATAAACTCAAAGGAAAGGGATGGAAAAACATATTATTTCATGATCACAGAAACCAAAAGGGAGCAGGTGTAGCTATACTTACATCAGATAAAACAGACTTTCAATCAACCACAGTTAAAAAAAAAAAAAAGACAAAGAGAGCCATTACATGTAGATAAAAGGAATCAATTCAACAAGAGGATATAGCAATCCTAAGTATATATGCTCCCAACACTTGAGCACCTAGATGTATAAAACAAAAACTACTATACCTAAGAAAGGAGATAGACAGCAATACAATAATAGTGAGGGACTTCAACACCCTATAGACAAACTAGGCAGATCGTATAAACTAGGCAGATCATCTAGGCAGAAATCAACATGGAAACTGGACGTAAATTGTACTCTAGGCCAAATGGACATAACATATATTTATAAAACATTCTATCCTACAATTTCAGAATATACAGTCTTCCATGGTGGATAGGTTACTTGAGCCCATGTGTTTGAAACCAATCTGAATAACTTTATCTTTTCTCCTCCCAACTTTCCTTATCCTGTTCTTTCTTTCCTAAGGCATTAATATGGCAGCTAATTATGCATAGCTGTGCGGAAGAGTTTGTGAGCCATGCAGGAGCATGAGCTGCAGTTGGGCACCCATGCAAAGTGCTGGCTTGAAGTCCTACTGTCCAATGATATAGATCCATGGAGGAGTTGGAAGCATGGGCATGGCTCGCATGGGAGATTATTTTTATTAAACAAATTTATAAGTGAATTTAACAAAACAAATGTGCTAAAGATAATTACAGCCAAGTTTTTGCAAGAAAAGGATAAACCCATGAAAAGGAGAAAGAATAAAAGATGAAGTGTTACATCATAGGTGTTATTTTATTATAGATAGACAAAAAGATAAATTTAGAGGTGTATAAGTGTGTATATAAAAGCATACATGCATTTATTGTCTAGTTCTTTGCAATGAACTAGAAGCAATGACATTGTAGAGAGTGAACACGTTCCTCTACATTTTTAGGTTGCGTGGCTAAACCTGAGAATTAAATTGCCAAAAAATAGACTAACAAGAAAAAAAAAGTTTCATTTTATGCTAATATTTTTACATATTCACAGAGGTCTTCTTATATAAGAAATGAATACCTAAAGAAGCAGATAGACCTAAGAGATTATACACCATTTTAGCAAAGAATGATAAATTGTGGAGACATGACAAGACAGAAGTAAAAAAAGAGTTTGGGCTAGAGGAAATAAATTGTGGGAAAGTGAGTAGAAAATATATGAAAGAAACTAGTGAAAGATAAGATTTATTTTAGTAGGTTTGCTTGTACAGATTCATACTGGCATGGACCCCTGCTTCCAGTGAGAAGAATGTTCTTTGTTTTCTAGTATGGTAAGGGCATCTTTCTAAAGAAAAAGTTATTATTTGATTTTAGGTAGAAAGCTGGAATTCAGGCACCTCTTCCTACATTTGCTATTTCTTAATTGCCCTTAGCAGAAAATAATCAATATGCTAAATGGCATGTTTTAGGGTGATATATCCTCATCTTCTTGTACATCCAGTAGTAATGAGCAACTCATTGAGAGCCCTCATCTTAGTTTCAAAATACCATCTTCCAATATCTAGACCAAGGTTACTTGGTTAAATGGTTAATACTAATGTTGGGTGAAGGAAAATACAAAATGAGTCTGCAATATTTTGCACTAAAAAAGTAGGAAAATGTTCAATTTATTGTGGGATTTAAAAGCATCATCTAAACAACCACAAATATCTGAGTTCTCATACTCTATGCTAGCCCACTAGCAGGAGGACAACAACAAATATTTTAAGTTCTTTCATGTGTCATGTACAATTTCTATTATAGTAACAAATTCTATTATAGTATTATGGTCTCTAAAGACAACATATACAACATACTACAGTTTAAACCATAAAAAGTTCATTTGTCTCCCATTTAAAAATCTAGAAGTCGGTGATCCAAGGCTGGTGTAGTGCCCTACATGGTGGGGATATATAACCTGTCAATCACACTTTTCTGCAGCATGAAGCCACATGAAAAAAATTATTTTATGTAGTCATATGTACAATCACCACATTGCTATTTCAGCTAGCAAAACGAAAAAAGGACGTATATTTTTCTTAATGACATTTTCCAAAAATTATACTTAGATCTTCCATATGAATCTTATTTGTACCAACTTGGTCATATGGTTTACATATAGCTGCTAAATGGTGGTGGGAAATGTATGCAAGTCAGGCAACCATTTACTGAGCTAAAATATGAGGATTTTACCGCTATAGAATAATGATGAGAATTGACATTGGGGAAGGCAAATAATAATATCTACTCCAAAAGTTATTAATAATTCACTCACATATTCCTTTACTCCAATTATTTAGATCAACCTGTTGATACATTCAAATCCATGATGTGGCATTAAATTTCCTGTTACTGTAGATAGTTCTTCTATACAATCTATTCTGGGTTGTCCTGTGTGCCCACTGCACAGATGTCCTCCTGGAATCTTCAGTCTCATTTATTCGTATAAGTACTGAGCGCTAACCGATTGCATAACTGCAGCCACTTCAGTACCAATTATACTATTCATTTTATTTAACCAGGTTGGTAGTTTCCTTGTGGAGTGTCCATTGCCTGTATTATGATAACTTTTCTTATGGGCTAATCAAATTTTGAGATAAATTTCCAATTTCTTAACTGTTTTTGAAATGATACTCTATTCTAATTAAGAGATTTTTTAAAAAAAATTTAACACCATCCAGAGAATATATCTTTCATTTTCTGTCAGTGTGTAGGAGAAACAGAAGAATCATGTATTTGAGCTTGTAACTCCTTATTAAACAGATTTTTAATAAATGTTATTTCTCCCTTAGCAATTCTTTTTACCTTTACTTTCACCCAGTCAGATACCCCTAATTCCTGGGCCATATGAGGATTCTGAGATGCATATATGAGTTATTCTCAGCTTTCATTATTTGGGGCTTAGAATATAAATTTTTTGAGAGTGATAAATCAATAATATCTCAAGTTGTGTTTCCCTTCCAAAATGTTGTTGCTATTATTTTATTGCTATGAAATTTATCTTTGGAGATATATATGTTTAAAAGCATTTGTCACTCTTTAGTAGGGCTTGGCAAATTCATAAACATAAAGGTTCAATGAAGTTAGTTTTACTTAATTTATTAACTAAAAATACAAAAGACAGCAAACCTTATTCATATTAAATATACACAAGGACATTTATTTGATTCTGAATGTATGACAGTTATATATAACATATATTGCATAAATCATATGAAAGAAAAATAATGTGTTCCAGGCTACATAGAGTCTGAGAACAGAGCCTTTATTTCTTTATCTATTCCATGAGATAGTGATGTATTTTTGTTTTTCATGTCCTGTTAAGTCAATGACAGATTATTTTATCATAGATGACATTTACTAAACTGTAGTTCCTTTTGAGATTGATAATGACCAAAATGCTTTTTTGAACCTACCCGAAGTTCACTAATAATCTCCTGGCAAGTCCACTTTTTAAAAATTGTCAAAGATGGAGATGCATCATTATAGTTGTCCTTTATAAAAATACAAGTATACCAAATTTGCTGACTATCTCTGTGATGATGCGTGTCCCTTAGTGATACTTTTCTCTGTTAATAGGAAATGTCTTTTTTAATTCCAAGTCAGATAAATCAAGCTTACAGATACGTAAATAAAATATATCTTCAGGAGGAGTGCTTGTGCTTTTCATGGTGTAACTGCACAACAACGTCATGGGTGACACAACCACTTTCTATTTTTTTGTTTGCTGTACATTAATGTGGAGATTTTTTTCTTTCTCCTCCTGATGAAGCATAATTATCACAAGATATTTGCTGTGCCTTGAAGCATTTACATCTGGTTCCAGGCATAAAAAATGAGAAAAATAAGTAATTCATTATTTCAGAAAGTTTTAATTTATTTAGTAAATTATTTATTTATTGTTTTGAAGCAGGCAGGAGGGAAAAAAAAGAATTATTCTTATATCTCAGCAGTCAGAATTGTTCACTTATCTTACCAAAGACCAATCAAAAAAATATAAGAAAGGAGATTACTGAAACTATTTCTCACCAATTTTGATTTAACCAATGGACTTAAATAGGAATCTATCTCCATAGAATGATGAATTTACTCTCCATTATTCTCCTCCCTTCTTTCCCCTTCCTTCCTTCCTTCCCTCCCTCCCTCCTTTCTCTTTCTTTCTTTCTTTCCTTCCGTCTGTCTTTCTTTCTTTCTTTCTTTCCTTCGATCCATCTTTCTTTTTCTTTCTTTCTTTCTTTCTTTCTTTCTTTCTTTCTTTCTTTCTTTCTTTCTTTCTTTCTTCTTTTTCTTTCTTTCCTTCCTTCCTTTCTTCCTTCCGTCTGTCTTTCTTTCTTTCTTTCTTTCTTTCTTTCTTTCTTTCTTTCTTTCTTTCTTTCTTTCTTTCTCTCTTCTTTCTCTTTCTCTCTCTTCCTTCCTTCTTTCCTTCCTTCCTTCCTTCCTTCCTTTTCTTTCTTTCTTTTTTTCTTTTTCTTTTTGATGGAGTCTTGCTCTGTTGCCCAGGCTGAAGTGCAGTGGCATAATCTCGGCTCACTGCAACCTCTGCCTCCTGGGTTCAAGCAATTCTCCTGCCTCAGCTTCCCTAGTAGCTGAGACTACAGCCTCCTGCCACCACGCCAGGTTAATTTTTTTGTATTTCAGTAGAGATGGGGTTTCTCCTTGTTGCCCAGGCTAGTCTCGAACTCCTGAGCTCAGGCAATCCACCTACCTCGGCCTCCCAAAATGCTAGGATTACAGGCATAAGCCACCGCTCCTGGCGCTACCCTCCATTTTCCTAACAAACTGTGGTTGTATAAAGAGAAAACAAAATGGATATTACCCTCTGGGGAAACAGAAGAAAAGATGTAAATACCTAACATTTTAAAAAAATATATATTTTATTCCAGTGAAAACCAAAATTTAAGAGTGACTAAACATTTATTCAAAATTGGATGTTTTAAATAATACCTTTATTATGGGATTTTGCTGCCAAAAGTTTTGCATCTCCCTCATGCCTGCTGATGGCATGCTTACTCCTAGAAAATATTAAAAAATCAAAATATATCATGTTACAATTAAAATTATACCTCCTTAACAATAAGAATTGTGGAAAATAACTAACTATAAGTTATATAATTATTTTTTATATAATTAGTGGATTAATTAGAAAAAAGTAGCATGATTTAACAAGTACAGTGAATATTTTACTTTTATTTACATCCGTATGTCTTTATGAATTGCATTTTTAGCTGTGCCAGCAATTGAACCAAGATTGCAATACATTAAATTTAGATTTATTCACAAAGAATTTAAATAAGATCTAGGATAATAAGAGGTCTATTCAACCAAATTGTTGTTGTAAATGTACTAAAATACTAGAAAATAATTATAAATTATCAGTTTAGTTATAAGAACATTGTGAGAGTAAAACATATTTTGTTTCATTAAAATTACATTAAAACTATTAGAAGTAGCACTCACATTATTGTAGCAAAAGCACATTACATGGTACATATTATTAATTTCAGCTCTGGCTAAAAGCGTCTTTAAGCCTTAGTTAAAAGTGTAATGAATAACCCTTAAAGAACAGGGGGGGCAGTTCATACAAGTGAGTAGAAAAGACAAAAGCCTTAACCGGGCATTACATACTATCTCTTTATATTACGGGTAGAAGTTTATCTATATTGGCTAAGAAAAAGAAAATGCTTTATATATTTAAAGAAAAAAATATATAAAATTATATATGTGTGTATACATGTCTATATATGTGTTGTGTGTATAAATGTCTATATATGTATATTTATATTTGTGTGTGTGGTTGTTAGTAATTATTTGTTCTGTTTATCTGATACCCTGAATTTAAAATGTATCTTAAAAGAAATTACATTCACTAAAGGGACTATTATAGAAGACATTTCCTCATAAATTATAACCCATAATTTTTTTAGGAATCAATTTTTAATAATAAAATATGATTAAATTAACATATTAATAATGAATTCTGCTACTATTAAAATTATACTACTATTCAGAACCTAGCAGATTAATTTGAAAATAAAGTATTGAATTCTAGTTTGACACATAACCTATGAGTCATCCAGTTTTGTAAAAATACATATTTTAAATGTTAATGTATTGTGGGTACATAGTAGGCATGTGTACATAGTATATATTTATGGAGTATATGAGATATTTTGATACAAACATAAAATGCATAATAGGCACATAAGGGTAAATGGGTTATCCGTCACCTCAAACATTTATCCTTTGGGCTACAAACAAATTATTCTCCTTTTAGTTATTTTAAAATGTACAATAAATAATTGTACAATACATCATTGTGACTGTAGTCACCTTATTGTGCTATACAAATATGTTAATAAAATATTGGCCTAATAGTAAATGCAAATATTTACATTTAAAAGTTACACTTTTATTTCAAACACTTGATTAATATTCTTTTACTGGAACATAAAAACAAAAGTCTAAATTAAATGATCACAATAAAAAAGTAATTATTTCTTTAATAAAACACAAAGGAGAAAAAAGAGTTAAAACTAATTATATAATACTATTTACACTAAACTCTTGATATCATTTGATTACTCTTCCCAATTACTAACTGGGGAAAAGAATTAAAGTGGCAAATTTTTTTTCAAGGAAAGATAGAATCCAGGTCACATCCCACTTGCTATAATTTCTAAGTCTGTGTCCCTCCAAAATTATTGTGTTTAAACCTAATGTTCAATATGATAATAGGTGGGGCCTTTTGGAAACTGATTAAGTCATGAGTGCTCTACTCTCATAAGTGGGATTAGTACTCTTATAAAACAGATTGAAGAGAGTGCTCTAGCCCCCTTTTACCCTGCACCCTTCTGCCATGTAAGAATACAGCATTTGTCCCTTCTACTATGAAATTATGCAGCAACAAAGCATTATCTTGGAAGCAGAAAGTGAGCCCTTGCCGGAAACTGAATTAGCTGGTGTCTCGATCTGGGACTTTCCAGCCTTCAGAACTATGAGAAATAAATTTGTTGTTTATAAATTACCTCGTCTATGGCATTTTGTTATAGTAGCAAGGACAGGTTAAGACGTCATATTTATCTCCCTATAAATGTGCTAACTAAATTTCTGGAAATAAATGAATGCTAATTTACTAGAGTAGTGGTTCTAGAAGTATGTTCTATGTACATTTTGGGTTTTTTGCAACCAATTGAAATGATCCGTAGGGCTGAACTATTTTTATGAAAATGCTGAGGCATTATTTATATTTTTATTGTGTTGACATATGCACTTATGGTAGAAAAATAATGTTGGTAAAATTGCAAACATCCATAAATGAATTCAAGTACATCAAATTCTATCAGCAGTTACTGTATTTTATACTCCTATAAACTATAAATTTGGCTTAATGTTACAGAATATCTTTGCTAAATGTAATGGTTAAATATGAAGTGTCAACTTTGCAAGGCTATGGTATCCAAGTAATGGGGAGGTATTTTATAGATGTGATTAACATCTATAGCAGTTTATTTTAAATAAAGGAGATTACCATAAACAATATAGATGGACCTCATCCAACCAGTTAAAAGCCTTAAGAGGAAAACAAAACAAAACGACACGATGCTGAGTTTTTTTCAGAGAAGAAGAAATTCTGCCTCAAGACCATAACATAGAAATTATGCCTGAGTTTCCAACCTGTTGGAAACTGTTGGGCTGCCCTATGTATTTCGAATTTTAGAATGCAACATTAAGTCTTGCCTCAGTTTCCTGCCTACCAGTCTTCCAACAGAATTTAGACTTGCCAGCTCCCATTAATGCGAGTCAATTCTTTAAAATAAATCTGTATACGTTATATCCATATTTATCTATATCCTACTAGTTCAATTGCTCTTGAGAATTTTGACTGTTATAGCTTTTGATACTGAGAGTGGTTCTAGAATAACAGTCTTAAGGATGAGTTTCTGTGAATTAATTATGAGATTTGTGGAATTGTCTCATACTACAGTTTGAATGTTTTCCCCTCTAAAATTGAAACTTAATCCCCAATGTGGCAATATTGAGAGGTGGAGGCTGCTGTTACAGAGCTGGAATCCTTAAATGCAGTTGGAATAATTGGATACCAGGGTGGCAGGGATCAAGTGGCGGCACTTAATTGTAAGAGATAAGGTAGATGTAGTTACTGTAATGAACAATTTAAAGGAGTAATCAAAATCGTCTGGCTCCTGGAGACCTATGGCATCGTGTCCCCAGGAGAGAAATAGATGGGCAGTCTAATAAATTCTTATTTAATCTGTGAAAGTGGAAGAATTCTAGGTCAAGTGAACAGAAGTCTGACTTGAAACATCAAAAAGAATCATGTTCCCTGAATCAGTTCCCAGATTTGAACCAGTTTACAGACCCAGAACAGCTTGTATGAAAAGGAGGTCAAGTCTCTTTGAGAAAGGACCTCAATAAATGGCTAGAAATGCATACTGTTAATCTCTTTCTCAGCCTTCTCCTGAGGGACATACAGCCTTTTACCAGGGTGACTGCACTGGGGAAAAGGAAATAATGAGATGTTTGGGGGATTGCTGGGCACAGGCTCTAAACTGAAACTAATGCTAGGAGGTCCAAATATCACCATAGTCCACTAGTTAGAGAAGGGGCTTATGGAAATCAGGTGATAAATGGAGTTTTAGTTCAAGTCCATCTCATAGCAGGCCCAGTGTGTCCCCAAATCCATCTGGTGGTGATGTCTCTAGTTCCAAAATGCATAATTGGAATAAACATACTCAGCAATGGACAGACTGCTATGTTTCCTGGCCTGAGGAGTGAGGGCTACTGTGGTGAAAAAGGCCAAGTGGAAACTGCTAGAACTGCATCTACCTAAAAAAATAGCAAACCAAAAACAATACCATAGTACTGGAGGGACTGCAGAGATTAGTTCTATTATTAAGATTCAAAGAGTTCAGGAGTGGTGATTCTTACCACATCTCCATTTATCATGTGTTTTTGGTCCATGCAATGGATAGTTGTGTAAAGGAAGAGAAGAAAATAAACTAGGAGAAGTATGTTAGCAAAATACTATGAGTGCATAATTGTTGTATAATGCTGCATAACAAATTATCACCAATTTAACAATGTAAAACAGCACGTGTTTATGATTTCACAGTTTCCATGCATCAGAAGTCTGGCATATTTTCACTGGATTCCATGCTGAAGGTCTCACCGTGCTAAAATCAATGTGTAAGGCTTGATCTTGTCTGAGACTCAGAGTTTTTTTTTTTTTTTTTGATGCTTACTTTTTATTGACAGTGATTATTTAGTTCCTTTTGGCTGTAGAACTGAAGGTTGTGTTTTTTGCTAGTTCTCAAATGGGGCTGTTCTGAGGTCCTAGAGATCTCTAGTCATTCCCTGCCATAAGTCTTTATATATACATTATGGGAGTTGGCTCCTTCAAGGCCAATAGAAGGATCTCTCCTCCCAAATCTCTCTAACATTTATTAAGGGCTCACCCAGGATAACATTCATTTTGAGTAACTCAAAGTCAGGTGATTAGAGATGTTAATTACTTATGAAAAACCCCTCTGATATGTAAGGTGACACAATCATGGGAGTGATTTCCCATCATTTTCACAAGTCAGGTTTACACCTAATGTGAGGGTACTATATAGAGTGCCTACACCAGGGGGTGGGAATCTTAGGCTCCCTGCTAAGATTCTGCCTGCTACAGAGACTTACAGTGGTGGGCTGAGTATTTAAACAAAATGTGTAGCTAATAAAAATCGATTTACTTTTTGGAAATAGAGTAAAAATGGTTAAAGGAGAGTGCTCTGGCAGTATCCTGAAGATAGATGTCAAAGTGCAACATGCCTGAGACATTTAGTTCTGATAGATTTATTAAATAAATTCTGATAGATTTATTAAATTTTTATTCATTAAGTTCTGATAGATATATTAAATACATTTTTTATTATAAAATCCTTAAAAAGAATGGAGTAATGTTGACATGAATTAAGATCACTTATCTCAGAAACGATGTGAGATGGTATAAGAAATTTCAATAACGTTGGTAATTAGGGATGCGACTTAAGAAAAAAGAAGAAAAGGTAAACAAATTATCCCATCCTGAGCGTCAGGAAGAATGACAGGAAGAAAGCAGTCCAGAAGACAATTCTGGTTTTGAATGATACATTCATAAGTAAAAGTTAGTATAATAGTTTCTTATGGATGATGTAAAAGTTACTATGGTTTAAAACCATGCAAATTTATTATTTTATAGTTTCTGGAGATCAAATGTACAAAGCACAACTAGGCTAGAATCAAGGCTGTATTTCTTCAGGAGGCTTTAGTAGATCATCTGTTTTCTTGCCTTTTCCAGCTGGCACTGGTGTCCAAATTCCTTGGTTAAAAATTACCTTTTTCCATCTTCAAAATCAGGAACAGTAGTTTGAGTTATCACATCCACTTATCTTGACCTTCTCTTCTTCCTTCCTCTTCTAATTTAAAATACTTTTTTATGATTATATTGAGTGCCCCTGGATAATTCCAGATACTCTTCTCATCATAAACTTAGCTGATTAACAACCTTAAATTTATCTGAAATTATAATTTTCCTTTGCCATATGACATAACATATTCATAGCTTCATAGGATTAGGATGTAAAAATCTTTGTATGTCTATTATTATGCCTACCACACATGGATAGAGAAAAGAAGCTGGCCGGGTGTGGTGGCTCAAGCCTGTAATCCCAGCACTTTGGGAGGCAGGCCGAGGCAGGTGCATCACCTGAGGTCAGGAGTTCAAGACCAGCCTGGACAACATGGCAAAACCCCATCTTTACTTAAAAAAAATACAAAAATTAGCAAGATGTAGGGGTGGCACCTGTAATCCCAGCTACTCAGGAGGCTGAGGCAGGAGAATCGCTTGAACCCGGGAAGCAGAGGTTGCAGTGAGCCAAGGTCTCACCATTGCACTCCAGTCTTGGCAACAGAGCCAGAATCCATCTCAAAAAATAAATAAATAAATAAATAAAAAGAAGAAGAAGAGACCATTCAATTACGAATGTTTTGGATTATTTCACTTATTTGGTTTATTTAATGAAATTCCCTTTTACTAATATATCCCTGTAGCACTCTTTCATTCTCACTCAGTTTTACTCTACATTAGTCTACCCGACTTGTTTTGCTCCACCTTAATAGATATTACACATTTTCCCAAAATAAATTATTATAATGTTATTCCCTTAATATTAAAAACAAATTAAAAAATAATTTGCAGTCTAATTATTGAGTACTGAATAAAATATAAATTTCAACTCTCTTGTTCAATATTCTTCATCACACAATCTTTTACTTTTAGTTCTTCTCAAAGACTCCTTACATCAGCCAGAAAAAATATGTGAAAAGTTCTATATCTGATTCAGAATCTTTTCTTTACCTTTTTTTTTTAATATATAGGTGTTGGAACTACAAGTTTATATTGTGTCAACACAGGAATATTTTTGTGCATCATTAAGGGTAAAGCATTCTACTGTTGCGTAAGGTTTGTGAGTACCACAGATGTCAGCAGGTGAATTTTTAATGGTTTTTTTTTTTTTTACATATCCACAACTCTCCACACAAAGATAAGAGTGCCTCATTAACATTTATTGTTTCTGCAAGGTCAAAAAGAGAATGCAGTCAACTCAAATTATGGTTGTTGTAGACTAGCAATGTGTTACTAGACAACTCCTAACACCCACAGTTTTTTTATTTTGACAATTTTAAATTGAAATGAGAACAATGCCCATATCCCTGGTCTCCAAAAGCATTTAGTTTAAAAAAAATTGAAATGTCAATACCTTGCATTCATTTTAAGGAAAAATCAAGAATATCTTTGTCATCAAAATTATTTCTCGACTCTATTGTTCATACTATTGCTGAACTAGAGAAAAATATTGTACAGTAGGTTTTAGGGGATTCATTCTTACTTATTAGGCCTTTCTGGTCAAGAACTAAAAATTTGCTTTTTAATTATCTGGGAAAATATATAAAATAGTGTTGTGATACAGAGGGGTCTCAGAAAATTCCTTCAGGGGATACCAAGCAATCACGGATCATAGGGCCAAGAACTAAAATAAATCAAGAGAAGAATTTATCTCATAATCTAATTTTAATGTTTTTTTTTCCTTCTTCTCATTCCTATGAATAATTCTCCTTTTCCTCTCCTATTCTCTCATCTTTTCTCTTCTTCTCTCTCTGTTTTCTTACTTCTAAAATTCTCAAAAGCACAGACTCTTAACCCTATTCAGAATCCCCAAGGTCTCATCTCAAGTGTATTCAATAGTAGCTCCAGATCCACATTATAGCAATGACCTTGAACTGTTCATTCAATACTTTTGTGCACCTATTACATGCTCGTCACTGTTGAAGAATTTTAATATACATCAATGATGTTAAAAGAGAATCTTGGTTTTATATATCTTATAATTTATTGGAAAGAGGCAATAAACAATAGACAACGACTAGTAAATTACATACCGTGTTAGGAAATAATGAGCACTATTAAAAAAAAACACGTTAGAGAAGGCTGGACTGGCCAGAAATGTGTTTAGAAGTAAGTTGCAATTTTAAGTCAAATAATCAGGGAAATCATATTTTATTGGCAATGTTATTGTGTGCTCCTTGGCTACAATTTTCAGAGAGTTAAGTTGTAACTCATCTACCTCAGGTGAGATACAACTCCATTTCATACTCAGATAGTCGGATAGTTTCTATGGCATTTTACAAGTAGTCATGCCCCATCTATATAGCTGTAAATTATGAGTTTATTTACCATAAAAATACAAACCCAGAGACGTTCTCATAATAGTATTTCTTAGATTAGACCTCTCTCCTATTCAAATATCATGCGTCTATTTAGGAAGAGTTTTCAAATTATTTAAAAGGGGATTATATGGGGTCACATTCTTCTTTTTTCCCTAGGAACTTCTCCTGGATAAGAATCACGGTGTAGCTGTTTAATTTGTGGCTACTCAGGGTACATAAGCCATGCTGTACAGTATTCTCCACCGTATCTGATTTATAGGTAAATATTACTTTCAGGTCAAGTGAAAAATTACCAGAATAGTAGGCATAACCTAAGAACCATGAACAGACAAATAGTCAGCTCCCCATAAACGGAGTCACTAGGGGATACTGTTTCACATCTTTTGTTCAGATTATATGAGTAGAGGATTTAGAAAGAGTTTATAAACCAGCAGAACAATCTTTCTACAGAGAAATCGATATGGAAGTTTCTTCTAATACCAGTCATTAGTAAATGACTGATCTGAAAGAGATAGCTAAGAATAATATTCTCTTGCTCTGACCTAGTCACATGGAATTATCCTGATGGCATCTCTCCCTGGGGATTGAAATCTACTTACAGGCATCTCTGCCGTCTGCTCTGATGTTTGCCTGTTTCTTTATATTTTCCATTTGACCCTCACCATTGCCTGCCTTTTTCAGGCTCTCTGATTTGTCAGATGTACTATCTACCCACAAAGCTGGTAATAAGAAGAAATGCATTAATTATTTTACATGACTCTATACCTGAGCAGGTATCATAGAGTTTAACTGTCTCTGTCACATGATAATGGACCTGTATTCACAGTCCCAACTTGGCTATATGGGATGAAATTATTATCCTTCTCAAGTAGTGTTAAAAATATATATTGTTAAGACCAATTATACTGCATCATCTGCATTATGAGTACTCTATGAGTACTCACAAACTTAAATGTTGCCCAAGTCCACTGTTAAGGCAAAACAAAAAAAAAAAAATCACTCTGAGGTGGAAAAAGATTCAGTTGTATATTTGCATTTTTCCTACTTCTTTATTCACACTTTCTAATCCCAGAAATCTTTCCAGGGTAGTACTCTACCTATATATATTTCTTCCATATTCAATTTAGAATAGTTGAATTAACTACATCTTTTATTTCACGTATTTTAAGTGACAGTTCATTTGCTCTATGGATGGAGAAGGGATAAAGAATGCCCATTTAATAATGTTTCATTGTTCATTTCTGTCCTTGGGTTGCAGTAAATGTATATCCTGATCAGAAGAAATATATTTTGGGTGAGAAGGCTGAATTAATAATGTGCAATTATAAACCCTTAATTATATTTGCAAGGTTGCCTCTGTTACTGGATAAGTGACATCTAGAGTATATTAGGGGTCAATCTTGGTTAATACCCACTTATAGCCACATGGGACTACCATTAATGATCTGATGTAATCCATTTGCTGGCTATTCACTGGCCTATATCCTTGGAGAATTTTATCCACCTCCATTTCCAAATGATTCTTATCCTGTTAACATTGAGTGCATTCTTTATATTAGCCATTTCATTCAGGACAAGAGGAATTAGTTATGTCCATGACCATTAGTGCATGTCCAATTATTAGTGCATATCCAATTATTTCATGAATACAGTAACGACTCTAGGAATCTGATTTAGACACCAACATTAGTGTTCCAATCTCTGTCCAAGCTGGGAAGTGGATTATGTTTATTTTTATTTTTCTACATTTTGGTACTATTATCAGGTATCTCCATTACTTACTTTATTCCTTCCTCTAATTACTCAGAGAAACCTTATGTGGGGTTTCTTTTTTGTCCTATTACAGACGTTCTTTTGCCCGATAATATAGCAAGTCTATTGGCTTCAGCCCAAGAGTTGTAAAAATTCAAATAATCTCCTAAAAATGAGATCTTACTGTTATTTTTTCTATTATTAAACAGCTTGTATCTCTGCCTCCTGAACTATCATTCCTTTACCTTCTTCCAGCAAGTATTACTGCATGCAATCAGAATGCTGCTGGTTTCAAAAGTACAACCAAGTCTTTAATTCAAACAACCCCATCTGTGAACTAGGGAGCTGCTTTTACCTTGGATAGAAGAAAATTATATAATTCAGACCTATAGCAGTGGCAGTGTGTAGGTCCTCTTAGGGCTCAACAGTTGGCCCTATGGGCAGTGAATCTATCTTCTCAAGCATGCAATTTACTACTCTTGAAATTCATTCTTTAGCATGCCCTTGAATATACTATTTCCATATTGTGAGTGAGCTTTAATGTGCTGCTCCTTGACTATTTGAACATCTCTCTAATATCACCCAAGATATAATTGAAAATTCTGTCCTAAGAATTATCTAATACTCTTCCGTGTTTATGGGTGTGGAGAGTTTTGACCAATGCTCAGTAACAAGCTAGCAATTGTCTTTCAAATGAAAAATTTCATGTTTAAAGCTCAAGAGTAGCACTATTTTGCCAAAGTCTAGTCTCCCAGTGTAAATACATTCTGAATGCAGATATTTCTAAAATTATCTGAGCTGCTAGATCTCAAGGTCCCAGTGAGGCTGCCTGTACCACTACATCTGTCAATTACTTCATGATTGTTTCTGCCCCACTTTGTTACAGATTTCTTTCCAATGACCTTGTAAATAGGGTTCAGTAGGATTCCTGTCTGAGGAATATTATTTTGCCAAAACCAGAGTAATCTGCTAGCCTCTGAGCTTCTTATTTATTCACAGTGCCTATGAGAGGTAGCAACTTATTTCTCACAATTTGAAGACCATTTTTGGTTGCTTAATATCAATTTATTCCCAGGGATTTCACAGATTAGGCTGAGCATTGAACTTACCATAAGCCTCTATTAGTCACATGAGTGACTAAGGTACCTAACTTTTCATGAGCGTCTTTCTCTGAAGAGACAACTATCATAGTATTGTGAATATAATGTATACCAAGTCCAAGCCCTGCCTCCTAGATTTTGACAATATGCAGATGCATTCAATAGCTCTGTAGGAGAACAGTGAATTTGTAATAATTTTCATTCAATAGGAATGCAATCTCTGCCTGGTCACGTTCCAAGATTGAGATTAAAAAGAGTATGATAGATCCAAGGTTGTAATATCCACAAATATTTTGATTATAACTTCAATATATCTTCCACTCAAGAGAAAGTAATGTAGTTGTTCAACAGTGGAACAGGAGGTTTGGTAGAATATCTTTAATGAAAATGAAGAAGTCAAACAAAAGCGTCTATATGGATTGAAAAATAAAATAAATGTTTTAAAAACTAGTAGCTCCATAAAAATGTAGCCCAGGGAGATTTTTAAAGAAAACTTATCTTCAATGAAAAATAATTATGTCTTATTCATTTCTGCAACTTCAGGCCCTAGCGCAATATCTTGCATATATTTAGCACTTAAAGAATATACTTTCATTAGTTTAAACAACATAATATTTTAAACAACCTAATTTTGTAGTTGACATTAGAGTTGGGAGTAGGGGCCAGGGAGAGGCAGGAAGAAGAAAATCACAAAACCTTATGCCACTTCAACAGTCTACATTTTATAGAATCTTTCTACTTAACCATTCTATCTCTCATGAATACTTAAGCACAGCTCCTTCTGTTCTGAGCAATAACAGTGGTTGATGTACTAATAAAGATGTACTGAGCTGTATAAAACTGAAGTTGAGTTGTCAAACTGAAGAGCACATACCCACTGCTGTCTCCTGTGTACTCAGGATTTAAACTATGTTCTGTCCACAGCAAAACAATCTTCAAAAGGAATATATCACCATACTGGGAAAAAAACATTGTATTTCTGGCTTGTTGGTGTCATTTCATTACTGAAGCATAAAGTCTCAAACTTTCCCACCTTTTTCCTTTCTTTCTCTTTCTTTCTTTCTCTTTCCTTCCTTCCTTCTTTCCTTCCTTCCTTCCTTCCTTCTTTCCTTCCTTCCTTCCCTCCTCCTTCCCTCCCTCCTTCCTTTCTTCCCTTCCTTCCTTCCTCCCTTCCTTCCTTCTTTACATTTTTTGTTTCTTTCTGTCTTTCATTTCTTCATCTTTTTTTTCTTTCCACTTCTATTCAGTGGCTCACACCTGTAATCTCAGCACTTTGGGAAGCCAAGGCAGGCAGATCACGAGGTCAGGAGTTCGAGACCAACCTGGCCAACATAGTGAAACCCTGTCTCTACTAAAAATACAAAAAAAAAAAAGTTAGCTGGGCTTGGTGGCAGGCACCTGTATGTAATCCCAGCTACTCGGAGGCTAAGATAGAAGAATCGCTTGAACCTGGCAGGCAGAGGTTGCAGTTAGCTGAGATTCCGCCACTGCACTCCAGCCCAGGCAACAGTGTGAGACTCTGTCTCAAAACAAAACAAAACAAAACAACAAAACAAACAAACAAACAAACAAAAACCTGAAGTGAATAGTAAAATTTTGAAAATTATTTTCTCTAAACTTTGCAGCAAACTTTTACTCATAGTTGCCATAATACTAATATTAAACTATACTAATTTATTAGTGATATCCTAGAAATAATAAACAAAATCTATTCTATGTTATATTACATGTAAATTGCACTTAAATTTTGTGACTGTATTTATAAATGTATACATACATACATTTACATACATACATACATAAAATCACACAGTATGTGGATGTATATATTTAATCCCATGTTCAGGTTGTATATAGACTCAGAATAGAAAAAGACATACTCAAATCTTTTTTTGGTAAGATAACACTGTTAATTCAATTATTCTTTTTGAATTTTAGTCAGTTTAAAAATGGAGTACTTCTAAGATTTCATTTTATTGTAGTTCATGAAAATCTTACTTTGAGAAGAGAAGGTGGCTTCATCATAACAATTTGATGTAAATTGGATGAATTCAGACCAATGAAGAAAAGAAGAGACAGATATAAAGTTTAAGGAAAACTTCGCCTTCTCTTAGGTTGGTTTCTGGAAGTAGAGCCTGTTGAATTTTCAGAGTCTTTTGTATATTTTGTTACAATTCCTCATTTAGATATGTGTTTTGCAAATATTTTCTCTCAGTCTGGGACATGTCTTTCCATTGTGTTAATATTGTCTTCTGCTGAGCAGAAGTTTTCAATTTTAATAAAACTCAACATACCAATTCATTCTTTCATCGTTCATGCTTCTGGTATTATATCTAGAAACTTACTATCATGTTCAAAGTCACTTAGATATTCTCCTATGTTTTCTTTTAGAAGTTCTATAATTTTGCATTTAAATTTCGGTCTATGATCTATTTTGGGTTAATTTTTATGAAAGGTAAAAAGACTTTGTCCATATATATATTTTTGCCCATATATATACGTTTTTGCCTATATGGATGTAAATTTTTTCTAGTACCATTTGTTGAACTAGTTATCCTTCATTTAATTGCTATAGCTACTTGTTTTGTCAATGATCAGCAAACTATATTTGTAGGGGTCTATTTTTGAGTTTGTTATTCTGTTCTATTGATCTATGTATCTATTATTTTGCCAACGCCGCATTACTTATGACTGTAGTTGTTTTGAAGTCAGGTGGAATCTCCAAGTTTGTTATTTAGCTTTAATATTGTTGGCTACACTGGCCTTTTACTTCCCATGTAAACTTTAGAATCAGTTTGGTGATATTTACAAAATGGTTTGCTGTGCTTTCTATGGGGATTGTGTTGAACCTATGGGTAAGAATGAGAATAAATATGTTGGCGTCTTAAAAATATTGAGCCTTGCAATTCATGAAGAGAAAGTCTTCATTTATTTAAAACTTTTATTTCTTTCTTCAGTTTTTTTGTAGTTTGTATTCTTTACTTATTTTGTTAAATTTATACCTAAGTATTAAATTTTTGATGCTATTGTAAATGATATTGTTTTTAATTTCATATTTTATTTTTAATTCTAGTACACAGAAAAGCAATTGACTTTTCTGTAGCAACCTTGTATTCTATACTTTTACTATAATTACTTATTATTTACAGAAATTTTTTGTTTGTGTGTTTGTCTTTTCTGATTCTTTGGGAATTTATACATAAGCAGTGATGTCAGTTTTTTTAAAAAGAAATACAATTCTACTTCATGTACATTTTTTCTTTTTCTTTTTTACCCCATTGCACTCGCTAAAACTTCCAGTACAATTTTGATTAGAAGCTGTGAGAGAAGACATTCTTACCTTATTCCCAATCTAATGAAGAAAGAGTTCAAATTTTTATGATTAAGGATAATGTTAGCTGTAGATTTTTTGTAGGTTTTCATTTGTTCATTTGTTCTTTTATCAAACTGAAGAAGTTCTGCTGAGAGCTTTCATTTGTTCTTCTATCAAATTAAGTCAGCTGAGAGCTTTATATCTTAAATGGGTGTTAGATTTTTTGAAAAAAACTACACTTATTAATATGATCATGACAATTTTAATACCTGAATAATTTGAGTATACATTCACAACAGATGCCAGATGCTGATCAGGAAAATTATGTTCTACACAGGAGTTTTTTGTGTGGAAGAAAATGAATTGGCAGAGAAGGTGAAACATAAAAAGAAAAACTAAAACTGCTTTTGTTTGTCGATTCAAGAGTCCAGCTGTTTCTACAGATGACTTCACAGATTACCAATATATAACTTTCTTTTATTTTTATAAAATATATTTTCTTCCTAATCTCTACTATCAGTAATTACAAATCTCTCTGGAAAAATGTTACCCAATACTGTAAACCCATAAACTTATACTTTCACATTCAAAACAATAATGAATACCACCCAAAAGTCTTTTAAAATTTGACATGTGAAAATAAGACTTGAAATCTACATTTTGCTAATCAGTAGTGAAACTGACATTCATTCTGTTATATTCTGATTGAGTTAATTACTTTTGAATTTTCCTTTGTGGTGGCTGTTTTCGTAGTTATGTCTGATAGGTCAAATGCTAAGGACATTAACTCCTTGCTACTCATATGTAATATACATGGTTATAAAATTTGTCACCTTTTAATTAATTATTTTGAATATTTATGGTATTAATTCTAAATCATTGTTTAGTGATTTTAATTCTTCTGGCTTTATTTGTAAGAAGGTAAGAAGGGAGACTCAATTTTTTAAAAAAATTACGGAATATGACCTAATTTATCAAAAATTAGTTTTCCATAAACCTTATATGACATATACATTATATAGCATATAATTTATATAGCACGGACTTTATATAGCCTAAAGTATATACTATAAAATGTATATGTATATGCTATATAATGTATATATAATGTGTATATATATGCTATATATGTATAGGCATATATGTAATGTATATGTATATGCTATATAATGCATATATTAGGTATATGTATATGTTATATAATATATATAACATATATGTATACACTATGTAATGTATATAGTATGCATACACTATGTAATGTATATATTATGTATATGTATACAGTATATAATGTGTATATAATGTATATGTATATGCTATATAATGTATGTACATGTATAATGTATATTCATATGCTATACAATGTATATATAAAAGTATATGCATATGCTATACACTGTATATACACATAATGTATGTGTTTATGCTATATGATGTATATACATATGTATGTTTATGTTATATAAATGTATATGCTATATAATTTATAGCATAAATATAGCTATATAATGTATAGCTCTATATTTTATAATATTATATATTAAATGCTATATTTAATATAACATATTAAATAACATAATTTATGCTATATAAACTTTGTGGAAAAGAAAAATAATGTTTGATAAATACTGGTAGTATTCAGTAATTTTTTTAAAAAATTGAGTCTAAAATGTTCTTTAATAGTTAAAACAACGATTTTGTTCTTTGGAACTTTTCCAACTTTAATATACTATTCCTCTGGCTTATCTTTTCTTGTCTGAATTCCTAAATAGTTTTAATTATTGTAGGTTATAATACATTTTTTCTGTTAATGTAACAAAGCCCTCATTATAAAACTTACAAAATATATTGAATATCTCCATAGGAAGATTCCAATATTTTCCAAATTCTATGAAAATACACCAAAGAAATAATTTTAGAAGTACAATGGGGCAAGTAATGTGTGTGAGTAGAGGAAGTTGAGGAACTTTGTGAAATAGGAAAGCATAATTAACATAAATTGAACTTATTAGTTAAATATGCTGAATTGATTGTAGACAATTGATAAAACAGAAGAATGTAGCCCTAAAATATATATAAGAATTGAATGTATGCTGAGTAGCATTCTCATATAAGTAGGCAATATATTGTTTACTAATGATTTTTAAAAAATAAACTCATCAGATAACTACCCAAATTATACTCCAGATAAATTTAAAAGTTGGATGTAAAATTAAGAGCCCAAAACAACTATAATCAAATTCTATTTATAACAATGTATCATATGTAGTTTTGGGAAAAATGTCACAAATATAGGGGACATTCAAAAATTCTTAAAGCGAAAGCACAAATTGTTACCGTTTTTAAATGTGTATATAAAATGTTCAAAGAAATAAAATTGAGATAATATTTTGAACAACTAAGAAGTAAAGATAGATGTTAATAATGTATTTGAAAACGTTAAATGAGTAATAACAGGGATTGAAAAAACCTTGTCAATGAAATAAGCATTTCAAAAAGAACTGCATATTAGAAGAACATATAAGTAATGAGTATCATTTTCACAATACATTTGCTAAATCTTAAAAAGGGAAAAATCTTAATCACGGGAGGTTGTGATTTAATGGACCACCTTTTTGAAAATAAATTAACAATAATGATAGAGTTCCAGACATGCTACCCCCAAATATGGCACCTTTGGCATTTGAGAAAACAACAGAACCAGGAAGTTCTCTCTGAGCAACTCCCAACATTCTACCCCAAGCCATAAAAGAATCCTCCAACCTTCCGCTAAAGTAGGTCATAAGAACCTCATTCCAGAGATGCTCTCTTTTTATGTAGAGAAATGTCCTTATCGCTGAAGACAGAGATACATAGAGAAAAATCTGAACAAACGGGTTTACTAAGTCTTCCCAACCTGAGTTTATTACCATCAGATCATACTCCCTTGTTCAATTATACTTCTGCATGGCTGTGCACTCTTCACCAAACCTAAGAATAAACATACATTTTTATCCTAAAGTTTCTTTGGATTAGCTATTTCTTTGAGTTTTTGTTGCTAAAAGACTTATGTTTCATGTAAAACTTACATTAAATAAATTTGTATGTTACTTTCTTGTTAATCTTTCTTTTATCATAGGCATCTCAACATAAGCTTTGCAATGAGTGAGGAAAAGTTACTACCTTCCCTCCCCTGCTATATATATATATGGAAATGTTTTAATTCCTTAGAAAAAATTGTTAGAGTTGTTTATATCTATCTAAATACAAAGAATAACAAGAAACAATATTATGTACAAGGTATGATGGTAAAATGAAGACAGTGCTGATTTTAAAGACCTTTAAAATTTGCAAAAGTAAATGTACTAGCATAAAAAGGCTGATGTTATGATATAAAAATAATAGGATATGAGCTCTACATAATTTATTCTAAAAGTTTTGGCAGAAAAAAGAAATAAAAATATTAAAAAATATATTTTTATGTACACATTTAAAAAGCTCACTGTTCATAATGAGTAGATGAGAGTAATAGGAATGAGAAGTGAAAGTTGACAGGGTGGGAACAAATTATACAGTTATTTTCTTTTTTGTAAGGACTTTTTAAGACACAAAAAAGAAATTGCTAATGAATTATTTGATATCTTACAATGTCACTAACCAATGCAATGCAGATACAAAATTACATATTTGACCAGTTTCTCAAGGTTTTCAAAAATAGTGAACACCAACATAGATAAGGATATTAAATCTGCCTCTTCAAACGGTGTTTTAATGAATTAAAAAGTAATTTTATACTGTTTATCATGAATCTTTCAAATCCTCACACTTCTTGATGTAATATACTCTTTCTGAAATTCTGCTCTAAGTATTTTCACATATATAACAATGGTTTATTTGCAAAATTTTACTACAGGTTTATTTATAATAATCAAACATTAGAAAGAACATTTCTAACCAACAATTACAAAAGAGGAATTTATAAGCATGCCATGATTGCTACATTTTTTAAAAGCTTAATTTGTACTTTTCCCTACCAGAATTTGGAACCAATTGATAAACAGAAAAAAGAAGATGAGAAAATTAAAATCAAAATTATCTCTTTATAATGTTTATTATCAAAACATCTTTATTGCATTAAACAGATTAAACAAATTTAACTAGTTGTGCACTTTCTTACTTGGACATTTGCGGACCTCTGCAGAAAATGGCTGGACCTTTTCACCATATGCCAAAGAGAAGACTACAATAAATAATGTATGAAGACTGGTAGATCTTGAAAGATATCCTGTAAGTGGCTGAACAACAGAGACCTGGTTATTTATTTCAAATTCATGAATTAGTGAGAGCAAGAAGTGAGAAGAGTCACTATTAGAGATTCTAACAGAGAAACATTAAGCCAGAGGAGAATAAGGCACCCTCAAATAATGGTACACCATAGGATGAAACCTCCATAAGTCATAATTAAATTTATGAATCATTGTTAATTCCATTCTAATATAACACATAGTAAATATAACGCACAGTAAAAATTCAGAGTACTAAAATGTAGCTGCAATTTAAATTTAGCTTTGTAAACAGATATTTAGAAAGAAATGATGTATAAATATACAAAATACCAATAGGTTTTTCCCCCCTTTGGGGTAGTGTTTGCCTGATTTTTTTTTCATTTCCTTACAATTTTAATTATTTAAATACAAATATGTACATATTTGAAAGCCCAACGAAATTACAGACAGCCTAACAAAATATAGTAAATATGATTCTTCTTTTTATTTATACTATTTTTCTCTGAGAGATATTATATGCTTATATAGCAGCTTTAGTTTTATGATTCGTTTAATTTGAATAGTAAGTTATTTTACAGATTATTTATTTGTTCATAAAAAATTTACCAGCGGGGCAGGGTGGCTCACACCTGTTATCCCAATATTTTGGTAGGCCGAGATGAGAGGAAAACTTGAGCTCATAGGTTTGAGACCAGCCTGGGGAACAGAGTGAGATGTCTCTACCAAAAAAAAAAAAAAACAAAAAACTGAGCATAGTGGCATGTACTTGATTAGCTGAGGTGGGAGGATAACTTGAAGCCAGGAGTTGGAGGCTAAAGTTAGCCATGGTCATGCCACTGCACTCCAACCTGGTTGACAGAGTGAGACCTTGTCTCTTTAAATAAAAAAAAAAGATTTAAGTTTCCATTCATGTTGCCTCGACTGTTTGACCGTGACTCAAAATCTATAACTTTGAAAAAAAAAGTTGAAGCTTGATAGAAACATATGAAATAAAACACTGAAACTGAAATTTATCATCAGAGAGGAAAAGAGTTAAATGGCTTTTTGTAAAACAAATTCAAATCTACAATAATCTTTGAAATTCTAGTAAATGAAACAAAATCTCTTTCTCTTTTTCATATATATGTAAAGAAGATTTACAAAAAATTAATTTTAATTTTCCAGATGACCGTAGGTAGGGGTAGATGAATAAGCAATACTACCAGGACACGTCAGTGTGGAATGATAAAAGTGGAAAAAGGTTAATGGAATGTGAGTGGGCACTACTTGGGGAAGAGGGCCTTGGATTAAATCCATGTTCAGCCTAGAGCTGGTTTACAAAAACTGGAAAAGTCTCCACAGATCTCAGTGTTTTGTGTTACAGAATGATGTTTTAATCAGGTAACACCAAGTGCTTGTTCACTTTCAAAATTATATTTCTAGCCTTTTGATACTTCCAGGGAAGTCATTCTCATTTTTTTAACTCTCCTTTTGGCTTGTGTAGTTTGTGATAATTAGAAACCCTCAACATACTTAGGGTGATATAATATAAAAATCTAAGGCGATAAAATGAACATGTATTAGGTAAACACAGTCCAGAAAACTAAATTTAGCAACTGAAACAAGAAATCGATTTAGGCAAATTAAAAGGGAGGGCAGTTTTTGCGACAAGGAAACGAGTTTAAAGAAAATGTTATTGCCTTCTTATATAATAAATATATAAGAAGTAAATTTATGGAAAAAACCACACATTTTAGTTTTTATTGATAAGAATTAAAGAGTAATATCAAGAAGGTCAACTCTGCTCTTCAACAATATAGTCATTAATGTATGCAACCATTTAACAAACACATGACATTAATTATTTGATAGGCCATAAACTAATTACTGAAGATATGTCCTGGCCTTTAGAGAGTGTGTTATTTGGATGACATTGATCTGAAACATACTTAGAGATTTAATTATTGTCTCCAAATCATCTTGAATTATTTAAATTTTCTTCTTAAATTATCAAACAAACTTTTGAGCAAATGTTTAACCTTATCGTATCCATATTTGGAGAAAAATCAGGGTAAGGTATTCTCCTGCCAAACCTAAAAAAAAAAAATGCTCCTAAGTTCTCAAACATTGTATGGATCAAATTAAAATATTAGAGCCTTGATCATTGTGATTATTTTTGTAGAATTAAAACAATTTTATATTATTTTGATAATTCAATAAAGGAAAACATGTACTGTTAAAGGATTCTCCAGTAAAATATTATATTAATGATGAAATATTGAGAGTTATAGCACACTTAGAAAGGGTGGAAGAATGCTTAAAGAAGAGAAGGCCTTTTTTTTCCTATTCTCCTTTAATAATTTCTTAAAATTTTGTCTCTCCTTTCCCATTTAGTGTTTCGTCTTGTAACTTTTCTAAACATGTATTTTGAGGTCTGTTAGTATGCCATATTTTTCTTTTTACTGTCTATAACTAGCCTAAGGCTAGATAAATTGTAAGTGCTTAATAACATTTTACTGACTGTAATTGATACAATAATTATAATTTTATCTTACTTTTCTATACCATTTTTACCTTACAAGCTCCATTTACTGTATTTTTTCTTTTTGATTATTATGTTAATAAGCAATATAAACTCCTTGGTAATTAAGATCTTCATAACACTAAAATACTTATGATTGCTTTCATAAAAATGTGAAGGCCTTTAAAAAAGCATATTGCAGAACCAAAAGCAGTATCTGTGAAGTCATTGAAAAACACTTTCCTTGTTGAAAAGAGGATAATACTGCAAACCTCTGTTAATATTAAGAAACATGAAGTTTGACTTTTAGAGTCACAAATAAGGTTTTAAGGAGAGGGCGAAAGAGAAAGAAAGATTACATTTAAATAGCTCTCTCAGCCCAACTGCTTTTAAAATACATAAACCCACTTAAAATTACATTATTATTGACAGATGTTTAAATGATTAAAATCAGAATTCCTAAAATATGAAATATTACTGTATGCTACAATTATGATAGTTTTTCCCATAGCAATAAAAGGTGCCTAGAGTAAAATGTGAGCTCTCTAAAATGAAATGCAAACATATTAGAAGAAAATATGATTGGCGTTTTTAGTGTTTTATATATTTAAATATATTAAAATACTCCTTCCTAGTTTAATTATACAGACAAATAATATTAATCTAAAAAGAGCACCTTTTAATCATTTTTAATAATCTAAGTAATGGATTTTTTACCACTATTATAAAGCTCACATAGAAATAGCTTTTTTTCTCCTGTAGTCTATATATAAAAAAACTTTGACGATTTCAGTATGGAGAAAAAACATATATTGTGAGCAGCGTAGGAAAAGGTAATTATACAAGAAGCCTAGTCTTTGAGTAAAAAGTCTGTTTGAATATAATTTGGTCTGTCTCTCTCCCTCCCTCTTTTCAAATTTATTGAAGAGGAACAGTGAATTTGGATATATTTACACATGATTTAGTATTATAAAATATTTTGAAATGTAGGGAGAAAACTCTTTAGTTAAAGGAAATATACTAAAATAAGCTATTTAATAAGATTTCTTAAGAAGATAAAACATCTTAAGAAGGAACTTCTTTCTACACACAGCTCGATTGCTTGAAATCTGACCCTTTCTCAACCCTTAATGATTTTCTTTATATCTTAGACAAAGGAACCGATGACATGCTGTAGGGCATATTTAAAAATCATGTCCAAATTCTTCAATGGGACAGAAGAAAATTAGAAATTATTTTCTGAATCATATACAACCAAAAACTGCGTTAAGATTCTATTCATGGATGATATCAAGCTTCAATATTGAACTTTCTCTCTTCGATGATGATGTGCTTATTGACTTAGCATCAGCCAGAATATATAAGGAACACATCAGTGTAACAATCACCACAATTTGTGAATCCATGTTTTATCTGAATATATGAAATTATTTGATATCACCAAATATTTGCTGCCAACATTTCATTCAGGATTAAATTTTCTAATGTAACAGAATAGAACAAGGGAGGAAACTGATTGCATATGGAAAGTGACCTATATGTATAGAAGCAGTTGTAGTTAAATTCCATATTCTGACAGTGATATGGTTTGGCTATGTCCCTACCCAAATCTCATCTTGAATTGTAACTCCCACAATTCCCACATGTCATGGGAGAAACCCAGTGGGAAGCGATTGAATTATGGGGTTGGTCTTTCCTGTGCTTTTCTTGTGACAGTAAATGAGTCTCATGAGTTCTGATGGTTTTAAAAATGGGAGTTTCTCTGAAAAATCTCTCTCTTTGCCTGTCATCATCCACGTAAGATGTGACTTGCTCCTCCTTGCCTTCCGTCATGATTGTGATGCCCTCCCAGCCACATGGAACTGTGAGTCCAATTAAGCCTCTTTCTTTTGTAAATTTACCAGTCTCGGGAATGTACTTAGCATTGTGAAAATGGACTAATACAGACAGTTTGAAATATCTGAGAAGGATTTAGAAGTGCAAAAGGTTTTGAGGGAGAAACACCTGTATTTGTAAGCAGGGGAGGGCATAGGTGTGGGTAGGGAAAGCCTTTAGATTATAATGCAGATATGTAACTCATGAAAAGAGAGGTGGAAAAAAAGAGGATTTGCTAGGAGGAGCCTAGGAAATGCAGTGCATCTGTGAGAATTTCTCAGCTAGGTCATTGGAGGACTTCTGAACAAAGATTTCCTATTAATGGAGCCCACTCTCTTCTTGGCTAAAAATGATCTGGAATCTGGTATCCTTGCCATGCACTTTCAGTGTTAAATATCACACATTCATTGTTTTGGCATGAGTGCTACAGCTTGAAGCTATCAAGTAACTACATGGCTCCTGGAAAGGTCTTTTTTTTAAGGGAGATATGAGCAACATACTTCATGGTTGCCGTAGATACCTTGGTGGAAATACAAAATAATCTTGCTCCCATTGATATTATAAAAATTTTAGTATTATTTTATTTGTTTATTTCATTAATTGCAATTGCAAATTATGGGATTTCTAGAAAGATTTACCTAACATTGTTGCTCCACTTATTGAGTAATATGCAAATGAAAATATTTTTAAAAACAAATACATAGAAAATAACAATACAACAGTAAAAAAATACAAATGAAAAAGTATAACACATGTTTACATAACACTTAAATTGCATTAGGTATCATAAGTAATTTAAAGATGATTTAAAGCATATTTTAGGAGGTTATATGCAAATACTAGGCCATTTCATATAAGGGACTTGAACATCCGTGGATTCTGATACCCCTTGAGGGGGGAGACCTAGGAACCAACGCCCTCCTGAGGCCAAGGAATGACTGTAGTTGATACATTCACTTTGATTGTTTCCATAGCGCCTGAATTAAGGGAAACAAAGATGTAATACAAGTGAAGAAAAACAATTAGATGTCACTACTTGTCTGAACTCTTTGTCATCCATGCCTTATTTATATAGGCATTTTATTTGCTGTTTAGATTGGGTTCCCAAGAGGCAGAATTTAAAATGAGAAATCAAATAAGCCTGATTTATTAGAAATTGTTTCCTGACAAAACCTGGGAAAGTCATGAAAAAAAAAAAAAAGACTAAGTAAATAGGCACAGACTAAAAGTCCATCAAGCAAAATCCCATCAAAAGCAATTCTGGTTCAGTTGCACATGGAGAAAAGCACTGGAGACCCTCAGTCTCACACCCCATGGTCAATTGATCAGTACGGGAGAGAATTCAAGTGTATTTATTCCTGCTGGAATCAGCATTGACTAAGGACTGGCACTGGAGTGGCTTAATCTCTCAGGTACACAGCCTCTACTTTCATGCAGCCAAAGAAGGCTCTGGCAGCCTGAGAATTGTCCTCCCACTATAAGACTCAGACACTGATTGACAGAAATAATTATAAATTATATCAGCCACTGTGGAAAGCAGTTTGGAGATTTCATAAAGAACTCAAAACAGAAGTGTGATTGAACCCAGCAATTCTACTATTGGGTATATACCCAGAGGAAAATAAATTGTTCTACCAAAAAGAAATAAGCACTCCTATGTTCATTGCAGCACAATTCACAATAGCAGAGATATGGAATCAACCTAGATGTCCATCAGTGGTGGTCTGGATAAAGAAAATATGGTACATATACACCATGGAATACTAGGCGCTCATAAAAAAAAATGAAGCCGTGTTCTCTCCAACAACATAGATGCAGCTGGAGACCATTATAAGGGAATTAGCTAAGGAACAGAAAACCAAAGACCACATGACTTCACTTATAAGTGAGAGGTAGGCTGGGCGCGGTGGCTCACGCCTGTAATCCCAGCACTTTGGGAGGCTCAGGAGGGTGGATCACGAGGTTAAGATATCGAGACCATCCTGGCTAACATGGTGAAACCCCGTCTCTACTAAATATACAAAAAATTAGCCAGGCGTGATGGCGGGCGCCTGTAGTCCCAGCTACTCGGGAGGCTGAGGCAGGAGAATGGCGTGAACTCAGGAGGCGGAGCTTGCAGTGAGCTGAGATGGCGCCACTGCACTCCAGCCTGGGCGACAGAGCGAGACTCCGTCTCAAAAAATAAATGAATAAATAAATAAACATATAAAATTTAAAAAAAATAAGTGGGAGATAAACATTAAGTACACATGGACACAAAGATGGCAACAATAGACACTGAGGACTACTAGAGTAGGGAGCGTGGGAAGGGGTGAGGTTCGAAAAACTATCAGGTACTATGCTCACTCATTACCTAGCTGATGGGAATGTTCATACACCAAAGCTCAGCAACATGCAATCTATTCATGTAACAAATCTGTACATATACCCACTGAACCTAAAATAAAAGTCAAAAACAATTTTTAAAAAGCACTTCCTACCACCATGCAGTTCATAAACAATCACAAATATGGTAGGCTTGCCAAGTGCTTTTGTACCGCATTATTTATTACCATGCATTTGTATGACTGCAGTAGACTTTACTGATTTTTACTTTATAAAGCATTGTATTTATTCATTAAAAAATAAAAGGCTTGAACAAGAAAAAACGGGAGACGCTAACATCATAGACCACAACATAACATGCGAAGTACAAGAATGACAAATATTATGTTTTGGCTCTCTTTACTATATGAGAGTCTCCTTTGGGACCGCATTTCAGAAATTCTTGATTTAGAGTAACATATCTTTTTTTTTTTTTTTTTTCTAGACAAAGTCTCGCTGTGTCACTCAGGCTGGAGTGCGGTGGCACGATCTTCGGTTCAAGCACCACTGCCTCCCAGGTTCAAACGATCCTCCTACCTCAGCCTTCAGAGTAGCTGGGATTACAAGTGTGTGCCACCACGCCAAGCCTAGAGTAACATTTCTTTTAACTGAGGTGGTATTTATAAAAAATATACCCACACATCGTTGTTAAAAGAAGTAGAATTTTTGAATGAGGTTGTTTTCTGCATTCAAATGCTAATGAAACTCTGACCAAAGCAATAAGTAATAAATGAATTACAATGGAGTATTAAAGGACAACATTATTTTGAATTGGAAGACGTTAGTCAGACTTTCAGGATTATTAATAATCTGAGATTTGTGTATTTATATAAGATTAACAGTGTGAAATTGGATAACATAATATATTCCTCATAATGTCTTATGTAAGTCTTACCAGCTTTTGATGAGAGTAAATACAAGAAAATATACAAAGGAAAAGGTGTTTAAATGAAATTGGGGATAAAGTCAGCAGCCTATGGACCATGCAATGCCTGTAAATATGTTTTATTTTTTCTGTACATTAAAAAGTTTTTTCAGTATTTTTTGGTTATATAACACCTCTAATTTTCTAAAAGTTTCATCACTTGTGTTCTTTAAAATTAATTAATTTTAATTGGTAAGTACAAATTGTCTCATCATTCTTTATTATATAAATTTCTTAGTGCCTCGAAGCATATGAGTTTGCGACTTTTGTACAAAACCTTGCTGGTTTAGCATTCAGCGAGAAATAAGTTTGACACATGTTCATGTGCTCTCACTCTCTTCAAAATTTGAAAGGATGTTCATTGCAGTGGTAATCCAGTAACCTGGGGAAGTAAAGCTTACATTTTTAAAAAAGCATTCTATACATTGAAGCTGAAGAAAGAACACTTAAATCCACACTTTGAAAACATATCTGATGACCTAATTCCTATAAATAAGCAAGGATTAGAGGCTATCACTCCTGACAGACTTTACAATTGATCTGAATCTTTTCTAGTTTTTGCTATTCAGATAACTCAAGATGGATGATGATACTGAAATGCAGGTGGGGAGATTTCTAAGACTTACTATATGGAATGTATAATACAGAACAAATAAATTTGTTAATCATAGTATGTGTGTATATATATATACATATATATTTTTTTTGAGACGGAGTCTCCCTCTGCCACTCAGACTGGAGTGCAGTGGCGTGTCAGGTGTGTCACGGCTCACTGCAACCTCCACATCCCAGGTTCAAGCAATTCTCCTGGCACAGCCTCCAGCGTAGCTGGGACTACAGGCATGTGACACCACACCCAGCTAATTTTTTTGTATTTTTAATCGAGACAGGGTTTTGCCATGTTGGCCAGACTGTTCTCGAACCCCTGACCTCAGATGATCAGTCCACCTTGGCCTCCCAAAGTGTTAGGATTACAGGCATGAGCCACCTTGCCTGGCCCAATATGTATATGTTTCTAAAAATTTCATCTTGCAGATATTTAATTTGTTTTTATTAACTCAAACATGGAATGGAAGCCCAAAGAAATCCATTTTAACACAATGTAAAATCTGTTGTTTATAAAAGCATTCAAACTGAAAATATTGAGCCATTACCTGGATCAATCTTAAAATAGCTCTTGAAATGTTCTGATTAGTTTGTTAGTAATGGTTTACAAACTTCCTGGTAGTCTTTGTAAAACCAAGATAAAGAGTAACAAGTCCCCAAGTATTGGACCAGCTTCAAATTTTCTGTTCTAAGGAATATATTTAAAACAAGGTAGTTTTATGGATATTTACTTTAAAAACATTGCCTTAAGTAAGATAATACAAGATAACACCATTGAACACAACAATGTTGGCAGAAACAACATGAAGTCATAGAACCATAAAGCAGAACCTACTGCCAATGTCCTGGCCCTACCTATATATTGCACTGCCTCACAGATCAGGGGCATCAGACATCACATGCCCTCAATTCATGACTTGAGAAAGACTGCAGAAATATCTTGGGATCTGCACTGTAGATTTTTTTTATCAGCCTTCTCTTCATATTTCTATAGCATATTTTTAATTTGCTTTGAGAGATTGGACTGCTCTCATTTACTGTAGTTACTGCTACTGTGGCCCTCTCTTGACCATGCAGCAGATGGTCCCAGGTGCTGTCTCAGACCTGTTTGTCCTCCTGGGGTCTGTACATCTCTATATTTTTAGTTTCTGCTTAGCTTCTGACTCATCTTTTACAGCTTGCTGCTGAACTTAACTATTAACTTAAGGATTTATTGTACATTTAATGGTTTTTCCATAGAAAACCATGGCTTAAGTTTGGAAATTGAAAGTAAGTGACTTCCAGCCAAGTTGTTCATAAATTTTCTCTTTGATACATCCCTTTTGGTTCAAATACACAGCAATAATAGATAAAGTACAGAACTGAAAATAAAATAGACAAAGGGCAACTAAGGACAAAGATAAACATCTTAATGTGCCGAAGAAGGATCAAGACTGTTAAGATTAATGGCTAAAGTGAAGTCCTGCTAGTTTTAAGGATCAAGGAGAGGAACAGAAAGTGTAGCTCAGAACTCAGCATCTGCAGGATGAAGGAACTAAAACTCCTACAGAAATGGACATGAAGCCAAAAGATGTCTGGTGAAAAGCAAAAACAAAACAAACAAACAAAAATCCCACAAATGTTTCCAATAAGCTATTACTTCCGATTTTAGCAAGCTGTTGGCTGATGAAGCAGGGGGACTCATGCATAGCCATCCTCATGAGGTGAACCTAATGGCCCAGTTGGTCTACATTTTTGATATGGTTTTTCTGTGTCCCCACACAAATCTCATTTTGAATTGTAGTTCCCATAATCCCTATGTGTCATGTCAGGGACCAAATGGAGATAATTGAATTTTGCGGGTGGTTCCCTCATTCTGTTCTCCCGATAGTGAGTTGCTCCTCACAAGATCTGATGGTTTTATAAGGGGCTTCCTATTCTTTTTCTGTTTTTTTTTTTTTTTTTTTTTTTGAGATGAAGTCTTGCTCTGTCACCTAGGCTGGAGTGCAGTGGCACGATCTCGGCTCACTGCAAGCTCTGCCTCCAGGGTTCACGCCATTCTCCTGCCTCAGTCTCCAGAGTAGCTGGGAATACAGGTGCCCGTCACCCCACCCAGCTAATTTTTCATATTTTTAGTAGAGACGGGGTTTCACCATGTTAGCCAGGCTAATCTCGATCTCCTGAACTTGTGATCCGCCCGCCTTGGCCTCCCAAAGTGCTGGGATTACAGGTGTGAGCCACCACGCTTGGCCGGGGCTTCCCTCTTTACTGGGTATTAATTCTCTCTCCTGCCATCCTGTGAAGAGGTGCCTTCTGCCATGATTGTAAGTTTCTTGAGGCCTCCCCAGCCATGTGAAACTTTAAGTCACTTAAACCTCTTTTCTTTATAAATTACCCATCTTGGGTATTTCTTCATAGCAGCATGAGAATGAACTAATACAATTATCCTCAATGTCATTGCAGGCAGAAGCAGTGAAATGCCATCTGGAATGACAGAAGAGCACAGGAATAATGGGAACAACCATAAACTACTGATCATAAAAAGGTGATTAAGGAGAAATGGGTCTGGAACAGTGGCTCACACTGTAATCCCAGTGCTCTGGGAAGCCAAGGAAGGAAGATCCCTTGAGACCAAGAGTTCAAGACCAGACCTGGCAACATAGCAAAACCCCATCTCTATAAAAATAACAATTAGCTGGGTGGTGTGGTGCATGCCTGTAATCCTAGCTACAAGGGGAGGTTGAAGTTGGGGGACTGCTTGAGCCCAGAAGCTTAAGGCTGCAGTGAATTCTAATCATACCACTGTGCTCCACCATGAATGATAGAGTGAGACCCTGTCTAGAAAAAACAAAAAAGAGAAAAGGAAATAAATAAGAACACATGAAGAGATAAAAATAATTGCTCAAAAAAAAGAAAGTATTACTTAGAATTTAGTGAGTTCTCCATCTTTGAAGTAATATGAATATTGAGATATCAAACAGTGCGGCTAAGGTGTTTAGAAAGCCTCCTTTAAAAAGGAGGAGCCAGATTAAGATAATCTTTGTTCTCACAATATCTCAGTGAAAATGAGCCCGGAAAATAATCATAAAATATATACAAAAGGTACTGTATAGGAGAGCAGCCAACAACTTTGTCATTTGAACATGAAATCATTCTTGAAATGATTAATAAAATAAAATTTACAGGAAATTTTCAAAGTCTTCAGAGTAAGTATATTTTAAAATGTCAACAACATAAATAAAGGGATTTTTTAAAATAAAAAAGCAATAAACTATAAAGTAAAACAAAATGGGCAGAAGTTTCTAAAAGACAATACAAAGTGAAATAGATTAAGAGATATAGTCATTGAAGTAAAAGTTCACTTATAAGGAAGCTAATCTAGACCAAATGCAAACTAAGAGAAAATTTGTGATTTAAAGAATATTATAGATTGAGTATCCCTAATCCAAAAGTTCAAAATTTGAAATCTCAAATCTGAAATACTACAAAACAGAACATTTTTGCATGTAAATAGGGTGCCACAGATGGAATTTCACATCTGATCTCATATGGTAACACACAGTCAAAATGGAGGCAAAACTTTGTTTTAGCCACATAATTATTAAAAATACTATATAAATTTACCTTCAGGCTATGTATATATGTGTATAAGATGTATATGAAACATAAACAAATTTCAGGTTTAGATTTGAGTACCATCCACAAGATAGCTCATTTGTATATGCAAATATTTCAAAACCCAAAAATATCTCAAATCTGAAACACCCTGGTCCCAAACATTTCAGACAAGGAAGGCTCAACCTGTACTGGAGAATTTACTGAGAAGTCAATACACATCACAGTGACAAAATTATAAAGGAAAATTTATAATCAACCCCAATAAATATGAAGATCACAAGTAATACTTTTTAAAATTTTAGCTTTTATTTTTATTCATTTTGTATGTATAAAAATAGGTGTATATATTTTCAGGATACATGTGATTTTTTAAACATTTATACACTGTGAAATAATCAAATCAGGGTAATTAGGATATGCATTACCTTTTTATGCTGGGAACATTTCAATAACTCTTTACTAATTATTTGATTATTGTTTACTATGTCAGTATGTAGTGATTTATTGAACACTAGGTCTTATTTATTCTGACTAATTTTTTTCAAAGTTGATCTGTATTTCACATAAACATCATCTTTCTAATTGTCAATGATGCATTTATCACAGTACTGCAACACTGTACTTAAGAACGTTGATGGTACCTGGAAGACTAAGTCAAAATTTTATTTCTGTTAATTCTAGCCAAATTCTAGGAAAGTGTAAAGGAGGGAAAAAGAAAGAAGTGTGATGGATCCCCCATAGATCAGAGGAGGGAAGATTTTACATTACCTATTTACTGCTCTAACTGAGACATGTATGTGGTTGAATATCAATTTGATTTAATATTGGTAACATCTGTGCTGTTTTTTAGGGTTCACCTATAACCAAAATTGAGAGAGTGCTATATTCTATACCAATGGTTTCCAAACCCTATTATGCTTCAGAATCACTTATGGAACTGATTAAAAGTAAGTGAGCCCCACAACCTGAGTTTCTGATTCAGTGAAATTGCTGAGAGGCCTGATAATTTATATTTCTCCAAGTTCCCAGGTGATGCTGATGCTGTGCTGGACCATAGAACACACTTTTAAAACCACTACTCTGTGTTATTACTCAAACTAAGTGTTGTGGAGAAACATTTTTCCCAAGGAAACGTATGTGACTAGCCCTTTGGAAATAATGTTTGTGTGCCTGTTTTCTCTCACAGTCAAATCATTTGGTGGTCCTTAATTTACTTTATTTATTTATATTATAAATATGCAAATTATCTGGTAATTTTTGTTTGGTTGGTTGGCAGTTTGATTAGTTGTTTGGTGCAACAAATTTTAAGAAGTGTAGTTAAATTTATTTTTTATTTTGCTTTAAACTTTATTCATTGCTCTCTTTTCCACATTTGTTAATTTCACACAGAAGTTGAATCAGTGTGTACATCCCTAAACAACCTTTGTAAGGTGTTTTAAAAACCTTTGTAAGTTGTCATGGATTTGGGAATAAGTGGCAAAGATTACCTTTAAAATGCTTGAAACACATTTTTTTCACTCATGTGTTTTCTCTCTGTTTTGCTGTTCTTTACTGGTTAACTAGATCTTCAAATAATTGGAGAGTTATTGTGTGAAAAATTAACAGTTTTTCAAAACAAGAAAAACAGAAAAAGAACATCTGTTTTGCAAAGTTCTGCTCATGAGTCCGGTCTATCTGTCTTGCAATACAGAAAGGAAGGATTTAGAGCCCTCAGCATCCTTAGTGAAATATTATCTGACACTTCACAGAAAGCAGAGTGGGAATCAGTAGGTATTAGCCAGGACCACAGTATTCAGGGAAGCCAAATAATTAAATTTTGGACACAAAGCAAAAGAATGAGACAGCCACACTCTTACACACAGAACCTTAACCTAGATTTGAAAGTAGAGGTATGGATGGAAAGAAAAATACTTTGCATAGAAAAAGAATAAATTATTGGAGTAAACATAACAAGTAAGAAATGCCTAGTGACAGTGTGGCTGAAAAAAAGAATGTCAATAATGAAATTTATATTTGGAAGGGAAACTTCTCAATCATTTTTAAAAATACATTCTATCAACTTGTTTTGAGGGTTTTGGAGGAGTAAAGAAATAAGGAAGATGACTAATGTGAATGCTGCAATAAAAGAGAACATCAAAAGCAAGAAGAGGAAATATACCACAAGCTGAATGAATTCAAAAGAAGTAACTTAGAGTTGAAGATGACTTGAAAAATTTAAGCAACTTATCTCCCACAGATACACCTCATTAACATTAACAAATTCTGAGTTGGGAAGAATTTTGCTTCTTAATCTACACAGAACTGGGATTTTTTGCTCAAATTTTATTTGATTTTTAAAAGGCAAGAGACCAGTGCTACATATTTATATTTTTATCTGCAACTATCTAAATTAATACCTGTTCTCTATAAAGTAGCCTAAATCATGTCGTTTTTGGATGTTTGTTGATGCCAATAGATAGAATACCTTCCAAATATGTTTAAAATTTAAGTAGCTGTGACTAATTTAGTTTAAATCCAGTAAAGTATATATAATTGTCAGATGTCAGATGAATTTGGAATTAAAATATATTCATATCAATTGTTGAAAGTTATTTTTAGTAGTCAAAATAGCAAAAGCTGATGAACAACAACATCACTAGGCAATCAGTTTTTTCTTATAAAAAGTGATGATTATTTTACAGTTTTCACTTCTTTTCATAAATTTCATTTTGTTTGATGTGTTAAGCCATTGTCTTACTGTGAGAATAGTTTGAATTTAGTAGAGATGAGCTTCTACCAACCTTCATGAAAGTGATTAGGAATCCTACACATATCTATCTGTGAGATTTATCTACTTAATACTTTCACTCAGTGTCATAACACAGAGAACAGAAACTTCAGGAAATAATGAAACAGAGTTCTTTCGTTAATATCTAGCAGTGTGAGAGCATGATAATCCAGAAATGCTTATTTTTATTTAAAGAAATGAAATAAGTTACATCTTATCTATCAGCACTTTTAGAAAGTAAAGTTATACCTCTTCAGATCCAATCATCTCTCTTAGAATATTTTGATACTATCTATTTATTACTCTCTGTAAAACATCAAAGAATTGTATTATTGTAAATGAAGTAGAATTACAAAAGAGTCTAACAGATTTTTTTTATTTAAAAAAAAATCCATGTGGGGAGTATGTAGAAGATCAACACATAAAAGAGTAAGTGGATGTCTTATAAACAATTAGTCAAATACCATTAAATTACCATATTCAAGTACAAAATGATACTGTGTAAGGAACAGAATGTATGAGCTTATTGTGGGGATTAATTTCTAACTCAAAGTTGTTTGGCGAGGATATGAGGAATCTAAGCTTAAGAAATACTTTAAAGCCTAGAAATCTGTCTGGTTGCCTTGGAGATGGAAGGACATTTGAGAAGACTCTGTGGGAGATGGCTTGTCATACAGTTTTTAGGTTTATGATAATAAAGAACTAATCATCCTCTTGATTCTCACAAATAAAGACAGAGCAGGGGAGTTTTTCAGGTATTTGTCTCTATTCTAAATAGCCATGTCCAGCAAAATGAGTTATCCTTTTGAGGCTCTGTTTTAGAGGGAGCCACATTACCACTCTGACTCTGGTTTCTAGTTGAGTTGGTGACATATAGTAGACTGCCAGTTAATATTGGCTGAATGATTGTCTGAAGGCAGGAATTACTTCAGAAAAAGGTGAATACAGTCAGAGAGAGAAATAATTGTTTGCGGTGTGATTAATTTAATTGACACTTAAACTAGAGGGGTATAAATTGCTGAAGCTCTTCTTGAGAGAAAGAAAAGCATGGTAAATAGAACACTTTTTTTCAGTCATAGCCTGATAGCATCATGATCACTATATTTATTGACTGAGTACTGTACAGTCAACAAATACTTAATGAACATTGGTTATGTGCTGCACACTTAGCCCATCATTCAGTGAATCTTGGCCAAGTTTAAATTTGTAAATAAAATGGTGGTGGGTCAGGGTTTTGGAAATGTGTTTTCTGATCTCAACAACATGAAATGATTTGAGGGAGCCATGGATCATTACTGGTATCATATGAACGTTTTTATCCCCCCTGCAAAAAATATTCTGATATTGAAGCCGAATCCTCAATGTAATGGTAGTAAGAAGTGATGTCTTTGGAAAGTGGCTAGTTTATAATGGCAAAGCCCTAATGAATGGAATTAGGCTTCTTTATTCCTTCCACAATGTGAGGATACAATGAAGGCTTGGCAGTCTGCAACACAGAAGAGGGCCCTCTTTAGAAACTGATTGTTTTGGCACACTGATCTTGAACTTCTCAGCCTCCAGAACTGTGAGAAATAAATTTCTGTTGTTTCTAAGCTACTCAGTCTATGGTACTTTCTTATAGCCACCTGAATCGACTAAGAAAATCACCTTCAATCTGTGCCTTGCCTGCCATGAAAGATCGCTCTAAAAGGGTAAAAAATAAAATACCACGTTTTATTCTTCCATGAAATATTAAGATAATCTAGAATAAACCCTCTCCAACACACACACCCTTCCACACATACATCATTGTCAAAGTGAATTAATGATGACTCATAATAATAATAATACTATTAATAATAAATCATGTACTTTGAAGGAATTATTTTTAATGTGGCTATCATTTCACAATGAAGTGAAACAGGCATCCTCTCCTACAAATATGGTTGGAAAAAATACTGTCTCCAAACAGGTTCCCTAGAAGCAAAACCTGAGATAAAGATTTTTTAATTTATTTTGGATAGGAAATTGCTCAGATGGAGACTACTTTTTGTCTGATTCTAGAGTAAGCCCTAGAACACAAATCATATCAGAGTTGAAACTTACCTTGAAGCAGATGGTCTAGCTTCTCTCCCCGCTTCCATTTCCCTGGCTATGCTCTTTGGTTGTAGGAGGTGGTACAGAGTTTGTGGTAGAGGTAGAGGTGGGTGAAATGAAAGGGAGTATTCCTGTGAGGCAGCTCCCATTGTCCAAAGGCACAATAGCATCCATCACAGGTACAGAGTGAGAGTAACCTCCAGTGGACTTAGAATAGCAAAGCAGAGCTCTGCATTCCCTTTCAGCACTGAACCATTCTAAGAGTGATACTCTAGGCAATAACATCAATGTTGCTGCTGGGTCCTGGTTCAAAAGAGTGACATGTCTAAAACTTAGCTCTACTGTCATAAACAGGATTTACTTTTCAAGGCAAAAGTCAATTTGAAGCAAATAATTTGAGAAAAGAGTTTGGAAGGTATGCTGTTGAATCTCATGAAATTCAAAAGAAATAATCAGGATGTTTTAGATTCCTTTGATGGCTGATAAAGTCTATGTAAATATGATTATATGTAAATGTAATTAACTGCAACTGAAAAAATAATTATGATTAGTAAATAAGACTGATATATATTAGAAAGAGTTCTGAATAAATCCAGAGAAAGACATGGTTTTAATTCTAGAAATGTCACTGACTTAGATGTGGAACTAGGATAATTTACTGAACCCTGATAAGCTTGTTCTTCTTATGTAATGAAAGATTTGGACTCAATCTTCCAGAAAACTGTGGTTTTAAACTTTAATTTTAACTTATCTATGTGAAAAGTGTTTCTGAATTCAGATTATATGATATGTAAAGTTGTAGTCCCAGCATATAAAATACATGGTATGGAAAAAAAAGTAATTTAAAATAATTTGCCACTTGGATGCATCTATTCTCATCATTAAGGAGCTCTCTATAAACACCATGTTCTACCTGACTTTTCTTTCCTTTTTCCTTTCAAAACAGATACACCTGAGCCTCTGTATTAGTCTGTTTTCACACTGCTGATAAAGACATACCAGACACTGGGCAATTTACAAAAGAAAGAGGCTTATTGGACTTACAGTTCTACATGGCTGGGGAGGCCTCACAATCATGGCAGAAGGCAAGGAGGAGTAAGTCATATCTTCCATAGATGGCAAAAGGAAAAGAGAGAGCTTGTGCAGGAAAACTCCCATTTTTAAAACTATCAGATCTCATGATACCTATTCACTGTCACAAGAACAGCACAGGAAAGACCCACCCCCATGATTCAATCATCTCCCACCAGGGTCCTCCTACAATACCTGGAGTTTATGGGAGCTACATGATGAGATTTGGGTGGGGACACAGAGCCAACCCATATCATCTGCCCCTCGCTCCTCCCACATCTCTTATCTTCACATTTTAAAACCTATCATGCTTTCCCAACAGTTCCCCAACGTCTCAACTCATATACGCATTAACTCAAAAGTCCACAGTCCAAAGTCTCATCCAAGACAAGGCAAGTCCCTTCCACCTCTGAGCCTGTAAAATCAAAAGAAAGTTAATTATTTCCTAGATACATGGGGATACAGGCACTGGGTAAATACACCCATTCCAAATGGGAGAAATTGGCCAAAGTGAAGGAGCTAAAGGCCCCAGGCAAATCCAAAATCCAGCAGGGCAATCACATCTTAAAGCTCCAAAATGATCTCCTTTGACTCCATGTCTCACGTCCAGTTCACTCTAATGCAAGGGTTGGATTCCCATGATCTTGGGCAGCTCCATGCAGCTCCATCCTTGTGGCTTTGCAGGGTACAGCCACCTTCCTGGCTGCTTTCCTGGGCTAACACTGAGTGTCTGCAACTTTTCCAGGCACACAGTGCAAGCCGTTGGTGGATCTACCATTCTGGGGTCTGGAGGATGGTAGCTCTTTTCTCACAGTTCCACCAGGCGGTGCCCCAGTAGGGATTCTGTGTAGGGGCTCCCACCCAACATTTCCCTTCTGCACTGCCCTAGCAGAGGTTCTCCATGAGGACACCGCCCTCCCAGCAAACTTCTGCCTGGGCATCCAGGCATTTCTATACATCTTCTGAAATCTAGGTGAAGGTTGTCAAACCTCAATTCTTGATTTCTGTGCACTGGAAGACTCAACTCCACCCAGAAGCTAAAAAGGCTTGGGGCTTGTGCCCTCTGAAGCCATGGCGCAAGCTTTACTTTGGCCCCTTTTAGCTATGGCTGGAGCAGCTGGGATGCAGGGCACCATGACTCTAGCCTGCACGCAGCATGAGGACCCTGGGTCCAGGCCCATAAAACCACTTTTTCCTCCTGGGCCTGCAGGCCTGTGACAGGAGGGACTGCTGCAAAGGTCTCTGACATGCCCTTGAAATATTTTCCCCATTGTATTGGTGATTAACATTCAGCTTCTTGTTACTTATGCAAATTTCTGCAACTGGCTTGAATTTCTCCTCAGAAAGTGGGATTTTCCACATTTTTGGGTATCTTTTCAGCAGCTCCCCATTCTACCTGTATCAGTTTACTGTATTAGTCCATTTTCATGCTGCTGATAAAGACACCCAAGACTGGGCAATTTACAAAAGAAGGAGGTTTATTGGATTTGCAGTTCCACATGACTGGGGATGTCTCACAATCAATCATTGCGGAAGACAAGGAGGAGCAAGTCACATCTTATGTATATGGCAGCAGGCAAAGAGAGAGCTCCTTCAGGGAGACTCCCATTTTTAAGACCATCAGATCTCATGAGACCCATTCACTCTCACAAGAACAGCATGGGAAAGACCCAACCCCATGATTCAATCATCTCCCTCTTGGTCCCTCTCACAACACATGAGAATTATGGGAGCTAAAAGATGAGATTTGGGTGGGGACACGGAGCCAAACCATATCAGCCTCTTTCATTTCAAATCCTCCTAACCTCCTATCCTGGCTTAACCATCACTTTACACCTTCTCTTATTACTTTTTCCCTTTCATATTGTCTCCTTATGACTGGTTTTATATCACAAAAGTTAAAGTAACTAGTCTGCCAAGGCAAAACAAAAATGCACACACAAAAAAATAGTAAAAAGTAGAGTTGGGGAGTTCTAGGCACTCCAAAATAGAATTTCCTTTAGAAAGGTAAGAGGGAGGGATGCTGGCATCACTTAATATTTAATAATGTGTGTCCCTAATAGATTTGACATTTTAAAATTAAGAATAAGTACAATTACATATTTTGACTAAGACTAATCATGGACATATTTTGAACAATAAGAGTCAGAAGAAGCTGTTATTTACATTAATTCATAATTTTGGGTCATATAAAATTAAGAGCCTTATATGAGTTTTTCATTCTTTTTTTCCTTTTATTCTGAGGGGAAAAAAGTATAGGAAGCTCCCATAGACATATCTTAAGAAAGAAATTGCCTTATACATGACTGAGAAACTAAAAATCCTGTTTGCATGGTAAATTATGACATATGGTTGTATATCTATAGGTCTCTCAATTTTTTAAAACTATTTTTTGAGAAGGGGGCATTGGAAACAGAGGAGAAAATACTTATTGCATGTAAATATATTTCATTCTGTCTAAAACCGTTGGCTGTTTTAATTTTATCATTTGTGTTCTTGTTTGAGCTGGTGACTTAGAAGTCATAAGATGAAAATTATTACAGAAAGAATATAAAGTCAACATTTTTACTTCCTGCATAAGAGAGGACACTATTAAGACTCTAGACTAGATGGCTAAAGTCTTATATGTGACTTTGTTTATTCCTAAATATTACAAAATTTACTGATGTCAGCTTCTTCTAATGTGGTATAATTGCTCTGTTTTAACCAGAGGGGATATGACATCACTGAGTTTGGTGAGTAAACAGACCAGAATTTAGTTAGGAGCATCTTCTGGGACAGGAGGACAGGGATAGGAAATGGGCTTGGTGAAGTCTAAGCATACAATAAGTACACATTAACTTTTTTTCTGAGACTTTTTATAAATTGGCCTTGATAGCAGTTCAGACATTGTTGCGTCTTCCTTGTGCTGCACTTACTTGACCATGCCGGGAAGAGATTCACCAGGAGCTGGACTCAATACACTGGCCTTTGGGCTATACAAAGAGAAAATTCTAGAAGTTGGGTTATCATGCTCATCTGTTATCCATGAATATTCAGTAAATCGTATTAAAAGCTTCAAACAATTCTCCACTCTGCTATAAAGACATATGGTGAGGGCCTGCTCCATGCTACAGATGCAATAGAAAAGAGGTGTAGAGAGAAATGGAGCCAACAACAAGCAGCAACGTCAGCCTAAGGAATGCCATCAATCATGTACACAAGGTGATCGCTACAATAGGATCCAGATGTCACAGAAACTGTGGCATGTGGCCAGAGACACAGCAAGAAAAGAATCACCTCTGTAGAGCCATTTCTAACATATGCAGAACAAAATCATAGGGAACTTAGAGTGCACTATAGAATTGCTGCTAGCAAAGCTCTGCATCTATATTGTCAGCCCAAAGATACCTTGGATAATGTCTGTTTTGTCCATCACTGTAACTAAGAAACTAGAATGATGCCTAAGGTGTGTGAGAGATGAAATCCATATTAGTGAATGAATTTTCAAGGGAATAAAAAATAATTGGGCTGTGAATAGAAATTTTAGCCACATGCTGGTGAGAGATAATAGACATACCTGCTATATAAGGAAACTGCAGTTTTTATACAATTCTTTGTTTCCTCTGTAGCTGAATGCAGTTCTAAATGAATAATATCGGATTCTGTCAAAGACTGCTTCAGCTAAATTAATAGACAATGCAGTCTGTTTGAGATATTGACATTTAAATAGAGTTATTTTTATTTTACTGGAAATATAATCTTCTATACTGATAAAGCCTGTTGTTAGACCTTTTGCAAAGTTGCTTATTATTTCTGAATTTAAATATTATCTGCCTCAGAAGATTGACTCTAACATTTCAGGCTAAACTTCAGTCAGATGCCACAATATAGATTAAATATAAATGTGCCAAAACTCCACTTCTAATCACAGATGAGTTTCAACATGATGAGTGAATGTAACGTTCCCCCAGATCATATTGACCATTATTTAGGTGCCTGAGTGACATTGGAAAAAAGGTGTAGCAAAAGGTTTTGTGTTGTACAGGTTTAAAGTATAAACTGATCCCTTATTCAAGATTTGATCTCAGGAAATGTCCATATTGTTAATGGTTCTGAGATGTTGTGTTTGATAATACTAGAAACCAGTTCTAAACTTGTGCTCCTCAATTTCGTTGGCACTCTTAGAAGAAGCTTTTATTGTACGTGATTTGAAAGCTAAGAGTCATGAACTGTACGCCAGGCTACCTTTAGATGAACAGGTAATACCTAGTTCAAGTTTATCACTGAGGAAGTTGAATATTCTGCTTGAAGAAACACAGTCGTCTGCACAAAGGCTTGGCAATGATGCGTGTTATCTGTGGAACTGCTCAAGTCTTGGTTTTAGAACCAAAACTATCTATCTATGGTCACTGGTATGCTGAGTAATGTCATATTGTACTCTGAATCAAATTCTCTCCTTTTTGAGTGGAAAAGAACAAATAATGCCTTTTGAATCTCCTATGTCTATGGGACTTGTAAAGTTTTGAGATGCGTAGAATTTAAGAGAGGAACCGTACTTCCTACTAACAAAGAATATGGGTATTTGAATAAATAATTTGAATAAATCATCTTTATTCAAGGTTTCCCTACATTTACTGATGAGTTTGAGCTTCAGTATTAAGAATAAAGTCCTCTTCAATTTAAATGTTAAAAAATCTTACTAAATAAATGATAAACTCCCGTTTGCAAAGTTAATCTTATGTAAATGTACAATAAAGTAAAAAATGCATCTTACTCCATTGTTTTAAATGAAATGTACATTTGATAATTGCATAAGTAGATGAACTAAACAGCAAGTTACAATATATCATCTTTTCTGAAAGTGAATGAAAAAAGTCACAAAATTTTACCAGAAAAATTTTAATGTGTGTATTTTTACATTGCAGCGATATTTAGCTATTATGTACTGTGTTTAGTATGAATAACAATGGGGAATACCACCCCTCTGGAGAATTATATCCTTTTTAACACAGTTTTTAGACTTTTTTTTTAATTCCAAGAGATAATTTATTTCTGTTTAAGTTTCATTTTATTTTATCTTATTTTTATTTTATGTATCTATCTATCTATCTATCTATCTATCTATCTATCTATCTATCTATCTATCTAATTTAGAGACAAAGTCTCACTCTGTCACCCAGGCTGGAGTCCAGTGGCACGATATTGGCTCACTGCAACCTTCGCCTTCAAGTTCAAGTGATTCTCCTGCCTCAGCTTCCTGGGTAGCTGGGAATACAAGCACTTGCCACCACGCCCAGCTAATTTTTGTGGTTTTAGAAGAGACGGGGTTTCACCATGTTGGCCAGGCTGATCTCGCACTCCTAATCTCAGGTGAACCACTGGCCTTGGCCTCCCAAAGTGCTGGGATTACAAGCATGAGCCACTGTGCCAGGCTGAGTTTCATATTATTTTTAATTGGCACATAATCATTGTACATATTTATGGAATACAGTGTGATATTTTGATACATGCATACACTGTGTAATGATCAAATCAGAGTATTTAGCATGTCCACCAACTCAAACATTTATTAATTTTTTTGTGGTGGAAACATTCAAAATTCTTTATTCTAGTTTTTTGGAAATACATAATCGAATATTATTAACTATAGTCACCTTACTGTGCAATAGAACACCAGAATTTGTTCTTCCTAGCTAACTGAAATGTTGTAAGTGTTGGTACATCTCCTTCTTCCCTCTACCTTTCTCCACCTCTGGTAATCATTATTCTATACTATACAACCATGAAATTAGCTTTTTTTAGATTCCACAAAAAAGTGAGATTATGCAGTATTTCTATTTTTGTGCCTGGCTTATTTTACTTTACATGATGTCCTCCAAGTTCTTCCATGTTTTTTAGAATGGCAAGATTTTATTATTTTTTATGACTGAACAGTATTTCATTGTGTAAACACACCACAAGTTTCTTTATCCATTTATCCAGTGATGGACACTTAATGGCTGTCACATCTTGGGTATTGTGAAAAGTGCTTCAGTAAATAGGGGTACAGACAGGTCTTTGGCCGAATTTCACTTCCTTTGGATAAATACCAAGTAGTGGGATTGCTGGACAATATGGTAGTTTTATTTTTAATTTTTTGAGGAATCTACAAACTGTTTCCCATAGCAGCTGTACTAATTTACATTTTTACCAACAGTGTATAAGAGTGTCCATTTCTCCACATCCATATCAGCATTGTTTTTTTTGTCTTTTTTATAATAGCTGTCTAACTGGGGTGAGGTGACATTTTGATTTGCATTGCCTCAATGATGAGTGGTGTTGAACATTTTTAAATATATCTGTTGCTCATTTATATGTCTTCTTTTGACAAATGTCTATTCAGATATTTTGCTCATTTTTAAATTGGATTGCTTGTGTGGAGGTTTCTTTGTTTTTGAGATGTTTAAAATGTTTGAGTTAATATTCTGGATATTAATCCCTTGTCGGTTGTATAGTTTGCTAATATTTCCTACCATTCTGTGGGTTATTTTTTCACTCTGTTGATTATTTTATTTGCTATGCAGAAAAATTTTAGTTTGTTCTATTTTAGCTTTTTTACCTATGTTTTTGAGTTCTTATGCAAATAATTATTGCCCAGACCAATGTCCTGAAGTGTTTCTCTTAGGTTTACTTGTGTCAGCTTCATAATTTTGGGTCTTACATTTAAATCTTTAATCCATTTTGTGTTTATTTCTGTATATTCTGAGAGATAGGAGCTTAGTTTTGTTATTCTGTATTTGGATATCCAGTTTTCCCAACACCATTTATTGAGGAGACTGTTCTTTCCCCAATGTATGTTCTTAACACCTTTGTCTCTGCATCAATATCTGTGCATCTGGTGGAATAGTAACCTTTTTCAATTTTATAGAGTGACTTTTGTAGGTATAGATTTTTGCCTGCAGATGTGTTCTAGAGTGTCAATTTGGTAGGGTGCATTTGTTTTTGAATAGCCACAGTGCAGGCTCTTAGACTGTGGGCAACATCAGAAATGCCTATGCCTGAGAGAATGCCTCAGTTGCCTAGGATGAAGGAGTGTGTGTGGCTGTTCTGCCTGGCACAGCCTCCACTCTGGGTGGAGCTCAAGGCTCCTTCATGCTTGGCTGGAACACCTGTTCCTTGAGAGGCTGGGTACCATGTGGGCTAAGGTGCCAGAGTTACAGCTGTAACCTGTTCTGCTTGGCCTAGGCTTTGTGTAGCTGGGGTTAGAACACTGCAGCCAGCCACTGGAGTGCCACCTAGTCTGTTTATTTCTGGGAATAGGCAGGTGTAGCTGCTCAGTGGGGAATGGTGCACTATTGCGTGCTGATGCAATGTAGTGACAGTGGAACCTCAGGGATGGGGATGTGCAGTAGCTACTGGTCCCCAAAAAAGGATGCCCTCTAGTAATGGCTTCAGTCTGAAGATGGTGTTGTTTAGCTGCATCTTGGATCATGGTAGGTGGGGAATGGGACACATATGAGCTTATTCTTTGGAGTAATGCAGCCATACATATTTCAGATAGCTCTCTAGACTGGACTGAGAGCCTGTGATGACTGCAGGGTGCTCAGCAACAAAGATGGTAGGTGTCTGTGGTTTAAAGAGGCACTTCTGGAGACCTGCTGCTTACCATTTTCCCCATGGGAGTGTCCCTGCTGGCTTTGAGCTGATCCCAACTGAGGAGATATACTGGTAAAGACACCTTTTCTTGTGGCCATCCTGATCTCTATGTTCCACAGAGTCTCTGTCATTCACCTGATACTCCAGTGCTTTCCTTCACATATTCTAGTTGAAATGTGATTATGTATTAATTGTTTTGGTCCTTTCTCATAGAGGGAGGTTGAGTGTTAGGCATTCCTATGTAGCCATCTTGCTGACATCCCAAGAGATAATTTTTTTTGGTGGGGGGGCGGTAGGGGAGGGGGGAAGAGTCTCTCTCTGTGGTCCAGGCTGGAGTGAAGTGGTGTGATCTCAGTTCACTGCAACCTCCGCCTCCCAGGTTCAAGCAATTCTCTTGCCTCAGCCTCTCAAGTAGCTGGGACTACAGGTATGTGCCCCCACTCCTTGCTAATTTTTGTATTTTTAGTAGAGACAGGTTTTCACCATATTAGCCAGGCTGTTTTTGAACTCCTGATCTCAAGTGATCTGCCTGCCTCAGCCTCCCAATGTGCTGGGGTTACAGGTGTGAGCCGCTCCCAGCCCCAAGAGATAATTTCTTAATGCAACTCTATTTTAGAATCATACAGAAAACTTTAAAACAGGTAAACATACATTCTTTAATATTACAACTAAATTCAATTAGAACCATGTTTTCCCAAAATTACTTGATTATCACAGCATGAATAAAATATATTACTTAATTAAATTTCATACTCTGCCCCCTAAAAAGTATCATATAATTTATATATGAAAATGGTAAAATTGCATAATTCTTTTTTTTTTTTGAGACGGAGTCTCGCTCTGTGGCCCAAGGGACAAAGGACAGTTATATGGTTTGGCTGTGTCCCCACCCAAATCTCATCTTGCAGTGGCACGATCTCGGCTCACTGCAAGCTCTGCCTCTCAGGTTCACGTCATTCTCCTGCCTCAGCCTCCCGAGTAGCTGGGACTACAGGAGCCTGCCACCACGCCTGGCTAATTTTTTTGTATTTTTAGTAGAGACGGGGTTTCACTGTGTTAGCCAGGATGGTCTCGAACTCCTGACCTCGTGATCCGCCCGCCTCGGCCTCACAAAGTGCTGGGATTACAGGCGTGAGCCACCATGCCCAGCTGCATAATTCTTAAGAAAAATCTATGCTGTGCCTGTTACTAACTTGAGCTTGGTTGAGGACAAATGACATTTTTACTCTTCCTCTGAAGAAAAACCCAGTGAAAATTTAAAAGAGGTTCACTTCAAATAGTAATTATTATGTTACTGGTTCATAATGGATATTCTCCATTTAGAGTCATTATAAGGTTCTGTGCTGTCATTTTGAACATGTGATATATATGTAATATATGATATATAATAATGTGATATAATATATTCTACATATATATCATGTGATATATATTCTATATATGTGTGAGTCGTATATATTCTACGTATCATGTGATATATATTCTATATATTCTATATATCACATTATTATGCATGTAATAGTCCTGTGCAAATAATAAACATCTTTCTCTTTAGCTGCACTAGAAAGAGCACTCATAATCATTTACTCTTCAAGTTTAAACTTTAATTCTAATTGTTAGGTATTCAATATGATGAAACAGCTTTTCTGAAGTAAAAGTAAAATAAAACATAAATGAAGGAATCAAAAACGATTGTGTTAAATTGCTAAAATTGTTAAAATCCTATGTTAAAACAATTATAGTACTGAGGCCTAAATATTCTGTAGGATATTCTAAAGGATTTTATGGGATATTCTAAAGGACTCTATGGGATATCCTTTAGAATATCCTACAGAATATTTAGGTCTCAATATAGTACTGTTTAAACGCAGGATTACATTCCCATCAAGTACCCCTTATATTTTCTAGGGTTTGAGAAAGTAGGAGCAGGTTGTTATAAATTACTTACACCTAATTGCGTTTGTTATAACATATCTCTCTGGGGGACACAGTTCAACCCACTACACTGTCTTTACACTGTAAGATTATATGAATGCTATACAGAACTGTTCAGTCAGTACAGTAACATTGTATAAAAGTTGTGTATTTTTCTTTTGAATTTAAAAATTCTGTTTTTTACACCTATGCTTAGATTTCTTTCTATCACTAGACACTGTTTACCAAAAGTCAGAGTCCTAATCTACTTAAATGCATAGCATAATCCACCAGGCTTTTGTCAAAAAATGTGAAGATTATGAGACTTTACTCAGAATTTCAAAAAATTAGCTAGCAAGTTTCATAGTTCTTGGCATATGACACAGACTCTTGGGGTCAGAGACAAAGGACAGTTATATGGTTTGGCTGTGTCCCCACCCAAATCTCATCTTGAATTGTAGTTCCCATAATCCTTGCTTGTCATGGGAGGGAACCAGCAGGAGGTAAATGAATCATGGGTGCAGTTTCCCCATGCAATTCTCATGATAGTAACTTCTCACAAGATCTGATGCTTTTGTAAGGGGTTTCCCCTTTGCTGGGCACTCATTCTTCTCCTTGCTGCTTCTATGTGAATAAGGACATGTTTGCTTCCCCCTTCTGCCATGATCATAAGTTTCCTAAGGCCTCCCCAGCCATGCAGAACTGTGAGTCAATTAAACCTCTTTTCTTTATAAATTACTCACTCTCAGGTACTTCTTCACAGCAGCATGAGAATGGACTAATACAGTAAATTAGTACAGGGAGCAGGATGCTGCAGTAAGATACCTGAAAATGTGGAAGCAACTTTGGAACTGGGTAACAGGCAGAGGTGGAACAGCTCAAGGGGGCTCAGAATAAGACGGGAAAATGTGGGAAAGTTTGGAACTTTCTAGAGACTTGTTGAATGGCTTTAACCAAAATGCTGACAATGAAGTCCAGGCTGAGGTGGTCTCAGACGGAGATGAGGAACTGATTGGGACTGGAATAAATGTGATTCTTGCTGTGCTTTTACAAAGAGAATGGTAGCTTTTTGTCTCAGTCTTAGAGATCTGTGCAACTTTGAACTTGAGAGAGATTACTCAAGGTATCTGGTAGAAGAAATTTCTAAGCAGTAAGCATTCAAGAGGAAGTAGAACATAAACATTTGGAAAATTTGCAGCCTGACAATGCAATAGAAAAGAAAAACCCATTTCTTGGGGAGAAATTCAAACTTGCTGCAGCAATTTGCATAAGTAATAAGGAGCAGAATGTTAATTGCAAAGACAATGGGGGAAAATGTCTCCAGAGCATATCAGAGGTGTTCAGGGCAACCCTTCCAACACAGGCCTGGAGACATAGGAGGAAAAAATGGTTTTATGGGCTGGGTCCAGGGACCCCTGCTCTGTGCAGCCTCAAGACATGGTGCCTTGCATCCCATCTGCTTCAGCTCCAGCTGTGGCTAAAAGGAACTAAGATTCAGCTCTGGCTATTACTTCAGAGGGTGCAAGCCCCAAGCCTTGGTGGCTTACATGTAGTATATTGAGCCTGCGGGTACACAGAAGTCATGAATTGGTGTTTCAGAACCTCTGTCTATATTTCAGAGGATGCATGGAAATGCATGGATGTCTAGGTAGAAGTTTGCTGCAGGGGCAGAGCCCTCATGGAGAACCTCTGCTAGGGCAGTGTAAAAGGGAGATGTAAGGTTGAAGCCCCCACACATAGACCTCACTGGGGCACTGCCTAGTGGAGCTGTGAGAAGAAGGCCACCATCCTCCAGACCCCAGAACGGTAGCCCAACCAATAGCTTGCACTGTGTGCCTGGAAATGCCACAGACACTCAATGCCAGCTGTGAAAGCAGCCAGGAGGCAGCCTGTACTCTGTTAAGCCAAAGGAGTAGAGCTGCCCAAGACTGTTGGAGCCCACCTCTTTCATCATCATGACCTGGATTTGAGACATGGGGCAAAGGAGATCATTTTGAAACTTTAAGGATAAATGATTGCCCTTTTAGATTTTGGGCTTGCATGCAGCCTGTAAGCCTCTTTGTTTTAGCCAATTTCTCCCATTTGGAATGAGTGTATTTACCCAATGCCTGTACCCCCACTGTATCTAGGAAATAACTAACTTGCTTCTGATTTTACAGGTTCATAGTGTGAAGGGACTTGCCTCATCTCAGATGAGACTTTGGACTTAGACTTTTGAGTTAGTGCTGGAATGAGTTAAGAATTTGGGGGACAGTTGGAAGGGCATGACTGTGTTTTTAAATGTAAGGACATTAGTATTGGGAAGTGCCAGGGTGGAATTATATGATTTGGCTGTATCGCCATCCAAATCTCATCTTGAATTGTAGTTTCCATAATCCCCATGTGTTGTGGGAGGGACCCTGTGGAAGGTAATTATATCTTGGGGGTAGTTTGCCCCATGATATTCTCATAGTAGTGAGTAAATTCTCACGAGATCTGATGGTTTTATAAGGGGCTCACCCCTTTGCTTGGCTCTAATTTTTCTCCTTGCTGCTCTCATGTGAAATAGAATGTGTTTGTTTCCCCTTCCTCCATGATTGTAAATTTCCTGTGGCCTCCCCGGCTATGTGGCACTGTCAGTCACTTAAGCCTCATTTCTTTAAAACTTACCTAGTCCCAGGTATTTCTTCATAGCAGCATGAGAACAGACTAATACAGACAGCTTACTAATCATGGCAATAGTAGTAGCCAGAGGGTATTTTGTGTTGAGTCATTGAGCTCTAATTCCCACATAGTGATGTAAAGAGGGCTAGATGACATATGCACACATAATGAAGTATGTTGCAGATGGGTATCCAGAACTTAGAGAACCCATATTTTACCTAATGGGCAATAAGCATGCCTGACCTTTTTCCTGGGCCACAGCTTACTCCCCAAAATCAAACTAACCTAGGTTTTTATTCTTCTCTAGGCCTCCTCCAGTTGATATGAGTACATGTTTTTGGTGGTCTGTTGGCGGCACCTGCACAATCTCCCATCATGCTTCTTCATATGTCCCATGTCTAATTAGTATCTTAAATCTCTGCACATTGGTGTGATTTTTACTATTAAAATGAAGCAAATGTTAGATTAGGGAAAGCTACAATCCTACAGTGCACTTGCATTGGGGAGGGTCTTTTGGAAAGTCCTTACGTTGATGGCCTGGATGTTTGTGGTCAGAGTGTTCTATTTTTCTTTTTAGGTCTGACTGGTTGATTTTATGAAAGAAAGCTTCAGTTGTTGCAATGTTATGGAGCTGGATGCAGCTGTAGTCAGTATAGTGTGTAATGAAGTGTGAAAGGATCACCAGTCCCACCTTCCCTGTCTGCCTCAAATAAAAACTCAGAGAATTATGTCCCAACATTTTTGTTGTCATTTTTGTTTGTTTGTTTAGTCGAGTTTATTTTGTTTGTTTTTCTCCTCAAGATATTTTCCCTAGATCTTATGGTAGAATAAAAATGCTCAATAATTATTTCCCCTAGAAGCAACCCTCAATTAATGATTGACAGGAGTAACTAAGTTCCACTTCTGGAACAATTTGGGTGAGTTTTCCAGTGACTCCCAGATTCATTACTCGCTGAATTAAGTTTCAGTCATAACCAATGGTAGTTGTCTTGATAAAACACACTTCATTTACTCCCCCACATAAACATTTTCTCAGTCTCTATTCATGTTCTCTTTACCCCCAAAATTATTTATCCATTTGGAATTTTTGTCTCAGGCTCTACTTATGGAGAATACCAAGTGGGGCAGTAGTGTATCTTGTCCCTTTTCAGTCTCAACTTCGCTATTTCCTATTTCTCTAGCAAGTGGAAACATCTTTCAATTTTTTTCTTTTAAATCTGTATGATCTACATTTGTAACATAAGCCAGTTTACCAAAGGACCTGGTATTTCAGCAAAAAAAAAAAATACATATATATATATATATATATATATATATATATATATATACACACACACACACACACATATATACACACACACACAGACATGTATAAAATATACACACACACATACACATACACACACACGAACACATATATAACCTCAAATTTGTATTTTGAACATATATATGTGTATGTGTGCATGTGTGTGTGCATTTGTGTGTGTGTGCGTGTGTGTGTGTGTAAAAAAACCTCATATATGACCAACTCGAGTCTCTCATTTTGCAGAGTCTTTGTGGCTTAAGCCACAAAGTGGCTTAAGTGAAGAAGAACCTCTGAGTAATTATAGAATGATGAATAATCAAACTTACTGCAGGAAGCAAATGAAGTGCCTCTGTAAGATATACTCAAAACGTCTGCTGTGCAAATGATGAAGCTGATGAAATTGAGTCTATGTTGAAATATTTTATTTATATCCTGGGGTATTACTAAACTAGTTTCTTTCCTGGATGAGACCATACATACTTACGGGTTTTTTATCTTTTTGTGGGTAAAGTGCTGAAATATATTAAGAAAATCGTATGTTTCTTTAGTGACTGTTATTTTGAAAATAAAACTCATAGGATTTCATAATATAAACAAATGTATTTCCTCAAAACTTAAAAGTATATCCATCAGATTCTCATTGTTTTTTAAAAAATAAAAGTGAAAACAGAATTTTAAATTATGCTTTATTTCTTTACCTCAAAAAAAGTTCTTGAAAATCTACCATGTCAATTATAAAGATGGAAGCCAAAATGATGTCAAAGATACATAATATATTAATAAATGCTTTTACAAAAATAACCTACATATCACAAGATAAAAGCTTTTCTTGATCACGTTAGAAACACTTTCTTGATATTGATAATGGTAAATGTGAAATCCACTAAATTGATGGCAGGATAATTTAATTTATGTTAATGTTTTTTCAGCATTCCATTTTGAAGAGATTAAAGATTATTAGAAGATGCAACAATCATGTTTTCTGTCTTTGAGGCTGTGGAATTCACTGAACATATAGGAATCAAGTACTTTTGTGAGACTTACAAATATTTAATTCAAGTTTTACTACCTGTTGTAATAAACTATGTGAAGTTCACCTTTGAGTTTCGTTATATTAAATTGAAAAAGCATTTGTCTATCTAATGTTCAAAAAATAATTTTCAATATTGGCAGGGGTGTAAGAAATAAAACCTTCATATCATGTTTACAAGGATACAAATTGGTCCAAAATTCGAGAGCTAAATAATTATTACCGATTTATAAAGAATCTTTATAAATTGTTTATATCCTTTGACATAGATTTTCCTTTATTAGAAATTCAACAGAAGCAAATAAATAGAAATGTATGCACATTTACATACGAAAGGTATTCTGAATCATTGTTTATAGCATTCTGAAAAAAAATCAAAAACTAGTGGTTCAAAAGTTCGATAATAGACTATTGTACAAATAAAGTGTTGATTAATAGCAGGAAACTATAGCTTTATTAAAACTTATGATTTGGAATATGTAATATGAGAACATTCGAGGTACGTGAAGAAGAAAATAATGTATAAACTGTATCACCTTGTAAACCAAAGATTAAGAAAATGTACATATTCACATGAAAACATTAAAAACTAGAAAGGTAACCATCAATTTGTTAATAGTTACTGCATATTGTTTAAAAATGTATTTGTTGAAATGTACTCTGAATATTTTTGTTCAAATTAAATGCTCCAAAATGAAGTGGGATTTTTTTTGGTTTTTGTTTTTTGAGACGGTGTCTCACTCTGTCGCCCAGGCTGGAGTGCAGTGGCACAATCTCAGTTTACTGCAAACACTGCCTCCCAGTTTCAAGTGATTCTCCCACCTCAGCCTCCTGAGGAGGTGGGATTACAGGCGCATACCATCACGCCTGGCTAATTTTTGTATTTTTAGTAGAGACGGCCTTTCACCATGTTGGTCAGGCTGGTCTCGAACTCCTGACCTTGTGATCCACCCACCTCGGCCTCCCAAAGTGCTGGGATTATAAGCTTGAGCCACCAAGACCAGCAGAGTTTTGGTTACTTTTAAAATCGGTTTTAATGCTTCCTCGAAGTAACTTAAAAGCAATATAAATTGTGTTGTTCAAGATTAAAGATAATTTGATTATTGCAGTTGATCATGTAACAGAAGCTAACATTTATTGTAAGTTAACGATGGACAAATAACTTCAATGTTAAAATTTCATAGATTAAATCATTAAATGTTAAAGTAATTGTATGAAGTATATTATGCTCTTATTCTCTCTTTTAATACAAATGAGAAATTTGTTAATTGCTTAATTATATCCAACTTAAATATTATTATTTCGTTTTGCCTCAAACAAAATATGTTTTCAGAGTTGTGCTTATACTTAATAAGCTTCAACTTTATAAGTAGGAATGAAGATTAAGCTGCTGTTAATAAACAATCAGAATTTTTAAAAACAAAATACAATGGCTTATGCAAAATAGTTGTTTTTTACTCACATGAAAGTGCAAATTGGTGGTTCAGAAAGATGCCTGAGATCTTGCACACTTATTTCTTCTTGTTCTGGAATCTGGAGGTAACCCTTCTTCCCATGGATGAAGATATCCATGTTCCAGCCAACCCAACGAGAGAAACCATGAACCTAGAGGGCACACATTCCAGTTAGTGATACAACACAAAAGTGGCACACACTCTATCTATTCAATACCATTAGCTAGATCTTAGTGAAAAGACAAAATGTTGCTCTGAGAGAGGCTGAAAATTAATTTTTATAAGGCCTGGCCATCTTCAGAGCTAAAATTTAAGGTTGAACTAAAATCATAAAAGAGAAAATAAATATTAGAAAAACCATCTCTGCCACACTTATAGCATGATACTGGGATCTTCATATACTCTTAAGAAGCTCTGATTTATTTTTTAATTTCATATTTAATTTGGTAAATTATTTTACTATTATTTAAAAGTTCAAATGCATATTTCACTGTTATTCAATTACTGAGGATTGACATTTGCTTGAAATATGTTTCTGAATATATCAGTAAATTTTAAATTTTTTTTTGTCTTAGCAAGGTACTATATATGAAAATAATCAGAATGAATACTAACAAGCTCCTTCTGGGATTGTTATTATAAACTTGTTTATATTTTAAATAGTTTATGTATATGGTTCAAAATTTGAACACTCAAAACATTCAAATAAGGCAGTGTCTTCCATTCAGAGGTAGTAACTCATACATTGGGTGGTGAAATATATTTGCTATGTAAAAACAGATTGCTTTTTCTAGCGCTAAAATGAGACAGAATAGAACAGAATGAAATAGAATGTATTATAATATATATAAACCTCTTTCCTACATGAATTACCCAGTCTTGAGTATTTTTCATAGCAGCCTAAGAATGGAGCAGCCATCCCCTGCTCCCCACCACAAACACACACACACACACACACACACACACACACTTAACCTTTCCGTAAATTATTTTGGGATTCACAGAGGAGGAAGATTCCTAGACTCACAAGTAAACAACCTCAAAAGCCTATTTTCAAAGCAATCGAGACAGAAAGAGAGAGACAGTGTGTGTAAAGAGAGAGAGAGAAACTAAGAGGAGTAACAGTGAAGACAGGTAAACCTAGACATCTAGAAATAAATTTAGATTGATTTTGAAAAGAAAAAGAATTACATTATTTTTTCCAAAAAGTTTAGGTAATATGACACTGATTGAATAAAACATTAAGTTTTGTTTGTTTATTTTTCAGATGAGCTGATTAATCTTTTAACACATAAAATGTATTTTGATTGGCTGGAGACACAGATTATCCTCATCATTTCTCCCCATATTTACATGCATAAATCTATACACTTACAACCAGATAGACAGATAGATAGATTGTATATATAGCAACCATAAATAAATTAGGTTGTTTAGGAGTTTCCTCCTTAGAGCATTAGGCAGCACATCAGTCTCATAAATTGGGTTGTTTAGGAATTGTGATTCTCTACTATCATTCTAAGAGACATCCGAAGGAGGTAGGAAGGGTGATTGGTTGGGAAGGAGAGTCTTTCTATCAAGTACCAGCAAACTGCAATTCTAAGCAACGCAAAGATAAATGCATGCTGCTGTCCATATTAACTTAGTGATTCATCAGTTTGTATCATTAATCCTGAAGATTTGTGTCTGCATCTCCACGTGCTTTTTCCAGACTTTCAGTCTATCATACATGCATGCCTCTTTAACTTTTTGGTTTAATTGCCAGAGCGCTGTGAAAAAACACAGTTTCCTTTAGGCTTTCAGGGACAAATGTGCCCTCTACAATTTAAAGAAGGCTCACCGTTTTGACAGCAATGTTGGTGTGGTTCCTCCAGTAAATTCGTTCCCAATAATTCCTTTATGTATATTAATATCCTCCAGTTTGGGCAGTTTGGTAGCTCACATTTAAGGGAGTATTTGACAAAGACAGAAAGTGTGATTTTACATGTTGGGTGGCAACGGCCTGAAATGGGTTGAAGGAATCTTGGGCTTGTATCTTCTCATCTTTGGATCTGTACTCTACATTAATTGTTACATATTGGAGAGGTCTTGGACTGTAGAAAGACTGATTTTTTTCTTTCCTTTTCATGGCAATTGCCTTTACTTGCTATTAAAGGCAATTGCCTTTACTTGCTATTAGTTGTTATTAACTTTACTTGCTATTAATAGGAATGCTGCTAACAGCCTAGTTTATGTAGAAGATGGGATCTGAGAAATAAAAATCAAATCCCAGTTTCCCAGCTGACTTCATGGACACCTTCTTGACCAAGGAGACACCAGAGAAACCTTCAAAACTAAGTTAGCAGCCATGATGGGATGGGAGGCGAGACACACCTCAGTGTGCCCTTCCTTCTTAACATCTCACCAGAATTCATTCCTGAGGAGTAAGCAGAGACTAGCCCTGGAAAACAAGAAATGGACTACTCATTCCTTTATCACCTTCAGCCAGTCATCTAAAGCCATAACCTGGCTTCCCCTCCCTCTTTGCAGTTTCTTCGCAACAGCTCACCAGTTTCACAATGCATCGTATTTCTAAGAACTGACAATCATCTCCAGACTAGTTTTCGCTGACTTGTGGAAGATGCAGTGATGGTTTTTGTGTCCTCATTCTCTCCTTTTGACATGAGTGGACCGCAAACTCCACCCTCAGGTCATGCTAATGCAGCCATTTTCTGAACATGTGACCCATGAAAAGGCAGGAAGTTCAATTGTACAAGTGCATGCTTCTTTTTTTTTTTTTGTAAATATTCATGATTGCTTGATATGGTGTGGATAGTTTTCTCCACCAGATCTCATGTTGAAATATGTTTTCCTCTGTTGGAGATGGGGCCTGGTAGGAAGCATTTGGGTCATGGGGGTGCATCCCTGATGAGATGATGCACTTCCACGGTAATAAATTCTTGCTCTAAATTCACTCAAGATGTGGTTGTTTAAAAGAGTGTGGTACCTCCCCCCTCCTTTCCTCTCTCTTTCTCTGTCTCTCTCTCACTCCCACTTTCACCATGTGATGAGCCTGGTCCCCCTTTGCCTTCTACCATGATTGTAAGCTTGCTGAAGTCCTCATGAGGAACAGATGGCGATGTCATGCTTCCTGTAGAACCGTGCACCTATTAATCTTCTTTTCTTTATAAATTACCCAGACTCAAGTATTTTTATAGTGACACAAAAACAGATTAACACACTTCTCCTACAGCTTATTAACTATGTATAATCAGCCACCCTGCTCAGCATAAATTTCTGTGCCCTTCACTCCTCCCTCCAAGTGCTTGCTCTCGGCTTACGCCCTAGCTAAGCTTCCCAGCCTGTGGGGTGGTCATCCTGAAGGTGTTGCAGGACTTTTTCCTTAGTTCAGCTATAGACGGGTCCTTATCACATGGCCGTGAAAATTTAGGCTTGTAGATAATTTGAAGAGCGAGAAAAACGGAATTTATTGTGCAAAAAGGAAAAAAAAGGGAAACGGAGACTCTTAGTGAAGCAAAAGAGTATGCTTCCTGCCCATGGGCTTGCCACCTCACAGATCGAATCCCAGATTCCATCCAGGAAGAGGAGGGGCCAGACTACTCTCTGCTGCACATGGCGCAAACTTCTGTGGCTCCAACCCAGTGTGCATTCCTCCCAGTGTGCAGGCCAGTTGGACTGTCTCTGGGGATCCCCTCCCACTGGCTGTCTCATTGGCTGCAACCTTTTATGAAAAATAAAGCTCTCATTTCCAAATTGATGAGCCCTGTGATTCTTCAGTTGACAGATCCATTGAACCTTATAATTTTGTTATTACTAATCCTCTAATTTCAATAGGAGAATGATCACTGTCTTAGTCTATCCCCCAAGATTCAAAGAATCAAGGTTTGTTTTTTTTTTTTTTTTTTTTTTTTTTTTTTTTTGAGACAGAGTCTTTCTCTGTTGCCCAGGCTGGAGTGCAGTGGCGCGATCTCGGCTCACTGCAACCTGTGACTCCCGGATTCAGGTGATTCTCCTACCTCAGCCTCCTGAGTAGCTGGGATTACAGACACGCACCACCACACCTGGCTAATTTTTTGTATTTTTAGTAGAGACGGGGTTTCACCATGTTGGTCAGGCTGGTCTTGAACTCCTGATCTCATGATCCGCCCACCTTGGCCTCCCAAAGTGCTGGGATTACAGGCATGAACCACCGCACCCAGTCCACAAGATTCAAGTTTTAAACATTACTGTTATTTAGCTAATAAAATATTGTTCTCTTGCCCACATTGATCAGTTATTAAGATAAGTAAAGGTCTATTTTTTTAACTCTAGATCTAAAAACTTGACAAGATTCTAGGAAACACAATTTTTAAAACATCAGAACTTGGTAAAAAATTACATATTTTCTTATTACTAGGATCATCTAACTTTTAAAGAAACCAAGCTATATTAAATTGAATTTTTAATATTTTGATTTTACTTGAGATCACCACATATTTGGTTATTCTATTGAAAATGTATTGATGCAGAAAGATGCCTATGTAATAATGTTTACCTTCTCTTTTCTTCATTGTACATTACATGAGTCAAGGATACCAGAGTTATTGAATAACTCAACAAAAATACATTCAACTTGGCTACTTTTTTATAATAGTTTTTTTAACTTTTTCTGTTTGGGTTTTTATGTACTTATGATTTTTCAGATTTATTACATGTCAATCAAATTATCCTAGTAGTTTTCTTTGGATGCTCAAATTGCTTCAATTTTGGGCAGTTGGAGTCCCTTTTTTATTGACTCCTGTGTCCTTTCAACATAACCCCATTAATCATTGAAAGCTTCACTGCTTTATGATACAACAAAGTGTAGCAGGTTCACTTTGTATCTTTCAGACCCAGAGACTGAATTAGCCTATTTTTTTTCCCAAAATCTATTCACTAGGGTGCATTGTATGGGTATCTTTCATACTAGGATATTTCTGTGAACAGACGTAAAAAAATATGTATAATTCTAATTGACAATTTTTGAAAATGCACACATTCATAATGATATTCCTAATTCCTGGTACCATAAGTGCATAAATTCTTACATATAAATATTTCTCCTTTGCTTTATACTAAAAATCTAGCTCCCTAAGAAAATTGATGTAATTCATTACTTTTTGTTTTTTAAAAGTTAATAAAATACTTAAAAATATAGAATATTAAATCAAACAGCATAATTAATAAAGTTCAAATATTTTTCTGGTATTATCTTCTCTAATTTGTACTACATTTGATTAAGATTCATTTATTTATTTATTTATTTATTTTTTTGAGACAGAGTCTTGCTTTGTCACCCAGGCTGAAGTGCAGTGGCACAATCTCAGCTCACTGCAAGCTCTGCCTCCCAGGTTCACACCATTCTCCTGCCTCAGCCTCCCGAGTAGCTGGAACTACAGGTGCCCACCACCATGCCTGGCTAATTTTTTTGTATTTTTAGTAGAGACAAGCTTTCACTGTGTGAGCCAGGATGGTCTCTATCTCCTGACCTCGTGATCCACCCGCCTTGGCCTCCTGAAGTGCTGGGATTACAAGTGTGAGCCACTGCACCTGGCCTTTGAATAAGATTTGTGCTATCATTAATTGTTCTTAATCTGTATGAATATAGGTAGAATTAACTGTTGAATAATTTAGTTTATTGACTCAGTTTGCTCTCAACTTCAGGGCAATGGCATTCTAAATACTTACAGTTTTTCTAAATGATAAAAGCTTGACTCTTCTATTATTCCTGAAGGGAGCTGTCAGATATTAGAATAGAGAAAAGTTTTCTTTATCTGAAATAATAGAAACAATTTAATTTTTAAAAATTACTTAAAATAATTTAACTTCACCAATCTCTAGTCCATCTGTGATGAGTTAATACATACTTAAATGAACAGGATTCATATATATAATTTTTTCTGGCTGAATAAACCAATACTTCTGCATATTGATTTATTTCTAGTAATATTGGAACTTGTGCATTTTTATATTGCTAATTACTTAATATTAATTACATTTAGCCTATCTTGATCTTCTATTTTTTTTTTTTTTTTTACTGTATCTTGCTCCTTTTTGAAACTTCCAAGTTCTACTTCATTTAAAATATATGTGGCATATTTCTAAACTTATGTCAGGTAATGCATTGCTATGCCAAAGTTTAGAGCATGTAATGACAAATGATTTTCTCAATTAGTATTCTCATGACTTATTTCCAGTTAAATTTTTTAAATTCTCTTCAGGGGAACCAAGGAAATACTAAATGTCTAAGAATTATCTGTGATTAGTAAAGAATTACAGATTGATATACAGGAACCTAAAGTTTTACCCAAAATCTACTTTTTACACTCTGCTAAAATTCAACTATTTCTTACACACACACACACACACACAACACACATTTATATCTTTATTGTATATTTATTTTCATTGTAAGCACATACTAGCTATTCAATTTCTCAAAAACTTTTGAAATATTATAAATACTTGTACCTTAATGCTATAAAAATTAACATTTTACACAAGAGATTTGAAATTTTAAGTGACCTTGTTGCGGGAAGTCAGGGACCTCAAATGGAGGGACCCGCTGGAGGCATGGCAGAGGAACATAAATTGTGAAGATTTCATTTTAATATGGACATTTATCAGCTCCCAAATAATACGCTTATAATTTCTTATGTCTTTAATCTCTTAATCCTGTTATCTTCAAAAGCTAAGGATGTACGTCAACTCAGGACCATTGTGATAACTGTGTTAACTGTACAAATTGATTGTAAAACGTGTGTTTGAACAATATGAAATCAGTGCACCTTGAAAAAGAACAGAATAACAGCGATTTTTAGGGAACAAGGGAAGACAACCATAAGGTCTGATTGCCTGCAGGGTCTGGCAAAAAGAGCCGTATTTTTCTTCTTGCAGAGAGCCTATAAATGGATGTGCAAATAGGGAAGATATCACTAAATTCTTTTCCTAGCAAGGAATATTAATATTAATACCCTGGGGAAGGATTGCATTCCTGGGGGGAGGTCTATAAACAGCAGCTCTGGGAATGTCTGTCCTATGTGGTTGAGATAAGGACTGAGATACACCCTGGTCTCCTGCAGTACCCTCAGGCTTACTAGGGTGGGGCAAAACCCAGCCCTGGTAAATTTGTGGTCAGACTGGTTCTCTGCTCTTTAACCCTCTTTTCTGTTGTTTAAGATGTTTATCAAGACAATACATGCATCACTGAACATAGACCCTTATCAGTAGTTCTCCTTTTTGCCCTTTGAAGCATGTGATCTACTCCTTGTTCTTACACACCCTCCCCTTTTAAAACCCTTAATTAAAAATTTGCTGGTTTGAGGCTCAGGTGGGCATCACGGTCCTACTGATATGTGATGTCACCCTAGGCAGCCCAGCTGCAAAATTCCTCTCTTTGTACTCTTTCTCTTTATTTCTCAGCCAGCCTACCCTTATGGAAAATAGAAAGAACCTACCTTGAAATGTTGGGGGTGGGTTCCCCCGATATGACCTAACCAAAACACGAAAATTAGCTACAATAAATTATGTTTTAAAATGGATGAAAAAATTATGACAGTAAGATAAATCTGACATAGTTGACTCCATCTTGCTTCGAACCTCCAAGCTATAACTTGCTCACTCTTGCTTTAACCTTAAGGCAAGGATGATAATAGCCCTTCCCAAAAGTAAAACACCTTTGTTAAATTAATGAAAGACCACAATGTTAGGATTATGAGAGGGGCCTAATTCTGCTAAGTTGTAGACATGGTTAAATGATGACCAGCCATTATTCTGGAGGCCATAACATTTGTAACCTCCCCAATTTTTCCTGTAATTATTAATAACATTACTAGCATAAAACCTAAGACTGGTCTTTTGAGATGTCTTTTCAGGCTGTTGCATTTCAGATATCTGGGTGGTTTCACCTGGATTTTGATTCAACCTGTCCTGTGGCTCCCACCCAGAAGCTGACTCAGCACAGGAGGACCATTTCTCACACTCCTATAATTGCATCTGCAACAAATGAGCAGCATCCACACTCTTGCTCCCTATCCACGAAAGTATCTTTGAAAAACCCCTAACCTGCAAGCCTTTGGTGAGACTGAGTTGAGTAATAACTGTCTCTCATGTGGCATGGCCAACTGCATGTCAATTAAACTCATTCTTTATTGTAATGTTATGTCTTAGTGGATTGATTTGGTGCAGTGGGCAGAAAGAACTCATCAGGCAGTTACATATTACACTTTTTAACCATGCCTAAAACCTTTAAGTAAAAACTCTTTAACACATGTGTACAACTTGCAAATTATCTTGGTCCTACTATAAGCATTTTATACAAAATATATTTTATCCAAATTCAAGTATAATTATGTTTTATGTCACATTTGGGTAATTATAATTCATAGGAATAAATTATACATAAATGAAATTATGAAGAATACATTTTTATATAATTATAGCTACTTAATAGCTTACCTTTTTGGTGGAATATCTATTGGTAAATACATTCATATTTGAATAAAGTAAAATATGCCATATGCCAAAATTTTAGTTTTGCATTCCAGTGGATAGTTTTGTTTTGTTATGTTTTGTTTTCAATAGTTATAATTTGACTCCTCAGGTTGGCTTCAGGCCATCTTGCATCTCTTGGCCAGTAGCTATTTTCTATTTCCCAATCTCTCTTTTCCAGCTTAAAACATTTATATGAAAACCAGAATAATGATTTTAAAGTCAAATTCGTATAAATTTTAACTTCATATTTAGGCATTAAATGTCACATTTTAATTTGTAACTAGATATCAAAAAAACCCATCTAGTCAAAATATTAAACTGTAAACTCACCATATATTTCATACTTGTACCATATGTATCTTGTTTATTTAAAGGGATTTCTTTTTCCAAACAAACATGACTTAGCAACTAGAAATCACTGAATATTTTTCTTCTAACAACAACACAAAAAATTTAAATACTTCTACTTTTTGGCATCAACTTTTTTCCTGTAAAGCTGGGATAACTCACATGTTAAAATAGAGCTTCTTAATTTTATATATATTTAAATATAGCATCTCTTCAATGCTTCTTGCTGGACTAAAAACATTTAATTTTGTTTTTTATTTTTACACAAATGATCCTTCATTATCTCAATTAATCTGAAGAAGGAAGTTACTATAATCTGTTTTATATTGGTGTATAGATAGTCATTAAAGAATGAATGTCAGTAAAATGGACTTCTATGAAAACTTTTTTTTTAATTTAGTGAAGATGAAAAGCAACAATTGGCCATTATTTCAACAACATACTCCCCTAAAGGTTCTGAGACTTTAGTAAGAATAAATTGAGAGCTTAATTTTACATTAAGGCAATTTGATAGCTCATTTTCTTGGATCTTAAGAGAAGAAAAACAGAAAAGCTTATCAGGAATTGGTACAAAGGTGTTTTTAAGAATAGGAGTACAGTCTTCAGTTTCCTGTGGTATATTCATGTCATCAGTGTTCTGTTGGGCAGATTGCATTTTGTTCTTTTTTTTTTTTTTTTTTTTTACTTTTCTTGGTTTTTCAACAGTTATAATTTATCTACATGAACTAGTAGAGGGATTGGGAATTACACCTCCTCTAAAGATGTTAGTGTTTGGTTTTGAACTCTTTGGCCTTTTTCATGGTATCCGAGTATTCTTCTCAAATATTCACTTTTCCCACTCAATATATTTCTGTGTTTTTGCATTTTCATCTGAATATATTTAAGGGAGGCGACTAGGAATTTTATCCCTTCCTAAACCTCATCTTCCTACAGTTGGAGACGTGTTTTGTTTTGGTTTTCAGATTTTCTTTTAGGTAATTCAGGACATAACAATACTGGGAGGCATCGAAAAAGGAAACAAACAAACAAAAAACTTTTGACCTATCTCTAGAATGCCAAATTAAATACAATTTATTTTATAGCTCAAGGACCACAACAGTTTTAAAATATAACTCAGAATATATTGTTCTCTGCCCTCTTGATCCTTGCACTGAAAAATAAGCATAGAAAATCAATCTGGACCAAAGATATAAATTAGACATGTAGAAAAAAAAATTGTTTTAAATGCATCTTTTTATTTTTAAGAATGGAAGGGTTAAGAGCGGCTCAATAACAAGCCCAGAATTGCAGACTGTGATTACTCTTAAATAATAAAAGTTTTGAAGAAAAGCAAACAGTTCAGAATTAAATTTTGCTATGGAATTTTTTCTCAGTGTGGAAGAGAAAGGGAGGAATAAAAATCTGTTTATAAAACAATGACTAGACCATATATGGAAACACTCTGACCCACAATCTCTGTAGCAAGCAGACCAGGAATGTAAAACACAAGGGCAACAGCAATGGTCCAAAGAGTCAGGATGTGTCAATGACTGCCAGCTTCCTAATTGTTTGCTCCTGCCTCCAACTCAGAATCTATCCTTGGAAAAAAAAAATATATATATATGTTCCCCATATCAGTCAACTAATATGCCCCGTTTCTAGTTAACCTAAATCCAGCTTCCTCCTGCCAACAACTTCTAATCAAAGCATACCTGAGCCTTCTTTTTTTCAATACAAAATGTTTCCACTCCCCTGACAGTGTTTGAGTCTCTGCCAAATACAAATGATGGTGGCTGACTCCCTTGCTATAGCCAGCTCTGAATATATAGGCAGCTCTGAATAAATATTGTTTGTGCTCATTTGAATATTTTCATATATTCCCACAGAAGCAAATAAAAGTCAGACATCAAGGGCCTTGATTATATGCAAACTCTGTTCTTGTCCTGTAACCTACTTTGCCACATTTGGTGTTGGTTTGGCATCAAAACTTGCTAAGACTGCACCAAATTTTGGCAGAAATAACATCATACTCTTAGAATGTTTAGACATATGATTTTGCCATTTACTAAAAATTCTGCATTGCAGGAAAAAATGAGGAGAGGACGCCCAGATAAAAGTCAGGAGACTATTTCACCTTTGTTCTTAAAACCAGATTTAGAGGTTCTCTTTTATATGCATATAGTCCAGGTGCATCCCAGCTGTCTACCACTTTGCCAGAAATTACTTTGTAATCCACAAGGAAAGAGACTCTTATTGGCAGTAAACAAACAATAATACATTTTGAATACGAGATTCAATTGGACATTTTAATTACAATGGGACTAATATTCATCTGAAACAAAGATTGACAAACTTTTTCTGTAAAGGGCCAAATAGTATAACTTTTAGGTTTTATGGGCCATATGGTCTTTATGGCAACTACTAAATTGTTGAAAGCTGTCTCCCTAAATATCACCAACACAATCTGTTGATAAAGCAAAGCTGAGTTTATTGCTTACAACAGTAAGGGAGAATGCCACTTCCACAAAGCATTGGCAGTATCTCAGATGGGGAAAGGTAAGGTCTGAATTTGCTGAGAATTGGAAATGTGATTTATGGTGGGCCTTTAATGTTGGACTTTGATTAGGATTAGGGAAGAATGACAATATGACAGTCCTGAATTGGGGAGAAGAGCAGAGCAAGGATTCGAGTAAATAATTCAAAGGATCTTAGGGGACAAACTGCTTGTTGATTCTTCTCTTTGAAGAATTGATGGGTCTTCCAGATTCTATAATGAACAACCAAACCATTCGCTTGCACAGAAATGTCCTGGGACAGCAAAGGAATGTTAATGAAGACAGTGGAATAGCAAGTCATGTTAATGTAGACAAGGGTGTCATTTGCATTCTGTCTAGGTCAAGTGTCCGCGTAGACAGTTCTGGTTCCCAGAACTCTGAGGCTGTAGTGCAAAAGCAGCCAGAGACAATGTAGAGCCAGAGAAGCTGTATACTAATAAAACATTACGTATAGATACTGAAATGTGGATTTCACACCATTTTCAAGTCCAAAAATATCCTTCTTTGATTATTTTCAAACAGTTAAAAACATAAAAACATTTTTACCTTTCAGACTATAAAACACATCACTGGATGGAAAGCCAAAGGAATTATAATATATAAAAAGTAAAACATTAAGGGTTTTTTTATATTTAATTTTACTTTAGAACCTATGACATAAAATTATTTTGATTCCTGGGGTGGAGGGGTGCTCATCTTTTCATTATTGGGGAGGAAGAATTGCATTTTTCCAGAGATTTCTTTTTCTGTGTCCAGTCATTTTCAAGTACTACCCATATAGGAACACATAGAGATAGTGCTCTTGGTGCTCCTTATGCTACTCACATAGTGTCCATTTGCATTTTGATAGTGTAAGCTTCTGATTTTAATTCCTATGGAGGCCATTCATTTCACAAGCTGGAATAGGTCCTGAGACTAGGTGCATCACTTAACATCTGTGTGTCAGGGGTAAGGGCACAAATGTAGGACTCTGGCCTGCTGCAGTCCACTTATTTCTTCCAGGCCCCAGTGGTGTTCCATAACCAGAAGTACCGTGTACACAATCCTATGGACTACAAAACAGAGCAGCACATATGTCTCAACTTCCCTAAACCTCACCTCATCTCCAAGCCTAGCTGAGAGCCAGCATTTCTTGGCTAAGCTGCCAGCCTAGGGATAATGTGTGCTGATGGTGGGCTCTTCCTTGAGAGGATGGAACCAGGTAAGGAGCTCATTGAAAGGTCCTGATTGCAGCCTTATAGGTGTTAGGCAGGGGATTTGGGGATCCTGACTTTTAGAATGTGATCTAGATGTAGCATGGATTTTTGGTGATTCAGTCCCACTGGCCATGTGATTTTCCTTGCTCCACAGGTTGGAATAACCTCCTCTAAACTATGAACCCAGGGCAATACTCATTGATGAAAGGACATTCCTATGTGCAACAGTTTACCAAGTTGTATCCTTTTAATGCCAGGTAAATTTCACTCCTGTCTTCACATCAGAGTATAGCCTTTGAAGATCCTGTTTCTGTGCAATGGTACAATCCCCACTATAAATGGTATTTATGCATTTCTCTTTTCTCAAACAACTGCAACTAGAACCCAAGGCTCAACATTTCTGATACTGGTAAATACTACTAGCATTTGAATACTCAGTTACTGGTTTCAAACACTTGCTATTTTTTGCACCCTAGAGATTTCTCTAGCCATTTTTTTTTTGAGAGTTTAGCTATTCATTTAGTAGACTGTTTGTTGTAATATATTAAGAATATGTAAGTATATTTTAAAAGTTGGTTTTAAATTTTAAGTTTTTTCAAAATATGAAGCTTATCAAACAGCTGAAAGTGGAGGCCCCACACTCCTGTTTAAACCACTTTTGATATTCATGTTATAAAATATATAGAATCATTCTTTTGTTGTATTCTTAGTTTACGTTTTCTCTTTCCCGTATAATTTTCAGCTCTGGAGTTTTTTTTTTTTTTTGGGGAAAGTAATAACTGCTCTAACTCAACATTTTCATCTTTGTTTGGCAGGAGATTATTTTTTAATATTGATTATATTTCTAAATAATTAAATACAGTAACTTATTTTCAAATTTACCATGTCTGGATTTAGTTTAATAATATTTGCCTTCGACATTTTCAATCTAGTCTTTCTACTAGAGGAAATTAGATTGTAATATATTTTTATAAGGATAAAATTGGCTTTATTATCATTTCCAGTTTACAAAATTAATGTTTTATTTCATTTTGCTTATAAAGATTGAGATTCTAAGTTGGTTTGGTTGATGTAGCAAAAGTAATTATAACAAGAAAATATTGCTTAGAAAAAATAACTTTACAATAACTCCCAGTTAACATATTTTTATGTCTCTATTTCACAGCAAGGAACTCTTTTTATTTTAGGCTATGTAGTGTCTACATGAAAGCGTGTGATTTTTACTGTAAAAGGAATTCATTTGTGTGCATATTAAAAAATAAAGACATGCTGTATAAAACAGCTGAAAATGTACAGCTACATGTAGATATAGCAACTGTTTGCAGGTACTCTATATTCTTAAAGGGTACAATATTTCAAAAACTGAACAAACGGCAAACACTCTTAAAGTCAAAGTGCAAATGTACAGAATTTTTATTATGGAAAATAATTTTATAGATACACAATTTGAAATAATGTTAAATGAACCATAAGGTTTTAGTAGAAAACATTTTAAATATAGTAAATTATTAAATCATTGGTTACTTTGACACCTTAATAAAAGACTTAACTAAAGCAGAAAAAAGAAAGCAGGCTTTAAAATAATGTGTACTCTCTCATTTATGCTGTGTTCATATATTACATGCAAATCTAATAAGCACATAAAAATTAAGATGTTATAAGTATATTCTAAATGGGATATTTTATCTATTATGAAATTGAATTTTTATGACTTGCAATTTGGGGAATTTCCATAAATAATTGTAGTTCATTATTTCATCACATTTTAATATTTTTCTAAAACCTTTTTTATGTGGAACTAACAATATAGTAATAGTCAAGTAATATTTCAGCAGTCAATAACTACCTCTTTATAAACTCTTTCTATTTTTAGCACCAGAAGCAATGCAATTTTGATCTAGTCTTGCCTTATCATTTCCAGCTGTCTGCCTTGTTTGTTAGGATCTGTACATTCTGTTTGATTTTTTGCCAACGTACCATTACTCTCATCATCTCACCATCTCTCCATTATCTATATTACGTCTTCATCCTCCAGATTTTCCATTTATATGTCACTTTTCTCTGATACTAAGTTGCTTTGAGGTAAATTTTTAATTGTGCCACTTAGACTATTGAAATATGCTACTATCTGAGGGAGAAATGATATTTATTGAAATGATTTTTGTTGCAGAAAGGAATGGCCAGATCAATTTTAATGCCAACAAGCATTGTGACTATGATAACTTAATTATCAATTTCTCTTTCCAAACTTCCAGGCTCTCAAATACAACAGCCAATCACCATGCTCCCAAGTAACATGAACAATGAAGGAAGAAAATTTAGAAGAGCCACAGGAATTTAGGGAGAAGTTTCTAAGATAATATTGAAGGGTTATGTTGTATTAGGACAGTTTTATCTATTCAGGAAGGCATTTAGCAACCATTTACTTATTTACCATTTGCTGTATAATATTAATACGATATGAATATATACTGATGACATACAATATTTAATAGAATAAATTACATATGATAGATTCAGGCTTAACCTAATGAAAGAATCTGCTAAGATATTTCTAAGTTAATATATTTAAGTCATTCACTATTCACCAAGGTTTGAATTTGAAGATAGCTATTCCAGACCATTTCAGAAATACTACCATAGGCAGAAAGAACAGGGAGGAATACATTACACTCATAATTGACTAATTTCTAAAACCTCTTTCCTTTGGGTAAATACCCAGTAATGGGATTGCTGGATTGAATGGTAGCTCTACTCTTATTTATTTAAGGAACTCTTATACTATTTTCCATAGTGGTTATATTAATTTCCATCCCCCAAGCAGTGTAAAAGTATTCCCTTTTCATCATATCCATGCCAATATCTTTTTTTTTAACTTCTTAGTAATGGCAATTCTTGCAGGAGTAAGGTGGTATTTCATCGTGGTTTTAATTTGCATTTCCCTGGTGACTAGTGATGTTTTTTCATGTGTTTGTTGGCTATTTGTATATCTTCTTTTGAGAAACGTCCTTTGCCCACTTTTTGATAGGATTATTTGTTTTCTTCTTGCTGATTTGTTTGAGTTCCTTGCAGGCCATTATTCTAAATGAAGTAACTCAGGAATAGAGAACTAAATACTGCATGTTCTCACTTATAAGTGGGAGCTGAGCTATGAGGATGCAAAGACATACAGAGTGATGTAATGGACTCTGGGGACTCCAGGTGGGGAGGAGATTGGGAGGGGGTGAGGGATAAAAGACTACATTTGGGCACAGTGTACACTGCTTGGTGAGGGGTGCACTAAAATCTCAGAATTTGCCACTAAAGACCTCATCCATGTAACCAAAACACATCTGTACCCCCAAAACTATTGAAATTCATAATGAAAGAATATCCACAGGAAAAATAATAAAATAAAATAAAACCTGTTTCACTGTATGGCAACTCTAATGTCAAGATCTACTTCTGTTTTTTTTTTTTTTTTTTTCCAAATCTTCATTTTGATCACTGAGAAGAGAAGAGTGCAGTAATAGGAAAAGAACATACTGCCCAGTGTAGTCGAAAAAAATGTATGAATGCAATGTACCCATGGAAAATATGGTGTGTTTTCCTTTCTCCTCATTGTTTTATTTGGTTTGGTTTGATTGGATTCGCTTATTTAATTGTACGAGATAAATAAATTATAGTTTGGAAAGAATTTTTTTTAAATTTCTGATTAGTAATGAAGGACCTAAGGACTTAGATTGTGATGTTAAAAGAAGTAATAGATATTCTTGTAGCTAATATTTTTATTCAGAATTATAAAAAAATAAACAAATTGTATTAAATATACCAAATGTATATGTTGACACATGTATTAAAATGTTTGTCTATGTGTGTGTACATATGTATGTGCATGATACAGTACAGTTCTGTGAGTTTTGTCAGTTGCTTACATGTGCATTGACTGTCAGTTAACGTATATAGCAAATTCATCTCCTCAGAAAAATCACTTAAGAGACTTCCAAGAAAATTCCACCCTCAACAATAGAGACTGTTCTGGTTTCTTTAGCCATATATTTGTGGGTTTTTTCTGCTTTAGAACTTCAAATAAATAAAATCATACAGCATGCATTCTTTTCTGTCTGGCTACTTTCACTCAACCTAATGTTTTTGAGATCTATACATGCTGTCATGTACATAAATAGCTTGGCCACTTTTTATTTTTTCATACTCAACTATTTACCTATAAAATAATTTGTTTATCCATTCTCATTTTCATAGACATTTGAGTCGTCTCCAGTTTTGACTATTATGAATAGAGCTGATGTGCTCATCTGTGTACAAGTATTTTTTTGTACCGATATGTTTTCATTTCTCTTGGGAAAAATGCTAGAAGCCAAATTGGTATGTCATATGGCAGGTGTGTGTTTAACTTCATAAAAAATTGCCAAACCTGATTTACAAAGTTGTTTTTCCAGTGTATATTCTCACCAGATATGCATATCTGGTTGCTTCTAATAGTCAGTAACTTGATGGTGTCAATCTTTTACACTTTAACCATTCTAGTGGATATATATCAGTATTTCATTATGGTTTTAATATGTGTTTCCTTGATGACATGTAATTTTGAATACTTTATGTACAATGCTTATCTAAGTTCTCTATTTTTTAAATTGAGTCATTTGTCTTACTAGTATTGACTTATAAGTAGGGTTTATATGTTCTAGATCCAAGTATCTTGTCTGAAATATATTTTACAAATATTTCCTTAATTTTTGGCTTGTCTATTACCTTCTTTATTGGAGTTTTAATTCTCAGAATTTTTTAATTGTAAGGAAGTCTATTTGATCAATTTTATCTTTTTGCTTTAGTGGCTTGACTGAAAATCAAGTGATTGTAGAAATATGGACTATTTCTGAGCTATTATTTGGGTATTGTTTATCTGCTTTGCTTACCTTTATGCTGAAAGCATACTGTCTTCATTATTAAAACTTTAATAATCTTATCTTTATATTTGTATCAATTTTTTGAAATTTAATCATTCTCTTTAAATATTGTTCTGCTCCAATTTTCCTCTTCTCTCCAAGCAGTTCAACAATATTTATATGAATCTGTTTAATACTATGCACATCAGACTATGTTTTTATTAATCTTTTTCTGCCTTTTATTCCTTCTGTGTTTTATAGATTACGTAGATTCTTGGCAGTTTCTACTTGGTAGAATCTACTTATGTAGGTTCTATCTTCAAGTTCATTAATCTTTTTTTTTTTTCTGGAGATACTAAACTGACTATATTGTGATTTATTTTTTACTTTTAATACTGTATTTTTGAGTACAAGGTATTGCATTTTGTTATTTTTATATCATCCATTTCTATCACCAACTTGATTTTCCTTCAAATATTTAAATATATTTGTAATAGCTCTTTTATACAACCATCTAATAATTTTATCTTTGTCATTTAATGCTGTTTTAATTGATTAACTTTCCCCTAGTTATGGGTCATATTTCCTGCTTCTTTGCATATCTAGTAATCTTTGAATAAATAGTTTACCTCATGTTTTATGTTACCAATTCACTGGATATTGTTGTTGTCCTTTAAATGATGTTAGGCTTTGCTAAGCAGGTGGATGCCAAAACCGAGTTGCTCTGCTCGGGTTTCTCTTCTTTGTGTAGTAGTCCATAGAGTGACTCCAGGCAAAAAAATAAGCAGCTTACTTATGCAAAAGATCACAGTCATATGCTGTTTGTTTTCCAATACTTGAACAGTTCTCTTATTTATTGTGTCAAATTTTACACTTGTACACTTGGCAGGGCAAGTCCAGTACCAGTTATTTCATCAAAATTATACGCAGATAGATTGGTGTTATTTAAATGATATATTTTTTTTGACACAGAGTTTCACTCTTCGTTGCCCAGGCTGGAGTGCAGTGGCACGATCTTGGCTCACTGTAACCACCGCCTCCCAGGTTCAAGTCATTCTCCTGTCTCAGCCTCCCGAGTAGCTGGGATTACAGGCATGCACCACCCTGCCCGGGTAATTTTTGTGTTATTAGGAGAGACAGGGTTTCACCGTGTTGGCCAGGCTGGTCTCAAACTCCTGACCTCAGGTGATCCACCTGCTTCAGCCTGCCAAAGTACCGGGATTACAGGCATGAGGCCCAGTGCCCAGCCTTAAGTGATACTTTCAAAATTTAATTTTTGTTGAAAAATCACATATAAAAATGTATGCCAACAGAATTTTTAGGTTTCTCTTAAAAAATTATAAATGTTTTCAGTTTTAAACAAAACTTAATTAACTCAGAATATCATATATTTTCTGTTACTCCTGGTGGAAAAAAGTAGGAATATTTTGGTCAACTACTTTCTTATCTATTAAAATACTCTCCTTTCTATAAGTTCAACTAACAAGACATTGTCTTTGTAAAAAAATTTCTCAAGTTCTAAAAGTTCACTGTGATTCCTATACCTGTATATTTTACAGCTCTATTACTACAATCCGTTTTCTTCATATTTTTTCCTATATCCTCTCCCAATATTTTGAATGTTTCTTGGTGCAACAATATTGAAATGTCAAAAACATAAATATAATAAATTTATAGATAATAAAAAAACATAACCTAGACAGTCATCCAGAGGCCTTCAAAATTAAAATTCTTAGAAAGATGAAAAGAGAATAATTTGTAGCTACAGCTAGTTAAAAACCTGGTAATTCATTAAGACTTTGTACTCAATGCATTTTCTATGTGTTTTATTAGAAGATGGAGTCTGAAGAAATAGATAATATAAAAGGCATATTTGTTACTTTATTTTATTTTACTTTGTCTTTTGAAGAGACAGGGTCCCACATTGTCACCCAGGCTGGAGTTCATAGCTCACTGCAGCCTTGAACTCCTAGGCTCAAGTTTCCTCCCTCCTCAGCCTCCTGAGTAGCTGAGACTACAGACACATGCCACCATACTGGGCTAATTTTTAAAAATTTATTGTAGCAATGGCATCTCACTATGTTGCCCAGGCTGATCTCAAACTCCTGGCCTCAAGCAATGCCTCAATCTAGGCCTTCCAAAGTTATTGGATCACAGGCATGAGCCACTGTCCCTAGCCCAACAGCATTTAAAAATTTTGCTTCCTATATATTTTTCACGGTAGTGAATATAAGTATTAATATAAGTACAGTCTTTGAAAATGGAATTGGAAGGAACACAGAGCCAAAATCAGTTTTTTTTAAAATAAGGATTTAGATTTAAGCACATCAAATATCCACTTTTTATGGAAAAATATGATTAACCAAAAAATTATTGTTAACTAAGAAGCTGCAATTCATTGTCAAAGATTCAATAAATGGCACTACTCAAGTGGAAATAAATTTAAGAGTTTGGAAACAGCACGTGAAAATAGTTCTCAGTTTACTATTCAAATCTACAGTTTATTCACTTAATGTGGCCCATTGGTGACTGAAAACATCATTGGCTTGGGCACTTATCTGGAATAAATGCTGACCCCCTAAAATTGTACCTATTGTTATGAACTCACTTGTGTCACCTTAAAATTAAGAGGTTGAAGCTCGAACTCTTAGTGACTGTATTTGGAGATAAGACCTTTGAGGTGGTAATTAAGGTTAAATGAGGTTATAAGGGTGGGGATGTAATTCAGTAGAGCTGGTGTCCTTTTAATAAAAAGAGAAGAAATAGCAGATTCTCTTTCTCTGCTCTCTCTCTCTCTGTACCTTCATAAAGATCAGACAGCTTGAGGACACAGTGAAAAGGTGGCTTGCCTGCAAGCCAGGAAGAGAGGCCTCACCAGAAACCAACCCTGCCAGCACCTTGATTTTGGACTTTTAGCCGCCAAAACTGGGAGAAAATAAATGGCTCTTGCTTAAGCCACCCAGTCTGTAATATTCTGTTAGGGAAGCCCAAGCAAACTAATATATACCAACTAATATGTTTTTCTATGATTTGCACACTGCTCCTTGGGGAAATAGGTAGTAACCACCAAGGTCCAAGCTGCTAGCGAACAAGCTAGCTCCCTGACTCTAGTTTATCCACGTCCCTTTGACTATATCTAGCTTCCAGTATCTGCATCTCTATATTAAAAATATTCTATACCTATTATTTACTTAAATATGTAATAATTCAGCTTTATTTCTATCAGTTAAAGTAACGATTTTTGTTCTAGGTCTTGAAAACAGTCAAGTTTTGAAAAGTAATTGCTTGTTTATTAACACCACTTGATTTAATAAATATAGATTCAATAGAAATAGGTAACTTTTAAAAAAAGAAATGAAGAAATTTAAAAAGACCACAGTGTAATATCATAATTTAAGAAATTGTTTATTAAGTTTTTATTGGAAATAATCAATTTGACCTCACTTAAATGCAAATGTTGTTTCCACAATAGTTATAAGAAAATTATTTTTTCATTTTTTGTTGCTGTTATGCATTGTTCTTTACAAGGATAGAGAAGCAATTAATCAAGATCATCTTAACAATAATTTTTCATATGCTCCTTATTTTCATTGACAATAAACTAATTCAATAATGTGTATTTCAGTATTATATTGAGGACTAGAGACAAAAAAATCCCAAGTCATGCAACTGGGGGCAAGATTCCTTCTTAATATTACTTTTCCAAACTAAGGTCATATAGTTGTATGACTTTTGTGTGTCAGTGCCTTATTCTCCAGAATGTTGAAATGAAAATGAGTCTTTCTCTTTTCAGTTTATTGGGTTCTGATCAAAAATGATAAATCAATCCCACTGTTTCCAGAATTTATAGCCAAAGATGTTCCTAGAAAACATATTCTGTTACTGAAGACATAGTGACAATATAAAATGTTCATCAGAATACCCAATAAAAACCTCTCTCAAGAGTGTAGATTTTTCTTAGAGACCACCTGCCTGAATGTTCCCTTAAAAATTTAGCACATCATTCACTCTTTAATGTACCTGGGCATCTTATTATCACTGATCCTTTAAGAAAAGTAATAGAAGAAACTTACATATAAAGTAATAATATTCTCCTCCAATAAAGGACCTTAAAAAGTTATACAGAAAATGAATATGATATTTAATTTCTAGTATTTTAAATAATAGCATATTTTAAATATATATATTGTTAGATTGCAAATTGAACTGAGCTGGCATAAATCAAACTATAACTTGCAAAAATAGGTATTTTAATTTGACTTTAGAAAACACAACTACATTTAAAAATTTTAAAAAGCCCACAAAAATTGAAGATCAAACATAGTTAAATATTTGCAGAAGAATACTTACTAAAATTTTATTTGCAAATTAACCTGTGGATCTAGTACTCCTGCAGAGATTCAATCCCTCCAATTCCCATGCATTCAAAAGAGAATATATGAAGAAAAATATGAATCTGAACTTAACTGAATTGATGAATTTGGATACTATTCTGAGGAAATGGTAAGCTCTCATGCCTTAATGGATGAAGGTTGTGTGAAAACTCCCCCAATTCATTATAATTTCCCCTTTTGCTTCCACCTTGTCCCAGTGTTGTTCCATCTGTCAACAATGGCTGAATAGCTCTTATTCATTTCTAGGAAAGGAGCTAAGCAATTGCTTTATGTAAAAAGTCTTCTCTGACTCTCTGACTGGCTCACCCTGATTTTCATATCCTTGTTGCCATACTGCTGAAGCACCCAGCATTTGCTTCATTGTAGGCAAACAAACTTACTACAAAAAATAAATAAATATACAATACAACTCATTCTTAACATTCTGTCATTCATATCTGATGTTTTCCTCACCAAGTAAGTAGAAATCACTTTCTTCTAAAATTGGCAACGGCCTACATTTTGCCAATTTCTTTTTCTTTTCTTTCTTTCTTTTTTCTTTTTTTTTGACACAGACTCTTGCTCTGTTGCCCAGGCTGGAGTGCAGTGGCACAATCTTGGCTCACAGCAATCTCAACTTCCTCAGCTCAAGAGATCCTCCCACCTCAGTCTTTCATGTAGCTGGGACTACAGGTGCATGCCACCATGTCCTGTTAATTTTTGTATTTTATGAAGAGATGGGTATTCGCCATGTTTCCCAGGCTGGTTTTGAACTCTTGGGCTCAAGCAATGTGCCCTCCTGGCCTTCCTAAACTGCTGGGATTGCAGGGGTGAAACACTGTACCTGGCCCTTACCAATTTCAAATAATGAACTTGGTGATAAACTTTCTAGAACTTCTCAAAAGTACATGACATAGCTAATACTCCTCAATATCTTCAAACATTTTCATCTTATAGTTTCTGGAACACTAAATATTTTAGAATTTCTCTTGGACAGTCTGGGTTTGCCTTTGCTGAATCCTCTCTGGGATAGTCTTCCCCTTATTTCTTTCTCTCATTTTCTCCCTTGGTGAGCCGATCTATTTACTTTCTTTGAAATAAAATTTAAATATTGACTCACAAATTTGTATCTCATGTGCAACTTTTCTGTTAGCTGCAGATACATTTATCTAACTGCTAACTTATATTCTACTCGTAATCTCTTCCCCTCTGTTCTCCAGAGTAGTATGTCCAATTATTTATAAAGTATTCAGCACATATTGTAACACTTGTACTTCAAAACCTTCAAAAACATCCCACTGCACCCCAAACAGAGCCCAATTTTGAAGATAGCCTATGTTAACCTGGTCTGGCCTTACTTTCCTGTCTGAATACATGCCTTACCAGCTCTTCCTCTGCTTCACCAAGTCTATCCACACCATTTTTCCATTAGTTCTTTGAAGATAATCAGTTTTTTGCCACATCAGAATTTTTTTATATACCTTCCCTTCTGCTGTAAATTGTCTTCCCCCTCCTCTTCATATAGCTTCACAGTCAATTATTAAATTAAGCTGTCCCTCACCTCTTTAAAGCTGATCTTTCTCTTTACAAGCTGTTCACTATCTTTATATCACACATCATAACTTGTCATTAAATTACTTACTGATAGAGTCTGGATGTCCCTTCCAACTCTCATATTGAGATATAATCTCTCTCAGGAGGTGGGGTGTGGTGGGAAGTGTTTGGGTCATGGGGGTAGATCCTTCATGGTTTGATGCTTTCCTTGTGATAGTGGGTAAGTTCTTGACAAATATGATTGTTTAAAAGTATGTGATACCTCCCGGGACCCCTCTCTTGCCAGGGGACATGCCTATTTCTGCTTCCCTGAGGCCTCCCCAGAAACTGAGCAGATGTTAGTGCCATGCTTCCTATACAGCCTGCAGAACTATAAGACAATTAAATCTCTTTTCTTTATAAATTACCCCGTCTCTGGTATTTTTTATAGCAATGTAAGATAGCCTAACACGAAAAATTGGTACCAAGGAGTGGGGCATTGCTATAAGATACCTGAAAATGTCGAAGAAACTTTGGAACTAGGTAACTGAAAGAAGTTGAAATAATTTGGAAGGCTTAGAAGAAAATAGGAAGCTAAGAGAAAGTTTGGAACTTCTTAGAGACTAGTTAAATAGTTTTATCGAAAATGCTGACAGTGATATGGATGGTGAAATTGACATGGTTTGGCTCTGTGTCTCCACCCAAATCTTGTTTCAAATTGTAATCCCCATAATCCCCATGTGTTGAGGGCTGGACCGGGTGGGAGGTGATTGGATCATGGGGGCAGTTTCTGTCATGCCGTTCTTGTGATAATGAGTGAGTTCTTATGAGATCTGACGATTTTATAAGGGGCTTTTCCTCCTTCACTCATTTGCTCTCTCTCTCTCTCTCTCCTGTCACCATGTAAGATGTGCCTCTTTTCCTTTCGCCATGATTGTAAGTTTCCTGAGGCTTCCCCAGCCATGCAGAACTGAGTGAATTAAATTTCATTTCTTTATAAATTACCCAGTCTTGGGAATGCCTTCATAGCAGTGTGAAAATGGGCTAATATAGAAGTCCAGGTTGATGAGGTCTCAGATGGAAATGAGAAACTTACTGGCAACTGGCGCAAAGGTCACTCTGGTTATGCCTTAGCAAAAAAAAACTTTGCTGTGTTGTGTTCATGCCCTAGGTATCTATGAAAGTGTGAACTTAGAAATGATGACTTAGGGCATATGGAAAAGAAAGTTCTAAACAGCAAAGCATTTAAGAGGTGGCCTGGTTGCACTCAGATGTGGGAGCAAATAAATAACTTAAAGTTGGAATTTATAATTAAAATGGAATCACGGAATTAAAGTTTAGAAAATCTGTAGCCTATGTGGCAAAGAAAGAAAAAACATTACCAGGAGAGGAATACAAGTGAGCTGTGGAGCAACCACTTGGTAGAGTGATTTGCGTGACTAGGAGGGAGCCACATGCCAATAGCCAAGGCAATGGAAAAAAAGGCCTTGAAGGTATTTCAGAGATCTTTGAGGAAACCCTCCCATCACAGGCCCAGACGCCTACAAGAAAAGAATGGCTTCATGGGCCAGTGTTGGGATGCCACTGCTCTGCACCATCCCAGGAGAGTGCTCCTCACATGACAGCCATTCCAGTTCCAGCCTTGGTTCAGAGGGCTTCAGATATAACTCTGGCCACCCCTTAAAAGTGTGCAAGCTACAAGCTTTGGCAGCTTCCATGTAGTGTTAGCCTGTAAGTGCACAGAGTGCAAATATGAAAGAGACTCGGCAGCCTCTGTCAGGATTTCAGAGGATATACGAGAAAGCCTGGGTGCCCAGGCAGAGGTCTGCTGCAGGGGCGGAGACCTCACAGAGAACTTCTGCTAGGCAGTGTAGAGGGGAAATGTGCAGTTGGAGACTCCACATAAAGTCCCCACCAGTGCACTGCCTAGTGGAGCTGTAGGAAAGAAGCCACCATCTTCCAGACCTCAGAATTGCAGATCCAGTGATAGCTTGCACCTGTCATCTGGAAAAAGCCACAGGCACTCAATGTCATCTCTCGAGAGCAGCCAGGGGAGCTGAACCCTGCAAAGCCACAGGGGTGGGGCTGAACGCTGCAAAGCCACAGGGGTGGGGCTGAACCCTGCAAAGCCACAGGGGTGGTGCTGTCCAAGGCCTTGGGAGCCCATCCCTTGCACAAGCGTGCCCTAGATGTAGGACATGGTGTCAAAGGAAATCATTTTGGAGCTTTAAGATTTAATGACTGCCTTGCTGGGTTTCAGACTCACGTGGGGCCTCTAGATCTCTTCTTTTGGCTAACTTTTCCCTTTTTTAATGGCAGTGTCTATCCAGTATCTATACTCCAATAGTATCTTAGAAGTAAATAACTTGTTATAATTTTACACAATCATAGATGAATGGAACTCATCACCAGATGAGACTTTGAACTTGGGACTTCTGAGTTAATTCTGGAATCAGTTGAGACTTTAGGGAACTTTGGAAAGGCATGATTGTATTTTGCAATGTGAGAAGGACATGAGATTTTTTTGGGCCAGAAATAGAATGATACAGTTTGAATGTCTTCTCCAAATCTCAGGTTGAGATGTAATTCCCAGTGTTGGAGGTGTGGCCTGGTGGGAGGTTCTTGGGTGATGGGGGTGGATATGTCACGGCTTAGCACTGTCCTTATGATAGAGGGTGAGTCATTGAGAGATCTGGTTGTTTAAAAGTGTGTGACACCACCCCTCTTTGCTCCTGCTCTCACCATGTGACACCACCCCTCTTTGCTCCTGCTCTCACCATGTGACATGCCTGCTTCTGCTTCCCTGAGGTTTACCCAGAAGCCCAGTAGATGCCAGTACCATGCCTCCTCTACAGCCTGCAGGACCATGAGTCAATTAACTCACTTTTCTTTATAAATTACCCAGTTTTTGTTATTATTTTTTTTTTGGTAAAGTAAAAAAGTCCTAACACACCTATTCAGATGTTAATTTCTGGTTTCCTCACTTAGACTGAAATTAGAGTGCAAGAAAACAATTATTTTTCTAAATAACTGTTTAAGAAAAGAAGCACTATGTTTATTTCTTTGTTCCCAAGTGCTTGTCTCAGTGCCTTACATGTAATAGGCATATTATAAAAGAGTTTATAATATGATAGAAGTAACCTGAAAACTTTGAAATTAAAGCATGTAAAACAAACTTATTTTGCTGAGCCATAATATGGAGATATGCTCTTTCATTTATTTAATAAGAGTTCAACCAATGTTATCAGTATGAAGAACTCTACAGAGAAATTAGATATTTAGGAGAGGTCTAAATTCTATCATAATTCAATTATTAATTTATTCTCAAATATTTATAACCCATCTTCTCTGACACATTGGAGATAGAACTATAAACAGAACAAAGCCCTGTCCTCAGTTTAATATGCAATACACTAAAATAAGCACTTATTTAAATATTGAATTATACAGTCAGCACATGAAAACTTTAAAAAAAATGTTTGATTTATAATAAATGTTGTATTAGTCTATTTTGACACTGCTGTAAAGAACTTCCTGAGATTGGGTAATTTATAAAGGAAAAAGGTTTAATTGACTTACAGTTCTGCATGTCTAGGATCCGCAGGAAACTTACAATCAGGGCTGAAGGGGAAGCAAGCACATCTTACTTAGTGGCATGCAAGAGAGAAAATGAAGAGGAAAGAGCCCCTTATAAAACCATCAGATCTTGAAAGAGCTCACTTACTATTATGAGAACATTACGGGGGAAGACCACCCCGATGATTCAGTCACCTCCCATGAGGTCTTTCCCTCAACACCTGAGGATTACAATTCAAGATAAGATTTGGGTGGAGACACAAAGCCTATTTATATCAGATGTACATATTTTGGGGTACATATGATAATTTAATACATCCATATCTGTTTAAAGATCAAATCAGTTTAATTGAGATGTCTGTCACCTTAAATATCTGTCTTTCCTTTATGCTAGGAACATTGGCAATAATTCTCTTCTAGCATTTTGAAATTTATAACAGTTTATTGTGAACTATATTTACCCTACTGATCTATCAAACACCATGTCTTATTTCTTCTATCAAATTGTTTGTTGGTCCCCATTAATCAACCTCTTTTCATTTCCCATCTGCCCTACCCTTCCCAGCCTTGGTAACCAATCCACTCTATATTTTCATAAGCTACAGTATTTTAGCCCCTATATATGAGTGAAAATATGTAATATTTTTCTTTTTGTGTTTAGCTTATTTCATTTAACATAATGACCTCCAGTTTCACCCATGCTGCTGCAAATGATAGGATTTCTATTTCATTGTTTGTATAGGCCACATAGAAAAAGTTTTTATAAGTTCATTGACAATCATATAAATTTATTTGAGAGATAAAAAGATTCCGTGTTAGATATTCAAAATAAATAGTAGATGTATTTGATGTCAAATAGGGGATCATTCATTATAGAATCAAATAAGATACAGAAAGGCCAAGAAACATGGAAATGCATAATGGGCTGTGAGAACAGTGAGTAATGTTATTTTGGTTTTGTTAAAGTGTAGACTTTGTGCGTTTGTATATGAGTGTCTGCCTTTTGTGTTAATGTGTGTGTTTGTTGAAGGGGTGGTTGCTGGTGGCTGGTGACAGGAAAGAACGCCAGAAATGCATTCCGGGGATCCTGAATGTTTCATGAGTCAGGTTAAAGAATTTGGACTTTATTGCATAGACAATGGCAAGGAATAAAAGTATTTTAGGATGGCTCAATTTAATGTGGTACAGTGGCCCTAAGTATCCATAGGGGGATCGGCTCCAGGGTGTCCCCGTCCCCCTAGAGGATAACATGTCTTGATATAAAATGGTGTGTTTTTATATAACCTATGTACATTCTACTGTGTACTTTTAAATCTTCTCTAGATTATGCATATTATCTAATCTAATATAAATTATGTGTAAATAGTTGTTATATTTCTAATAGATATTCATTTTTATTATTGCTTTGTATCTTTCCAATCCAAGATGGGTTGAATTTGCAGATGTGAAAATTGCATATAAGGAAGGCTGATGGTATAACTATTAAAAACAAACAAAAACACAAAATTGACTAATATTCATAGATTTTCAGATATAGAGGAACTACCAGATAGACAGTTAAGAAAAAGTCATTACCTAGAAAAACATTATATCACTTACTCTAACAAGATGCATCCACTAACTTACCTTGGGTTCTCCAAAGACAAAGACTAGCAGGTTCTAGTAAAAAGGTTAGGAGACCAGTAGTTTAAATAAAAGGAAAGGAAACCACTTTATGAACATAGTTATTGAGTTGGCCACCACTGCAGGTGCCTAGTGCCCAATCTCACAGGTAGGTCAGAGAAGCATTATGCATCTCAAAACTATTTTCCCAGGAGACAATAAGTGAAAGAATGTATCCCTTGACTTCTTTCTCCCATTGGTCAAGGTTGGTTCCTCAGGTGTTAACTCTGCTGCACTTGTATGCTGCTTGTGCTAGAATGTGAAAGAATTCCTGCAGATGTAACACACACCACAGTGTTAGAGAAGCCATGGTATGGGAATTGAGAAGCACTAGGTACAGGTCTTAGTAGTGGCAAAGTCAAATCTCAACTGTAAGTGACTGGTCAAAGCCTGATTGAAACTTATTACCAGAACAGTGGCCAACAAGAGTCATCCCATAATCCCACATATCGCTATTGTAAAAAGGTAATTGAAAAAAAGGTCTCTTTATTTTTATACTAGCTGGATGTCTGATAGAAATTATATAAATAAGACAAATTCCTGACGAATTTTTCACTTTTCCGCCAAATGCCGACACAGCCTCACATATGCACATGTTTTGTCTTATAAGCATACGGTCACAACAATTCGAATACAAATCTCAGCTTACTAGCAAGGTGAAACACATGCTTTCTTTTTCCAGTTCAGGAGTAACATTGGCCTAAATGAGGGTTTTGGGCTGGAAAATCCTGGTGTTCCTTAAGCATGTTTTCCGTGTTGACTTTATCTCAACAGATGATCTTTCTGCCTGGACATCGATAATTCAGTTTCTCTCCTTTTCCCACTAATGGGTTTTCATTTTAATCTTTTTCCAGAAATCATCAATGTACCTGTCAGGCAGTGTTTAAGAAAGTGTTTGTCAAGATATCTAAAGTTATTACAATTTTCCTTTTTTCACATGGAAGGAAAAGAAGTTTTTTGGGAATATTAAAAAGAGAGTTGATTCATGTGGAAAGGTCATTCCTATGAGAACCAAGAAGACTCATCTTCCTTGAATGCTCATGAATCCTTATAAAAAGAACTGAAACTGCTCTTTTCAAATGCAATTATTATTTAATTGAAATAGCCTGTTTAGTTGGATGGCAATTTAGATACATGTAACTTTCTTGATTTTCAAGCTTACGGTGAACCCCATTTATCCTTTGAAGTATTTATTTCCTTATTGCATGTTAGAGAGAGATTTCAACACAGATTTGCCAAAAGTATTATAAATTTATCTCCATTGTTAACAGATTGTAAAATGAAGAAGTAGGTGGTCTCATTATGTATTTTTATTTTCAGTATTGACAACAGAATATCTAAATATGCTATGTTGCAACTACAGAAAACATAACAGCAATAGTAAAAAAAAAAACAACAAAACTGTCATTTGACTGCTGTCTAGAAAGCAGACCATATCAGAGAACAGCTGTCAGAATATATCTTGCTATAAGACTATTTCAATTGTCAATAAATTTCATAAAATTGGTTACAACCACTGCACTGAATTCTGTACTGCTCATGTCATTTGAGAAATTGTGCAAAAAAATAGATAGTACATTTTACACTTGACTACCATTCAGCTACTTCCAAACCATCACTTGTGCAATATTTATATCTTTTAATGCAATAGATTTAATGCAGTGCAATTCCAGTTATGTCTAAAGCTCTTGTCATATTCGGCATAACATGTGATTTTTTTTCTCTTTTTTTTTTTTATTCCCCAGAAAAGATCAAAAGCACAACAAATGTATTCAAAGAAGAGCTTTTTGAATGCCTCACCTTAAAACCTCGCTACTCCCATAGTGGATAATCTCCAATTTCACTCCACCGCCATGGTAGCAAAAATTGAGTCTTTTTACATTCTTCAAAGGAATTCTAACAGCCCTCTTTTTAACTTTGATTCTTTATGTTTGTACTTGGTTTTATAGTCAAGGAAGAGCAGCAATCCTCTTATAGTCTGGCTAAATCCTATAATAAAGATTATAATATAATTTAATAAGCTTAATATTATATTTTGATAAAATAGATAACACTTTTTTTCTAGTGGAAATACCTATGTTTTACACATATTAGAATAAAAATATGATATACTCAATATAATCCATCTATACAATTTTTATACGTTAAATATTGAATAGATTAAATGCAAGGAAATTATTGTAAGTCATAGATTTGTGCAATCACCACTACAACTTGGATAAGCATATCATATTCAGGCGAAAGACTAGGTTTGCCTGCTGTGTGTTATCATGCAATCTATGCTTTGACACCTCCAACACTCTTGTATCAGTCAATTTTCTGTAGTGCTAGGTAGAGGTGATGCTAATTTAAATTGGTTCACCGTTGCTATAAAGAAATAAGCTGTGTATAAACATTCCTGAAAATAGTTACTACATGGTCACTATTTGCTTCATTTTGGTCATCTACCCCACTAAATTGAATAATTAAGAAACTAAAATAGATTTAGTGTTAGACCTCAGTTATCTACCTTTTTACAAGTATATGACTTGAATAAAATTTTCCTTTTTTAAAATCTTGTATTTTCAATTGTTCAGCATTGTATCAATAATAAAAATTAAAATAATATTTTTTGAGTTTTTACTGTGCACCAAGGACTGTTACAAATAGATTAAATATACAATGAATCACAACACATTAGGTATACAACCTTTATGTCTTTGGCAATGTATTACTTCTTTAAATACAGTCATAAAAATGCATAACTCTTTGCAGACAAACATATTTCTGTGCATCTGCCTCTTAGATTTATAATGAAAGGCTTTGAAATCAGTAAATCTGAGTTAAAATTTTGAAGCTCCAATTTACTACCCATATTTTCCTGAGCATGCTACTTAAACTGAGTCTGTATCTTTATTTATAAAATGTATATGTGAAAGTATGTGTCTGACACTTATCCTACAGATTAGTTACAGAATTCAACCTATGAAAGTATATAATGTCTTTGATACATAGCTTGCCCCATCATAATCAATAAATAATTGGAAGCTACTAAAACTTGTTTTCATTCATTGTTTCATTTGTTTATACACAACTTTAAAGTGCTGTAGTTTTCACTTTTTAGGATGTTGCTTCTCTGCCAATCTGACATTTTTTTGAAATTTATATATAATTTTTTGAAATACCCATAATTTAAGAGGGAAAATTACACACATTTTCACAATGATTATTTGATGTCCTTGTTTAAATAAGCTGTTTGTTGCCACCAATAGGAATCATATTTACTGCTATAGAATAAGAATCATATCTTCTATCCTTTTTCCTATTCCTGTTCTTATACCCTATTCCTATGCATGCAATAAGAATCATATCTCCTGCTTTCTATATCACTCGCATTTTATAACTTATTTCTTAGTATATTCTTCTAGTACTTATTTTTTCTCTGATCAATCTGTTTGATGCTATTCCACATTAGTTAACTATACAGTCATATGGGCAACTAGCTGTCTTATTTCTTCCTACCTATTGTAACTAATAAGCATTTAATTAATTTTGACTGTTTTGAAGGAAGTGTCATTGTATGCCAACAAAGATCTGGAATCTAAATCCAAGTTTTGAACATTCTATTTGAAATTACAACATTAAGAATGGTTTTGACATAAGTGTTATAGATCAGCAAAAGGTCACATGAGTTTGTAGGACTCTCCCAAGAATATCAAAGGTTTGGCAACTTACTTAGAATTTCACAATATTTTCAAATATGCAATGTATTTAGGTACTGCTACATATTTTTATTTACTTATTTTAAAATTATAAAGCTAATTATTTTAATAGAGTCCAAATGTTTTGAGTGAGGTTATTACTTCTGTATATTTTGAGACTCGAAATAAAATAATTTGTTGTCTCACTAATAAAGGAGAGGTGGAGGCATAGTGAAAACACAGCCTTAAAATATTGCAGGAAAAGTTCTGCTGGAATTTATTAAAACTAGATTGTAGATTGGGGGCTATATTTTGTGCAGACGTAGCAATCAATGATGCTTAAACTTGAGAATTAGATATACCTGTGGAAAAAAAATCAACTCTTAACTGATGCTATTTCTTCAACTTTACCATGGAAAAATAATTTCTACATTTTGCTCATAGTCAAAATTCATGAAATAATATACAAAAAACATACATAAAAGCAATAAATAGAATATATTTTTGTTCTTCAAATTTGAAAAGTTTCCAGCTGCAACTATATAGAGATTAGCTTAACATTTTAGTGAGTTCATTAGTTTTATGTAATAAACATTTTATTTTTATTTCTTTTGTCTGACGTGCTATGCTTGCCAGGGAATATTAAGCTACTTCTTATTACTTTATATTTCATAGATATCTTCCTTTTTCACAATTTGAATGTTTTTAATTCTATGCCAAAAATAAAGCAAATACTTAATAGTCACCCTAACATCTTTGCCTTTATGGTTATATTTGATGGACTTTTAGCCCTAAATCAATTGAATGCTAATTCAAATTGATAAATGTGCTTATAAAATTTTTAGAGATCTTTAATATCCTCAAAGCTCATGGTTAGAAATCTTATGAGATTTCTCACATGGAATAATTAAAACATTATTGTCCATTTAAATATGCTTTATTCAAATAATGTTTGGTAAGAAAACATTCAATAAGTCTCTACTACATACCCAAAATCTTCCTTATAATAAGAGGAATATAAAGTTAAGCCAAACAATGTCCCTGCAAAGTATGATTATATTTTGACTACAGAGAAAGGGAAGTACCAAAAATACTTATAACACAAGGAAGAATGAAATAAGAATTATTGTTGAATTCTAAAAAAAAAAAAAAATACAGTGAGAATACAGAAAAAAAAAAAGTTGTGTTAATTTGCCCAAGAAAAATGGCACTTCAGTTGGACCTAAAGAATGAGAAAGACTTCAAGAGCAACAATAACAACAAAATAGTAAAGAAGAAAACTCCCAGGGTAGATGGGTAAAGAAATCACATTATGCCGAGAGCTTACTAACTCCTATGGTACAGGAGCTGTCCCTACCTATTAGAGTTAAATTGTAAAAAGAGTTTACTTATGTGTTACAGACTAGACTATAGACTAGACAGAAAAATCAATGTTGTTTGTGTAGAAAGCGGTTACTGTTGTTGTTACGCTTTATGAAGTCAAATGGAGCAAGATTGAATAAGAAGTATAAGTGTGTAAGGAGACGTGTGAAGAATGTAGGTGTGAAGAAGCAAAGAAAGAAAGAAGGAACACTATTGCTTTTAATAAGCAATAGTGAGTTCTTTAGGAAAATAATGAATTAGAAATATGGAAGAAAAATGCATGCTGTTAGTACTCTGAGAAATAGAGTAACTAGGAGCAATCAGGTTATATAATATAGAAGTGGTTTTACAATTTTTTTTTTAGTTTTGTTTTCCTTTAAAACTAACTTGAATTTGCCACTGATAAAAATACCTGCTCTACACATAGCAGTCATTTCAATGTTCCCACCTGAGATGACAATCTTTAGAAACATATATTTCATCTTCAGGACTTATATTGTAGTGCCTTGTAATTTTGCCCATCTGTTTCCATGGCATACGGCCTACTCAAGGATTGGTAGGACCCTTGGCAGCACTGGCAGCAGCCTGAGGAGCTAGGTAATATGAAGTTTAAGCAAGGCATCTTGCAGAATTTTCCTTACAACATCTGTGAAGTTGGAAGAGCACAGGGAAGTCTATCTTTTCTGACAGCTTTGCCACATTGACTCCACATGTCTCTGTACATTTTGTGACACCTGTTCTTGCTGGTGTGCCAAAAGATAGGATTTTTTTTAAAAAAGCTAACTCTTCCAAATTTACGGTCTGTCTACAAATGCATATATACTAATCAGTGGCAGAGTCACTTGGGAAATCAAGCAGTTCACATAGGTTTTATCATTTCTGTTTCTTGTATCTTATATGTTACATTGTGTGTGAAAAACTTTCCCTTATATGTATTTTACTATGTGTCTTATATATATCTTATATATCAACCATGACATAAGACATAAGGGAAAGGACAAAAACACTGAGATGCAGATATATTTTCAATTAACAGAAGGTATTCTCATAGTAAATTAATGAGAATGAATAAGTGAAAATGAATATTTTAATTATGAAACGAAAGTAGATTAAGTAACTGCAAATACAGATTTTTAAAAATTTTGATTAATTGCATTAATGTTTATTAGTGTGAAGATTTTATTTATTACATAAGTTTAATTTGGTTACATATTAACAATAATAGAAGAATAATACCTGTCCCCATGGAGAAGAAAACCAACAAACACATACACACACACACACACACACACACACACACACACGCAATTCTTGAAGAAGTGTCATATTTTCAGAATTGGAAAAAAAACACTAACAGAATCAAATCAACAGTCTTAATATAAACTCTAAGGCAAGAAAAATAAGAAAAATTATTTTGAGCCTTTTAATATTAGTATATTCAATATTTTAGTTCTAAAATCCCATTTTATAATTCAGGAAATTGAGGTACAGATAAGTATAAGTAAGTGTCAATAACACTTTCAGGGGACAAGTATTTAGTGCAAGAGAGAAGGAAGTTGTAGCTTCTTTCTCAAAAGTGAAGCAGCACTTCTCTTTTCCCTTTTAACTTGATATTACATCATTGATAGATGCTGGGAGACTCATACAAAAATAAGTTTTCTCAAAAAAGAATTTAATTATCACACATTACCTATACATAATAACCTAACAGCATAATTTCTACTTAACTGTAATACTGAGATCAGAAACTCAAAAAAATTTAAAAATTCTTTTCAATATTATAAACAATTTCATTTAATTATTCATTAGGCAATTAAAAACAGTATCACATTTTTGGAAAAATAAATAGTTACACAATTAGAAAAAATTTCAGGTGATCAACTGTGTTTAAGCATATAGCAAATCTTAATATATTGGCTTTATTTTTTCATGTTTAAAACATGTTTTAAATATAGATTTAACTTAGAATCCATTATATTTTATTTGTTTTAGAATATTAAAATATCACAATTATTATTTGTTTCTGTATTTTCCATATTTTGGGGTTACATCTGACTTATTTTGTATTTTATATGCTTTTTTCAAAAACATTTTCTCATCATTGATTGCTTTAATTTTATCACTGAAAAGTATGCAAATGTGTTGGAAAGTTTAACCTAAAAGTATCTTACTCCTAAGACATTATTTAGCTGCATGATCTATTAGAGCAACATTATGAATAATTAGGCAAATAATTAATTGTATGATTTTTTTCTAGTATAAACAATACTTTATTTGCTGAAACCTGTTAAAGAAAACAAATATACCATACTTTTGGGAAGAATGTTCACAAAATAATATTTCAAAATGCTAATGAGCTGAATATTAATTATAGATGTCAGGGGATTGTTAATATCATGGAGCGAACTGATAAGACCAAGGACAACCTCCAGCTTTCTTTGCAGATCAAAATATTAATGGGACTTTATTGTCAACTTGTATTTCTTTTTCCGAAGAATTCTTTAAAATTTTGTCACTATGTAGGTGATAAATTTGCACTTAAGAAGACCATTAGTGGGAGAAATTTATCCAATGTCACTATGTATTAGTCCCTTTTCATGTTGCTAATAAAGACATACTTGAGACTGGGTAATTGATAAAGGAAAGAGGTGTCATGGACTTACAGTTCCACATAGCTGGGGAGGCCTTGCAATCATGGCAGAAGATGAAGGAAGGGCAAAGGGACATCTTACATGGTGGCAGGCAAGAGAGCATATGCAGGAGAAGTCTGCTTTATAAAACCATCAGATCTCATGAGACTTACTCACTACCATAAGAACAGTATGGAGGGAGCTGCCCCCATGATTCAACTATCTCTACCTGGCCTTGACCTTTTCCCATGGGGGTTATTACAATTCAAGGCGAGATTTGGGCGGGGACACAGTCAAACCATATCTCACCAATTGTAGTGCAACTTTTGATATGGTTTAGGTGATTGTCCCCTCCAAGTATTATGTTGAAATGTAATCCCCAGTGTTGAAGAGGGGCCTGGTGTGAGGTATTGGATTATGAGGACAGATCCCTCACGCATAGCTTAGTGTCATCCCCTTGGTGATGAGTGAGTTCTTGCTCTGAGTTCACAGGAGACCTGGTAGTTTAAATGGATATGGCCTCTTCCTCCTCTGTCTCATGCTCCTGCTCTTGCCATGTGATATGCCTGCTCCCTGTGATATGCCTGCTCCCCATTTGCCTTCTGCCTTGAGTAAAAGCTTCCTGAAGCCCTCACCAGAAGCCACGCAGAAGCCACCACTGTGTTTCCTGTGCAGCAGCAGAACTGGGAATCTATTAAACCATTTTCCTTCATAAATTATCCAGTCTCAGTTCTTCCTTTATATCAATGCAAAAAAATTACTAACACAATTTTCAATTCCTGTTAAAACCCAGAGTTAAATTTATCTTCCATTCTGTTATTACTTACATTTTTGAATGCTTACCAAATTTTTCATTCTGTGGTAGGGCCTATGAATTCACTGAAGAGTACAGTGAAATTTCTATACTTAAGGAGTTTCTGTACTGGTAGTTACCTTAATGAATAATTATCATAATAAAAAATGTTGGAATTTTCCTCCACAAATCATGATTTTATAAAGGTTTAAATTAGGTAAAATATTAGATGACATTGGTGTTTTGGGATGATAGCATTAGTGAGAGTGTGGGCAATAGTTTTTGTTTTTTTGAGACATGGTCTCACTCCGTCACTCAAAGGATCCTTATGCCTGAGCCTCTGAAGTGGCTTGGACTACAGGCCTGCACCATCATGCCTGGTTAATTTTCTTAATTTTTAGTAGAGCTGAAGTCTTGCTATGCTGCCCAAGCTGGCCTCAAGCAATCTTCCTGCTTTAGACTCCCAAAGTGCTGGGATTACAGACGTGAACCACTATGCCTAGCCTGTGGACAAGGATTAAAGGAGTGATTCATTGGTAGGAAAAATTGGAGTCTCTTTTAATAAATAGTGACAATTTTGAATTTTTTTATACATGAGGGGTTTTAAGTCACTTTTAGGGATATAAAAATTTCATTGAGATCTCCTATTTTTGGGGAGAGATATTTAGGATATTTAAGTGAAAAATGTGAGTGAAGCAAATAGATATTTGTCTAAAATATAAGTTTTAATATTGTAAAAAGAAAAAACATATATATATATATATATATATATATATATATATATATATAAAATATAGGCTGATATTCTTCTTTAGTAGGTTATAAACGGAGGTCCAGGCAAGTGAAGAGAAATGATTTGAATCTGGGTAGAATGATTACTTCTCACAAGCCACCCTAGTGACTCCATCTAGTCAGACATACATAATCTGTAATCGTGGAAGAAAGGCAACCAACCATAACATTTCTCAAGATAAAATACAGTGAAGAACTCTAAAGGAGGTAGATTATTAATATGCTTACTTGAAGCTTCAATTAAAAGAATACTAATTATGAAGTGACTCTAGCACTGAGTTCAACACGAAGTTATAAGAACAATAATATCACAGTTGTAATCGGACAATGGATTATAGTCAATTACAAAGGAATATAAATTTGTGAGGACTTTAGATGTAGAAATAAACATAGACAAACCAAATACAAACAAATGCAGACAATTTTTTCGGAGCTTGCTATATCAACGGAGTTACCCACCATCACTTACATTTGGCAGAAATTCAAGACAAGCAGGGGAGTAGAAAAGATTTCCAGTGAAATAAAGGGAAGGCTTTAGGTAGGCTCTGAATGGAGGGTGTTCACTTGGGGAAGATGGAAGTGGACTAGCAAGAAATGAAGCTCCCCACATTACTGGTTTGGAGAACATATTTGGCTTTCTCTGGTTAGTCCTGAGCTAGATGAGAGGTAGAGAGGAAGTGACAAAAATTATAAAAGTTGACAGTTATTGACCAACTCCTGACTGTTCTGGCCCAATTGCAGCAGATGTGGCTTGGGTTTCCATTTTCATATGTAGCCTAACAATTGTCCATTTATATATTCAGTCCTCCATAAGGAAATGTTACAAAAAATGTAAGTAGATAACAATTTCATCCTCTTTCTGATCTCACTCATTATTTTTTAGCCTATTGGATATCCACCTCTTCTTAGATCCAAACATCTATCTTCTTTCCTTCCTTCCTTCCTTCCTTCCTTCCTTCCTGCCTTCTTTCCTTCCCTTCCTCCCTCCCTCTTTCTTTCCTTCTTTCTTCTTTCTCTTCTTTCTTTCTCATCTTTCTTTCCTTCTCTTTCTTTACTTCCTTCCTTCTTTCTCTTCTTTCCTTCTTTCCTTCTTTTTTCCCTTCCTTCCCTCCTTCCTTCCCCACTTCCTTCCTTCCCTCTTTCCTTCCTTCCTTCCTCCTTTCTCTTTCTCTCTTTCCTTTCTTTCTCTCTCTCTCTCTCTCTCTCTTCAAGACAGTTTTATTCTGTCACCCAGGCTGGAGTGCAGTGGCACAATCTCAGCTCACTGCAACCTCCACCTCCCAGGTTCAAGCAATTATCATTCTCTTTCTGATCTCACTCATTATTTTTTAACCTATTGGATATCTACCTCTTCTTAAATCCAAACATCTTCCTTCCCTTCCTTCCCTTCCTTTCCTTCCTTCCCTTCCTTCCCTTCCTTCCTTCCTTCTCATGCTTGAACCTGGGAGGTGGAGGTTGCAGTGAGCCGAGATCGAGTGTCCCGAGTAGCTAGGAGTACAAGCATGTGCCACCATGCCAGTCTAATTTTTGTATTTTTAGTAGAGACAGGGTTTCACCATGATTTTGGCCAGGTGGTCTCAAATTCCTGGCCTCAAGTGATCTACACACATTGGCCTCCCAAAGTGCTGGGTTTACAGGTATGAGCCACCACACCTGGCCAGATCCAAATATTTTTCTATTGTCAGAAATTAAGACTGAGACAAAAAGCTTAAAAAATATTAAAAAAAATATTTTCTTTCTTCCCCCTTATATTTTATGTTGAGCAATTTGCTGTTGTAAAACACTTCCATTATTAATTCGCTCTTGCTTTTGTCCAAACTTACATTACCAAATCTGTTACCATGGAAAAACTCATTGACAATTTAAGAAAAAAATAAACAGAACTTACTTGTCATTTATTTTCTCTTTCCAATTAAATCAGATGCTTTTCAGAATTTTTGTTTCATTTTCTCACTAAGCTTTTTATTTTTTCTTCCAGTTTACTCATATTCTTTTACAAATATGTTTAGCCAAAATATGATCTTCTCCTTTAATCCATAGGGAATACAGATTCTCTGACACATAGCTAGATGCAAGATGATGGATTTTATAAGCAACTTAAAGTATACAGGATATGTTTCCTTCTCATATGAAGTGACAGATAACAACCTCAGTTGAACATCAAATGTTTATTCTTTCTCCCTTTTTTTTTAAATATACTTCTTCTTTTTTTTTTTTTTCCAGACAGAGTCTCACTCTGTGGCCCAGGCTGGAGTGCAGTGGTGCGATCTCAGCTCACTGCAAGCTCTGCCTCCCGGGCTCATGCCATTCTCCTGCCTCAGCCTCCAGAGTAGCTGGGACTACAGGTGCCCGCCACCATGCCCGGGTAATTTTTGGTATTTTTTGTATTTTTTATTTTTTTGTTTTTAGTAGAGATGGGGTCTCACCACGTTAGCCAATACGGTCTCGATTTCCTGACTTTGTGATCCGCCAGCCTTGCACTGGGATTGGGATTACAGGTGTGAGCCACTGGACCCGGCCAACATACTTCTTTAAAGAAAAGAGATATAATTTATTTTGATTCAGTAATATATACTATATGTACACAGGCAATAATTCTTTAATAAATATCATATTAATAAATCCCCACACCTTATCACTATTCAATTTAACTTTATACTTTATTTTATATGTTCAAAATATGCTTTAATTAAAACTAAACATAAAGTTTAAATTATAACCCATTTTTGAAATGCTTTCAGGCCATGTGTGAGAGCATATCATTAGGATATCAGTTAACTGATCTTATATGCACCAAATTTAAACTATCATGTAGATTATTATTCTTAACAATGTTTTTGTGTTACATTATTTACAAATTTCATTCAAAAGCACTGTTTTCATCTTATCTAAATAACCTCATCATTAGTCTCCTTCTCTGCTTATATGCCATAACCTTAGTAAGCAATGATACAAAATGGTTGTGATTAATGTACTATGAATAAAATATTTAGGCATGAATCAGCCTTGCTTCAAGAGAAACAAAATTCTTTTCATGAAATATAAATGATTTTGATTTATAACCAAATGCCTGCTCAATGATACCTTCAGCTTAAAACATTCTAAGTTTAATTTATTTCTTCTGAACCATCTCCTCACTGACAAGCATACACAACAAAGTACTCAAACCTCCTAACAGTCTGGTCATAAGACATTTAAGGTAAATTTCTTAGTCTTCTCTTAAAAATCACTTTACAAATCTGGGTAATATCTGGACAAGCACCGACTCATATCACATTTCTGACTTATCTGTCTTTGTGTATTAAAAGCTATTTTCAGTAAGGCATCCACCAATTAGAAGCACATTTGGTCTCCAGGTGGAAAACAGAGTGCAAATTTGATCCTTGCTCAATGTCTCACTCCAGATCCACATATGAAAAGTGCTGGCAACTAATGAGGACTTAATATTTCACATTCACTAAGGTTGGGACTAGGGAATCAGCATCTTAACTGCCTAATCAAAACCTCTTTAGTTAGGCAAAAAGCACCCTCCATTTCAGATGTAGGCACTGAATGTTAAATCCTCCATTTTAAAGTGATGTTTGATATGCAAGGGGCCTTCAAGAACTATGGGATTCTCAGAGGCAGTAGTCAGCTCATGATGTTAATAATTCACATAATTCATCATGATGTGTATTAGGGTTCTTCAGAGAATAGAATCAATAGAATATATACAGACATAGAAGAGGAGATTATTATGGGAATTGGCTCATGTGACAATGGAAAGCAAAACGTCCCACGATCTGCTGTCTGCCAGATGGAGAACCAAGAAAGCCAGTGGTTTAATTTAGTTTGAGACTGAAGGCCTGAGAACCAGGAGGGCCTCTAGTATAAGTTCAAGAGTCCAAAGGTCCAAGAGCCAGGAGCTCCGGACATCTGAGGACAGGAGAAGACGGATGTGTCAACTCAAGGAGAGGGAAACAGAATTTGCCCTTCTCCCACCTTTGTCTTCTATTTCAGACCTCAACAGACTCGATGAGGCCCACTCACATTAGTGAGGGGAATCTTCTTTACTCAGTCTATTTCTTCAAATGCTCTTCTCTTCCAGAAACACTCCTGGAAATAATGTTTTACCAGCTGTCTGGGTATTTGACCAGTCAAGTTGAAACATAAAATTAACTATCGCATGATGTCTCTTTGCTTAATATTTTTACAGTAATAAATCAGCTTTCAAATTTTTTTTTATAAAAAGCAACATTGTGTAACATATTTATGTGTTTCCTCTGTTATTCACAAATTGAATCCCTCAAACAATATTTAGCGCTTTTGTGTCAAGGACTAAAGCAGATGCTGGGAAGAACAGAGAAATGGTTAAGATTAATTGCTAAGGCAAATCCTGTTTTAACTAAAAGAAATTAAAAGACACCAACAATATTTTTATACAGCTTAGTACTTTTTCTAGTCATCAGACTCTAGAAATATAGAATGGCAGTAATCATGCTTAACCGTGTTTTTGTCTGACAAACACAAATATAGACTATTCTCTAGAAAAAAAATGCAATGTTGGTTTTCTAGAGATTCAGTAAAATAAAATGAAGAGAGAAAATAAAAAATAAGTTATGTTTAAATACAGTATCGAGGTTTGAGGGTCAAATTGTAAAAAGAAGTTTTACTAATTTTAGTTTTTTAAGTTTTAATAATATTTCTATACCTTAAATCCTAAACTATTATTTAATATATATTATAAAACAAATTAAGTCAAATTACTAATGCATTTAACCATTTACTATAGCTTAATCAATTTCTTTGTTTTGCATATGTATTATTGTAAGCTCCAATGCAAAGTGCTAAATAAATAGTCTTTAAGGTGTCATTTTCCATGGAGATAAACATATCACATATATATTATATATGTGTTTATATATATACACATATATAACAATCATGTATATATGTATATGTATAATTATGTATATATGTATAATTATGTATATATAATTATGTCTGTATTATGTATAAATATGTGTGTGTATATATGTACATATATATATAATTATTGACATTTAGTAAGTATTTGTAAAGGTATACCTGAAGGACAGAAGATTATTTAAAAAGCTGTAAAATAGGCCAGGCGCGGTGGCTCACGCCTGTAATCCCAGCACTTCGGGAGGCCAAGGTGGGCGGATCACGAGGTCAGGAGATCGGGACCATCCTGGCTAACACGGTGAAACCCCGTCTCTACTAAAAAATACAAAAAATTAGCCGGGCGGGGTGGCAGGTGCCTGCAGTCCCACCTACTCAGGAGGCTGAGGCAGGAGAATGGCGTGAACCTGGGAGGTGGAGCTTGCAGTGAGCCGAGATCCTGCCACTGCCCTCCAGCTGGGCGACAGAGCGAGACTCCATCTCAAAAAAAAAAAAAAAAAAAAAAAAAAAAAGTTGTAAAATAGAGTATGCTATTAAGAATACACTATTGTCATAATCTACTATTTAGAAAATACTCTTTGGAACATTCCAAATGTATTCCTGCAAGCTTTTCTTACAAAAAAAAAAATTAGTATTCTGAAAACCCTAATAGTGTGAGTTAAAAGAATAAACGTTTACCTTATTATATTTTCATAACTAGTGAGGAAATGCTAGATTGAGCCTTGGGGAACTAAATATATTACAGGCATGAAAAATGTTTCATTTCTGATGCTGCTTTCAAATGACAGCATAATATGTTATGGATCATTTGATTTTTTTGTATGAAAACGCTGTTCAGCACCCAAAAAGGCATATGCTGCTAACGGCATGTGTCGCAATCCTTTTTATGACAGCTGGCAACAGGAAAATGCCAGTCAAAACACAAAATGTCAAGCAGAAATTGTCCCAATAAAAAGTATTAGTTTTCAAAAATCATTCATAAATAAGCTCCATTACATTTCTTTCATTGATTCCAAGCATCATTAATCAAAAGCAGCCTCAAATATCCTAACAATTATAACCTAAAAAGATAGAAGGAGCTAAGAAAAAATTACTACAGTTTCTTCTTAATTCCTACAAGGTTAGGTTTGCTCTTTTATCATACTCTGGAACTCCACCTATTATAGCCCTATTTTAAAGATGCCAAGTTGAGACTTCAACCTTGGCCTTTCTGAGAACTTTTAGCAAACAAAAATGAAGAATATTAGCAGCTATACATATTACCTGATGTTTTTAACATTAAAAAAACAGCTTTAATCTTATTTTTTCAGCCTCTCTATATCAACAGTTTTTAAGTAAATTTTATTTACTTACTTATTTTTGCTGAGTTGTCTGGCTTTATTGAACCAAGTTTTATTTTTTCCTTCACAAAATGTTCAACATTAATATGAAGATTCATGGCTGTTTGGGGACTTTATAATTTATTAGAGCCAAGGCAGAAGAGAATTCCACCTGGTAAATGAGATTATTTCCACTTTTACTTCTACTTCAGCACTTTTTTTCTAACTCATTTAATTAAAAAGAACAGGAGAGTTAGAAAGGGAAACACAAAAGTGAATCAAGAAATAATACTACAATATTAACCAAGAACGTGTATGTCCCCATCATCTTTATCTTCTTTACTAAGGGGAAATATTTCTTTGGAGGTTTTGAATGCTTTTGCAGACAGCTAAATGAAAGGTGTGAGATCTGATGACCTCATTCTTCCTGGTGGCTGTGAATTTATTACAGAGCTTGTTTATTTGAATTGGTTAACTATAGATTGATATTCTCTCTCTCTCTAGATAGATATATATGAAAAATATGTATAAAATGTTTCTATATATGATCTATATCTATATATATCTATATATATACACACATGTATATGACAATTTCAATGAAATATCAGAAGTAGAAAAGGCTGACGTAGATAGCATCAAACTAAGTTTTCATAAAACATACTTATGATTTATTATACAGTATATATAAAACAAATAATAATATTTAGACATAAAAAGAATAGTGGAAAAATGAAAAAGCAGCAGAAAATAACTGAATAAAAATGTGGTGACAGCCTTTGGATACGAATATTTGACCATGCTGGTGTTACTTTGCGGAGACGTTGCAACTTTCACACCCTGTTACTTTCCTTGAGTGATGTAGCTCCCAATGAAGCACATGTAGCCTCTTGAGGCCTAGACTCTGACCTGGCGTGCAACTTCTTCTGCCGTATTTTAACAGCCAAAGCAACTCACAGGGACAGTTGGATTCAAGTGATGGGAAAAGAGACTTTGCCTTTTAAGTTAGAAAAAAATGCTGTCACATTTTAAGAATGTGAAATACTTCTAAAACATGGTTTTTCTTTCTGCTATATAGCAGTTGTGAATATTTCATAGATTAATTGAAGTGATTTTTCAGATTATAAAAATGTCATGAAACATCAAATATATTATTTTATTATGAATGTATGACAGAGATAATAAATATGAGTTCAACATTTATTTGAAACATCAATTCTAAATGTTTATTTTAGTAGAGTGCAATAAAATGCATAACAAATGGAGCATTATTTTATTTATCTAAATAGCATCATAAATGAACATGACACTACAATGATCAGTGTTAGACAAATAGCAATTTCTGTTCGCATAAATTATGGATATATATAAATATCCTTGCTTGTGGAGAAGCAGGCACAAGTTTTTTTTTTTTTTTTTCATCTTCATATTTATTTGCATTTTTTTTTTATACTTTAAGTTTTAGGGTACATGTGCACATTGTGCAGGTTAGTTACATATGTATACATGTGCCATGCTGGTGCGCTGCACCCACTAACTCGTCATCTAGCATTAGGTATATCTCCCAATGCTATCCCTCCCCCCTCCCCCCACCCCACCACAGTCCCCAGAGTGTGGTATTCCCCTTCATGTGTCCAGGTGATCTCATTGTTCAATTCCCACCTATGAGTGAGAATATACGGTGTTTGGTTTTTTGTTCTTGTGATAGTTTACTGAGAATGATGATTTCCAATTTCATCCATGTCCCTACAAAGGATATGAACTCATCATTTTTTATGGCTGCATAGTATTCCATGGTGTATATGTGCCACATTTTCTTAATCCAGTCTATCATTGTTGGACATTTGGGTTGGTTCCAAGTCTTTGCTATTGTGAATAATGCCACAATAAACATACGTGTGCATGTGTCTTTATAGCAGCATGATTTATAGTCCTTTGGGTATATACCCAGTAATGGGATGGCTGGGTCAAATGGTATTTCTAGTTCTACATCCCTGAGGAATCGCCACACTGACTTCCACAATGGTTGAACTAGTTTACAGTCCCACCAACAGTGTGAAAGTGTTCCTATTTCTCCACATCCTCTCCAGCACCTGTTGTTTCCTGACTTTTTAATGATTGCCATTCTAACTGGTGTGAGATGATATCTCATAGTGGTTTTGATTTGCATTTCTCTGATGACCAGTGATGATGAGCATTTTTTCATGTGTTTTTTGGCTGCATAAATGTCTTCTTTTGAGAAGTGTCTGTTCATGTCCTTCGCCCACTTTTTGATGGGGTTGTTTGTTTTTTTCTTGTAAATTTGTTTGAGTTCATTGTAGATTCTGGATATTAGCCCTTTGTCAGATGAGTAGGTTGTGAAAATTTTCTCCCATGTTGTAGGTTGCCTGTTCACTCTGATGGTAGTTTCTTTTGCTGTGCAGAAGCTCTTTAGTTTAATTAGATCCCATTTGTCAATTTTGGCTTTTGTTGCCATTGCTTTTGGTGTTTTGGACATGCAGGCACAAGTTTTAAGGGAGGCATATGTGTCTGCATTTTTAGAAAACTTTAAAAGTGGACAAAGTTGGAAATATTATGAATAATAATGAATATATTGTGAGTTGATATAGGTGGCCCACTTGTTTATATATTTTCTAAAATTGTATTATGAAAAATAGAAATTTACAGGAAATAAGAAGGTATAAAATAATAACTGCAGTATACCATTCACTGAAGATTCGCCAATTGGTAACATTTGCCACTTTGCTTTACCTCTTCCAGCCCTCTTCTCTCTCTTCTCTCCCACCTCTCCCTTTCCCACTTCTTCCCCTCCCCATGTTTTTTGATTTTGCCTTTAGAATCTAACTCAAAAACAAAAACAAAAAAAAAGGTTATTTGCCACATGACTACAATAGCATGATCACATATAGGGAAGTTGATTACTATTGATATAGAATTATCTAATATACAGTATATTTTCAAAATGTCCAAGTTGTCCCCCAAATTTTTGTTATAGCTGCTTTTCCACAAACCTAGGCTATCACAGATTGCATTTTGTTGTCATTTAGTATCAGTTTTCCCAAATCTGGAAGAGCGCCTACAGTTTTTTGGGTCATTTATGATATTGATACTATTGAGGAGTTCAGGCCAGTGGCTTGTGGAATTTCCAGCAATCCAGCTGTACTTCACTGCTGTGGTTAAATAAAGTCAGTTAAATATTTCTGGTAAAAATACTACAAAAGGGTATTGTATTTGGTCTGGTGTGTTACTCATTATATTATACCAGAAACATAGAAGGTCATTTTTTTCCCATATTGGTGATGCTTACTTTTATCGCTTACTCAAGGAGGCACTGTCTATAATCTCTCTACTCTAAGAGAAACATTTATTTCCTTTTGTGAATGATAAATACACTATGGAAAGGTACTTTGAGGCAATAAGTATATTGAATCCCCAGACCTTTGCACATATTAACTCCACTTCTGATATATATCTGAAACTTTTCATATAGTAAGGGCAGTAAAAAAAATTTTTGAAGTTTAACTTACTTTTTTTTCTCAAGAAAAGCATGACTTCTTTCTTCCTATTTTTGTTAATTGCTACGAAATTTTTGATTCTGTTTCAGTATAATTTATTGTCATGATTACACATTTGGATGCTCAATTTGTACAGAATTTGGCCAGGGTCCCCGTCCCACAGGGCATTGTGTCTTTTTGACATAACTTCAGTAGTACTGAGGCACTTCCTCTTTCTGGTTTAACAAAATTTTTGTGGCCACCTTTGTTACTCCACTATTTCAGATTCAGCCATTTCTTCATGAGTCCTTTTAGAGGGAAATAGGAGCAGTTGGGTGCCCCTGGTCCCCAGACTTTCAAAGCTATTATATATAACATGGATATGCAAACACACACACACACACACACACACACAGACATGCACATACACACAATTGCACCTCTATTGATATTCAAACAGGCCATATGGTGTCAACATACCTGGTAGCCTGCATGGGAAATTCTTCCATGTGTACATCTATTTTTCTTTTAAGATGTAGTCTCGCCCTATAGCCCAGGCTGGAGTGCAATGGTGTGATCTTGGCTCACTGCAACCTCCACCTCCTGAGTTCAAGTGATTCCCCTGCCTCAGCCTACTGAGTAGCTGTGATTACAGGTGTGTGCCACCACATCCGGCTAATTTTTTGTATCTTTAGTATACATGGGGTTTCACCATGCTGGCCAAGCTGGCCTCAAACTCCTGACCTCGTGATCCGCCTGCCTTGGCCTCCTAAAGTGCTGGGATTATAGGCATGAGCCACCGTGCCCAGCCGTGTATATCTTTTTAATATGCTTTTTATGTTTCTATTATCTTCGGAGGTAGCAAGAAAAAATAAGATGTATAGCCACATCATAGAATAAACTCACTGTGGCATTACATTCAATTGAACAAATTTAACAACTATTTTTTAATAAAATAATAGCACATATGGAGAAACCTCAGTTTACCCCAAAGGCAGAGTATGCTTCTAACTTTCATACTTGATTTAATGCATGTTGCTAATAATATATCAATGAAAGAAGCACACATTCTTTCATTAATCTGTCATGGATGTGAAGTAAAAATATATAATATTTATATACTACCTTTTCACTTTTAAAAATGTTTTAATTTGAAACAATGTAACACTTAGAGAAAAAGTTAAAAAATATATATACTAACAGATTTTTTTCCTGAATGTATTGAGAGTTGCTGACAACATGTCCCAATATTTTAAATATTCAAGTGCATTTCCTTCAAGAAAGCATATTATCTCATATAACTACAGTATACTCATCAATGTCAAGAAATTAACATTGATTCATTACTTAAATCTGCATTTCAGATTTTTTTCAAGTTTAGTCAGTTGTCTTAACAATGTTCTCTATAGGAGATACACACTATTCAGAATCTATGTTGCATTTACTTTCTTTGTTTCTCTGTGATAGTTGCTTCTTGACTTTTATGATGTGGACAATTTTAAATAATATAAGTCAATTGTTGGGAAGAATGACATTCAATTTGGGTCTGTCTAGTGTTTCCTCATATTAGCAAAAATGTCAGAAGTAATACTGTGTTCTTCTCATTGCGTTCCAACAGCTGGCCTACAATTTCAATATGTCCTAGTATTGACGATCTTGACTTTGATCCTTGATTTAGGCAGGGTCTTCCAAAAACCTTTGCCACTATAAAGTTACTCTTTTTTTGTATTTTGCAATTGAAACATAATTTATACAAAGGTACTTTGAGACTCCACGGATGACCTCCTCCACAATATCCCCACTTCATACAAATGACCATCTCCTCCCGTATGGGCTCTGGCACACTGTTCCTGTCCCAGAGTCACCTACCCCCGGTCACATTCTCACAGTCTTCTTACCTGCCGGGGCCTTGATTTTAGGGTTTTGTTGTTGTTTAAGGCTCTCTCCAGATAATCACTTAGATGTGTGCCTCTCTCTCTTTTTAATCTATTCTCAATAAGATTCATGTTCACATCTGTTTTATGATTCTTCAAATTCCTTCTCTCTGGGGTACAGCACATAATAAAATACAATAATGTATAAAGATTTGACCACAGTTTAGTAAGTAAAAGGAAAGAATCAATAATCAGCCATTATTTATTGGATATATTCTTTGTGCCAAATCTTGGTTGAATGTATCAAAAATAATAAGACATTGACTTTCTCTTTAAGGAGTCAAAGTAGGTACCATAGAAACTGATAAGGTGAACTTAATAAGGCGGACGAAAAAATGGCAGTAAATAGAGGATGTTATGAAAGATAAGAAAGGGTAGATTTAGCTCAAATTTAAATCCAAAGTAGGCTTTCAGCTGAAATATCTGAGACGCATCTTGAATTTCTAATATTTTATATTACATTTCTATTGTTTTGTATACCATTGAGACTTACTATCATTACACTTACTCATTTCTATTTGACCAGTATTTTATCACTGAAGCTAGTTCATGTGTCCCATCTTAAGATACAATGCTTTCTTAGATTCACAGTGCTGAGATGTCTCAGAAGTTATTTACTATACATCTTATCAATATAAAAACAATAAGGAACACACTTATTAAACAAAATACACTTTTAAAATGACTGTGACCCACCTTTTTTATACTGCTGGTGGTAAAAATCCTCATATTTTGTGAAGAAAAACTCACAATAAACTACGTAAGTGTTCTCAAGTATCTCTATTCATACAGATGTAAATATATCACAGAATATGTAATGATTTGATGAAATAACTTTTGAGCTTGATGAGGCAAAATTCTGGCACTATCCAAAATCCAGATTTTTACCTACATAAAAAATATTGAAGGAACTGTTTTCTTATATCTTTGGAGCAATATTGTATTTGAGGTGATGAGAGCTATAACAGTCTGTAACACTTAAATTCTTTATGTTCACACAGCAGGTTTTTAGACAGCAAAGAAGAATTTGTAGTCCAATTGGTCAGAACCCTGTTCACGTTCCACAAACACATCTCATCAGCTCTAGTCTAAAGCAGTATCACAATATCACAGTTGATACTAATAATACTATTCATTTATTGACCACATCTTTACCTTCAAATTTGTATATTTTGAATATTGTATAATTTGAATTTTGTATATTGATCTCTTGACTTCTTTGCACTAAAATTGTTTTTACACCAGAAAAAAATAAAAAAATATTAAAATTGTAACTTTATCATCACAGGTTGTGGATACCGCAGTTACCTAAGTATAATGAAGTATGCAGAAAGATCGTGCAGTCTTTGTCATTTTGAAGCATGTTCTTTGACAATATCAAGTGTGTTTACCTGCACTTCAACATTTTTAGTGTTATCTTAGTATAAGATAAACATACATTTATGAATGGGAATATTTAACTCTTTTAGGAATTGGGAAATGGAAAGTTGGCAAGCTATTTGTGATGAAGACAAGCAACCTACCACTGCCAGTTTTCTAGATGAGTAGCTGCATCTGCTAAAGTTGAAAGAAGACCTACATGAGAGTTTCTAGTTTATAGATATGTAACAGTTCCCTTAAATCTACTTTGTAAAAGAACAAAAGACATTCAGAAGAATTGCTTTTTCTTAACTTCTTGAGCATTTGTCAACTTACAATCTTCTGATGGTAGATTGGTCAGTTTTGAGGAATTAATTACTTACTTCTATGATAAATAAATTAATCCGTTGGCCTAAATTTTATGTGAATCAAATACAATATTTAACTAAAATAAGACCATTGCGGTCATTCCACGCCGCAAACTATAATACTATCAATGACTCTATGGATGAAAATAACCCTCAGAGACTTTTGCATTTAGTTCTTTATAATGAACAATTATATTCAATAATTAAATATAAAAAGATAATTGTGCAGATGAAGTTGAGTGTGATGCTTAAAAATTGAACATATTCAACTGAATTCTAAAGAGATAAATCATGTATTCTCAGTAATGTACTACTTTTTCCTCCAAAGAAAAATTTCCCACAGCATTTAGGCTGAATTAACTTTCAGTTTTGAGTTTGCCTTAAATTCAAGCAGTATATGCCTTGTTTTCTCAGGCTGTATAAGCAAGTTTCAAACGTCTGTCAGCAAATCAACAACAGAGCTACTCATCTAAGCTTGAGCAGTGACCTGCAAAATCAAATGAAATGTAAATTATTCTGAATTACAACATCCATGTATAACCTCTTTTATTAAATTCTACTGAGAAAATTTGTTTTATTCTTTTATCATTCCTCAAATTTTGAAAAGGTTATGTTCATCGCATAAAAAGGCCCTGAGTAGAGTTTTATATTCATAAATGTAGAGATGATAAGCTTAAGATTTACTCAGCCATAAGGAGTAAAACTACTAGAAGCTTTGCTCAAGACACATTTAATTGCCTGAAATGAGCCTTGAGAATCTCTTTTGGGCCATGTTTCAACAGGAAGCATCTTTTGCCTTATGATGGTGTCAAGAAAAACTACACGGAATAAAGTTAAGTAATATTTTATTCAAGACTATTGCAGTGGAGGCCAAGGCTATTTCAATATGGTAGAGAGACTGAACTCAATTCCACTGAAACAAATGGCATGAGAGTTTTTAAGCACTGGGATAGGCTAGTGGAAATGTGCTGGAGGACTTTTCAGGGGAGGTTGGTCAATTTGATTAGGCCATCTCTGTTTGCTACTTGGCTCTTGGGGAAGTTAGGCTCCTAGCCTCCCATAGAGAATGGGAGATAGAGGCACTGTCTTTCTCTGTGGTTATATTTCAAAGAAAGGGATGACTCCCAAATTCTCAAAAAAGACATTCCTGGTTTGCAAAACTGGTCAGGAGTTTTTGTTAAAATTTACATCTCAAAGGTTCAGAGAAAGAATTTACAATTATAAGATTTCTAAAGTCAATGCTCTAAGAAAAAGTTGATCAAGGCCTACAGTCAGAAAGAAATTTGTCTGAAGCTCAGTCAAGCTAAGAGGAATATTAATGCTCTCTTGGTTAATTGATAATTATCCCACTGATTACCAAAAAATAGTAGCACTTGACAGTGATTTATTTTAGGGCATATTATTCAGTCTGTATTCTAACTAAAGAACTCTTACTAAGTTTTTTGGGTATTTTTTTTTCTTCAGAGTTTTCTCTTCAGAGGTTAGTTATCATTCATACCTGAATGATATCTTCAGATATCATTACTACTACTACTACTACTAATACAAATAAAAGATAGCTAAAATCACATAATTTTATCTCTGTGCTTGATTTTATTTGATGAATTCATGATTTTCAAATTCATGTTTAAAAAATATATCCTAGCAATTATTAATATTTTTTCATTGATCCCCAATATATAATAAATATAATGGAAGTGGCAAAGAGAATGTCAAAAGAGGCTTCAGAAATAGGAAATATCAAATTGTAGGTCAGATCTATATCCTTCCGTAATATTAACCCTGGATGTCTATTGTGTTGTTTTTACAAAATAATTTTGTACATTTGAAATTCAGGTATTCATTAAGGTATTGGTTAGATATTGTGATTCTGAAGCTCTTTTTGAAAAATCAAGATGAATCTTTGTCAGAGGCATTTGAACCACAGCAACTCCATTTTGAATAGGGGCTAGGTAGAATGAGGCTGAGACCTACTGTGATACATTCCCAGTAGATTAAGGTATTCTTAGTTACAGGATGAGATAGGAGGTTGGCACAAGATACAGGTCATAAAGACCTTGCTGATAAAACAGTTTGCAGTAAAGAAGCTGGTCAAAACACACCAAACCCAGATAGTGACAAAAGTAGCCTCTGGTCCTCCTCACTACTTATCATATGCTAATTATAATGCATTAGCATGCTAAAAGACACTCCCACCAGGACCATGACAGTTTACAAATGCCATGGCAATGTCAGAAATTTACCCTGTATAGTCTAAAATGGGGAGGAACTCTCAGTTCTGGGAATTGCTCACTCCTTTCCTGGAAAACTCATGAATAATTCACCCCCTGTTTAGCATATAATCAAGAAGTAACAACGAGTATAAGCAGCTTAGCAGCCCATGCCACTGCTCTGCCTATGGAGTAACCATTCTTTATTGCTTTACTTTCTTAATAAACTTGCTTTCACTTTCCTCTATGGATTCGCCTCAAATCCTTTTTTGCTCAAAATTCAAGAACCCTTTCTTGGGGTCTGGATAGGGACCCCTTTTTGCTAACACCTTGATATACTGTGCGGTTTATTAATACAGGTTTTTATCAGATGTGCTTTCTCGCAAAGGAGCGTATCTTAGCTGTAGGGGGCAGAGCTCTTCTTTGCCCCCTGAAAGTTTGCTGAGATACCAACTTGCAAAAGGCAGATTAACTGGAGAAAAGGCGTATGAATTTATTTAACATGAGTACTCAGGAAATTCAGAATGAAGGCTCAAAGATACAGGAGAAAGTGTCACCTTTTACGCTTAGGTTAAACAAAGTATGGACAACCATGTAGAAATATAATTGGACAAAAAGTGTTTGATCTAATAGACTGAGTAGGGAGACCCAATGAGGTCTGTCCATCCAGATTATTTTCATCTCTGTGAGCATGTGTTCTTTTCTTCTGGGAATGGGGAAGGACCCTCTTGAATGGGGTCTATGACCTACAGTCAAATAAAATAGGTCAGATAATTTATTTATGGCCAATTTATACACAGAAAGGCAGAGGAAAATTAATATTCTTTAGGTTTTATAGCTGGCTTTAGAGAAAAGATATTCTGGTTTCTGTGGCCTGAATTGGGGAAAGAGAGATTCTAGTGTCTATAATTAGCTTCAGAGGAGAATGGGACTGAGACAAGAGGGCAGGACAAGATCAAAAATAAACTTTTGCTTCTGAGGACTTCACTTGGGGGTATCGTTTCTGAGTTCTTAGGTAGCTAAAGGTGATTAGATTGGTGTTTGTTTACAAAAATGCATCAAGTGCATTGAATAACTAATTAAGAAAAAAAAGCTCACACTGAGAACTTTAACCAAGAAGATTTTTCATGTTTGTCCACAAATTGTAAAAAGTCTCAAATATATTCACAAAGATTTGTTGTGTTCTCACTTTGTGCAAATATATTGACATATAATATTTAATTTAATCATAATAAAAGCCCTGTTAAGTTAAATAGTTTTATAATATCTCTTTTAAAATAAAGAGTAGGGCTTATATATATTCGGTGGTTCATTCATGGCCACCCAGCTGTCAAATGGTGGAGCCAACACTTTCATGAAGGCATATAAGGTTCTAGAAACCACTGTTCAACTCTCAAGTTGTGTTGTCCCTCCCATTAGGCTGGCAGATTGTAGCAATTTTAAATTATAATAAAAAGTAGCAAAAGAAAAAGTCAAGGGTAATATACACAATGGGAAGACTTTGACAATATACTAGGGACCCATGGAACCGTCAATGAAATTAAAATATTGTGTCTGTAAAGATAATCAAATTAATAATTTTTATGATGAAATCCAACTTCATTTCTAGATATAATGACTGAGACTAAGCAATGAATTTGTAGTTTATTTGTTTGCTTTTTTTTTGCAAGAAAATATAAAACAAAATAAGTAGTTTTGTTCACCCTGCAGGGAATCTTTCAGGATTAACTGCATGAAATGAAGGATAAAACTTGAAACTGGGTCAATTTGAAAACATGTATACGTTATTCCTTTATACTGAATTCTAATATACCTATATTAACAAAAAGAATGATGGCGATTTCCTTAAAGCTCTGAAATAACTTGAGTATTTTATGTACCAATGAAAACATTAAATGGATATAAAATATTTAGAAGAATCATTACAGTTCATATAGTAAATATTTTAATAAAAATATAAATTAACTTTGAAAAATCAAAACCTATTTTAAATGCATGAGAGGAAAGTATAATTCAATGTAATCCACTCATGAATATTTTTTAGTGCAAATAATTATCTTTAATAGTTCCATTCTCTTTGTGAATCTGAACTTCCAAATATCAATTTTGTTTCCAAAGAAAATCCATATGTAATGTAAGAAGGAAAGAGTGGTTCTAAGTGTATAACCAATTTTTAAATGTTCTTGAATCACTAGTGTTGGTAAAATCCACACCCAAGTGTAAAATAAGCTTAGCTTCCAATTAAAATGTTACAACTTGGTACTAAATCTAACCAACAATTTGAAACCTTCAGTAACACAAAAGTTGACACCGTTTTTTAAAAAGGTGGCAGACAATGCTTCACTAAAGTGAGATAGAGACTTTTAAAAGTTCCGTAAGAGCAAAATAATTCAAAAATAGAAACAAAGAAGAAATAAAGTATACCAAATTAAAATGTGTTGTTAGCATGTACCATTTACTTAATGAAACATTAAAAGAAAGAGAAATATGTTAGATGTATTGAAATTTATGGTTCCCTTAAGTGCATGATAATTATCCCTTAATCATGATGATAGATATTAAGATAAAATACTGTTAGTTTAGAAAATTCTTTGTAAAAATATTATATTTTTTATAATTCAACTTGAAGTTTTTCACCTGTTCCTAGTATTTTTTGAATTTCACAATTTTTTTTGTAATATTTCAGGGAAAACAATATGGTTTCTCTACTTCACAGGAGTGAATACCATGCAACCAGCACATTCCCAGTCAATCTAAGGAATTTTGCACTTTCTGCAAGTTTCTTAATGTAATAAATATATCAGTATTTTGGAAAATCTGCTTTAAAATACACGCTAATAGTCAGTGGCCTTCAAACACTATCTTCTTTATCATGAGATAACTGGAATAATGGTTATAATCAGCCAAAAAGATCAATAATTATAATGAAGGTGATTTCATGGTGAATATTTGGCATGAATAAGCTTATGCTTAATTACAGGGGGACATGTTCCACTTTTTCTTCTGTTATAATATGCATAGTTATATATTCCCCCTCTTAAGTTTTACCTTTTAAAGAGCACGTTTATGTCAATATGAACAACAACATAACAAAACAAAAATAATTTTGCTGGTATATTTCAGTTGAACTTCTTCTGTACATGGAAGAGTCATTATAAATATATGGCACCTTCTGCTCAGAGGTGAGTCAGGCAAAAGTGTATTAAACATGTTGAATGAAGGTCACTGACTGCATGTGTTTCAAATGAAACTTTTCTATAAATAAAATGTTTAGCTCAGCTTTACTAAAGCAATATTCTCATTTTTTAATAACCAGTTTGAAAATGTGTATATTTTCTTTTAAAAGGCACGAGTAGGCCGGGTGCGGTGGCTCATACCTGTAATCCCAGTACTTTGGGAGGCCAAGACGGGCAGATCAACAGAGGTCAGGAGTTCAAGAGCAGCCTGGCCAACATAGTGAAACCTTGTCTCTACTAAAAAAATACAAAAATTAACCGAGTGTGGGGGCACACACTTGTAATCCCAGCTAGTCAGGAGGCAAAGGCAGGCGAATTGCTTGAGCCTGGGAGGCAGAGGTTGCAGTGAGCCAAGATTGTCCCACTGCACTCCAGCCTGGATGACAGAGTGAGACTCCAACTCAAAAAAAGAAAAAAAGAAATGAAAAATGTAATTTTAAAGTTCCATTTAATCAAGTATATTATTTACTCAATCAGAAAATATTTATTATATATCAATTACATACTTGGCTAGGTAGGTACTAAGGTTCTGGAAATTCCCCCGGGGTTGGGGAAAATAATGATAAGTTTCCTATAGCAGACAGAACAATGATTTGCCTAGAGTAATCCACTTCCTAATTCCACAAGTACCAGATAGTTTTCACACCCTGTATGCTATGGATCACTTGGCACCACCCAGATCTGAAAACTGGACCTGGGTCCATTATTCAAGAATATTGTTCCAATTATTTTATTATATCCCAATCCCCAGCACCTTTGACTATGTTAACTTGTATGGTGAAGGGGACTTTGTAGACATGATTAAGAAAGATTTTCAGACAATCCCTTTGAGAGAGAAATATTTTCCTAGATTATCTGGGTGAGTCCAAAATGATCATAAAGTTTTTATAATAAGGAGGCAGGAGAATCAGAGTCAGAGAGAGAAGGCATGCCATTGGAAAAAGGTCAGAGACAAAAGAAGATTTTATGCTGCCAAACTGTGAAAATGAAGGAAAGGGCCACAAGCTGAGATTTGTAAGTGACTTCTAGAATCTGGAAAAAGCAAGGAAAGCGATTCTCCCCCAGAGCTACAGCTGGAACACAGCACTGCTGACACCTTGATTTTAGGATTTACAACATCCATAAATATAAGACAATAAATTTGTATTGCTTTAAGTCACCAAGTTTGTGGTAGTTTGTTACAGCAGCAATAAGAAACTAATACAGCTGCTATTTTTAAAGAATTGATACAAATGACTAAAAGCATATGTAATTAATGAATAAACACTGGTAAGTCTTATCAGTGAGATAAGTGGGAAGGAGGATGGTTAGATATAGGTTAGTCAGTGATTTCTCTCTTAAGAAATTGTGTTTATTTTGTGCTCAAAGGGATAAAATGAGATGGTCTTGTAAAATGTGAGGGAAAGAATAACATAGGCATAAGCAATTTAAAAGGGTCTGAATTCTTTTCTTTTCACAAAGCATAGTCAACATGGTTGAAACATAATGAGAGAGAGAAAAAAATCATATAAAATGAAGTTAAAATAAGGCAGGGGCTGATCATATTGAAATTTACAGATTATGGTACAGTTTTGAGTTTATTTTAAATGAATGTAATGTGGACCTATAAATAAAGCTGGGAATAATATTATTTTATCTAAATCTTTCAGAATTCAATATTTCTACTATGTAGTCATTGGATTAGCTGAAGACAGAAGAAAAAAAACACTAGTTAAGCTACCATTTGAATAAATCATACTGGAGATGTTGGTATCTTCAACTATGATGATGTCAGTGAAAGTAGAAAGAGTTGTTCATAGCATGGGCAGGATTTGTAGACAGGTTAGGATGGGAAGGTAGAAATGAGAGATCAAAACGAGACACAACTCATAAGCTATCTATTAGAGCAATTGAATGCATACATTGAATAGAAAAAGTACAAAGGCAAGAGATGAACTAAGAATCAAAATGCTATTTTCATATATTGGATTTGACATACTATTAGAGATTCTTGTTGAGATATATAGTAAGAAGTAGAATGTAGAATTGTACAAGTCTGTAATTCACAGGGAGATCTGAATAGGAGATTAAAAATATAGGAGTCACCATATTGTAGATTAAAAGTAAAGTTTAATACACTATGAAGTACCTTGTGAACTAGTGTAAGAACTTTGCCTTTTTGCCTGAGTGACAAGAGAAGCCATTAGCAGGTTTCAAGCACAGAAGTGATATGATCTAAATTGTCTTTTGACTCCTATGTTGACAACTGAATGGTAGACAATATGAAAGATGAGAGACTATTCAGGAGAAAATTTGACAGTATCAGTGGCTGACAGACTTAATACGGGTTGTAAAAGACAGAGAGGAGAAGAGAACTCCAATTCTGAGTTGTGATACCCGCAGGAATAGAGTTACCATTATTTGAGAGGGATAATATTGAGATGAGCTCAATTTAGAACATGGTAAGTTTGAGAAGCCTATTGTATATCCAAATAAGATACCAACAAGACTGTATGATATGAGCCTAAATTTCAGAAATGGATCCAGGCTAAGATCTATATTTGAAAATCATCAGCCTATAGTTTTTTTAAAGGTATGAGACAGGATGAATTAACCAAGGAATGAGCTTATGTAGAGAGGAAACAAGAACCAGGAACTGAAGCACAGGAAATTCTGTATTTACTGATTGGGGAAATAACAAAACAGAGCAAAAAAGAAACAAAGAGTAGCCAAAATGAGAATGTTATGGGGAAAAGAAGGAGTGCTAATCACCTTATACTCCACAGACATCTTCCAGAATGAGAACCAAATGCATTAATCACTAAAGAGATCTTTCTAGAAGTTGCACAGACATCTCAAATGTCTAAAAGTACTTTATTAATTGTATTGCAACGTTATGAACTCTCCATTTTAGTGAATGTCAACATGTCTCCCCAGATGTTCCAGTGAGAAATCTGAGAATCTCTCTTTTCTGTCTTTTCCTTAACTTCCCAGGTGCAATTAGTCTGTCCTGTGCTGTCTACTTTGAAAAAAATAAAAATTCTCTTCTTTCCCATTAGAAAATTCATTCTGTAATCAATTACAGAACTGATCAAGAAAGCTATCAGTTTTTATCTGTAATAATCCTTTTAAGTTGTTTTAGTTCCTCTACATTTGCTATAAACACATTTATTATAGCCAAAATTACTCAAATATTTATCTATATCTAACTTTTGAGAGTAAGATGGCTAGATATCATTGTATAGCCTTCACAGCAATGTTTTCTTCTTCTTCTTCTTTCTTGTTTTTTTTTTTTTTTGAGATGGAGTTTCGCTTGTCACCCTGGCTGGAGTGCAGTGGTGCGATCTTGACTCACTGCAGCCTCTGCCTCCCCGTTCCAAGCGATTCTCCTGCCTCAGCTTCCCGAGTAGCTGAGATTACAGGCACCCACCACGATGCCCGGCTAATTCTTTGTATTTTTAGTAGAGACGGGGTTTCGCCACGTTGGGCAGGCTGGTCTCGAACTCCTAACCTCAGGTGATCTGCCCACCTCGGCCTCCCAAAGTGCTGGGATTACAGGCGTGAACCACCGCGCCCGGCCCATAGCCATGTTTTCTTTGGTGGTCTGTTCAGTGCAGAGATCCTCTCTCCTTTGTCTTTGTAAATGTATTCATGGTTCTCTCCTTCAATTGGCTCTCATTATTTTCAAGATAAATATTCATTTGAGTTTGGCTTTTAAAGAATTTTGTCATCTGACCCTGGTTTACCTGTCTAGCTTGATCTCCTGGCATGTTCTTATATTATACAACAAATATTGTGAAATATTTCGTGTTTCCCTAAAGGACCATACTCTACCTTACGCATTTGCATATAAAATTTATTCTATGTAGAGTGATTATCTCTGCCTACTCATTTGTCTAAAGGTTTGTTTCAAATATCAAACTGAGTTAATAAAGAGTTCCCTAAAATTCACAGGCAAAGTTAGGTTTTCTTTTAATCCTCTTTATTGCTAATGATACATTTTGTTTGATTTTTTAATTACTTTGCATCAATATTCTCAATTTGAGTTCTTGACAGAAAAGATAATACTACTTCACCTTCAAATCCAAATTAAAGTGTGGTATCAAGTACATAATAAAAACTAAATAAATTTTCACAAAGAAAAGAAACGAAGAATGAAATAGTTATGCAGGAAAATAAAGGAGGATATTCTCTGCTTTTTAAAAATTAAATTAGATTTTAAACATTGAAATTTGTAATTTCACAATATTTACTATACCTCGATCTGCAATGTAAGTTACCCTAGGATTTGCTTCTTTTATGGCCTGATATTGAATAACCAGCGTGCTAAATCATTTGTGACTTATTTTATAATATGTTAGCAGCATATGTACATTTATATTTACATATAATGTGTGCATGTGTGTTTGTGTGTGTAATTCCATATTTGTCTGTACTGAAGGAGCTGTCATGTTCTCTAATCAGGAGTTTACACACTTTCAGGAGAGTCAACTAGCATTCAAAGAGAAAGCACACACTACAGAGGGCAGTGTTTTATATATTTCAACTATCTTTATGACCAAAGTTTGTTAATTTTTATAATAAATTTTGGAAATCAGTTTTGTTTTGTAATATCAATGGCCCATTAATTATGACAATACCTTTTAGAAATGGGCTGTCATTGGTAAAATTATTGATGTACAGGGTGTGTGAATGGCTAATACATTTGAGATATACTTTCTACTCTTGCATATAGCAAGCTACAGAGTCTGAATCCTTAGGAATAAGGAATGACGTTTATTTCAAAATGTTTCTAAGTCTAGCTATTGACTCAGAGGATTCAGGATGCCTTATTCTGTGAACTAAGCTCTGCTTCCTGTATAATTGTGCCTAACACAAGTCAACATTTTATTAAAGATGCGGTGGAAGAATCTGAAACAACAGAAACATGAAATTTCATTATCTTTGTAAGACAAGCTGTGTCCATTTCTCCCTGGTAAATATATGTTTAATAAACGTCCTGTATGCCCCAAAAGTTAGTTGGTGATGACTTTCTGAGAGAGAAACCAAAAGGGCCAAGGGAAAACTTCCCCTTTGCCCTCTGTAGTTTCATGGAAAAAAAATCAACTCAAAAAAGGTAGATTAACAAGAGAAATGGCACACAAATGTATGAATGTGTACACAGGGAGAATCAGAGTGATTGCCCAACCTCGCAATGGGGTACAGAAGTTTATACACACATACACACACACACACACACACAAAATATACAAATATGTAAATATATATTATATATAGAGAAAATTATATATAAATATTTATATATAAGCTTCTAAATATATTAACATTTATATATAAGCTTCTATATAAAAGCATATATAAGATGGATGTCTATATAGATATATTTATAAATATATATCTGTATATATGTATATAGATATAAAAGCACAGCTGAACAGGCAAAAAAAAATAGTTTAGATGCCATCTTGAAGTTACAGAAAGAATAGGGGATCAGAGTATAAGCAAAAACAGGTTATAGTGGTAAATCAGGTTATAGTGGTAAGACAGGTTATAAGAGAGAGAGAAGAGGAGTCCTGGCTAGCAAAGGTGATCTTGTTATGTAAAAGAAATCTCATAGGTAGCAGCCCTCAGAGAAGATAGATGGAAAATGTTTCTTTAGAGCTTTAAGGGGGTCAGACTCTCAGTTAATCTTCCCTAGACCTGGACAAGGAAAGACCTCAGAGAAAGCCGGCTTGCATCAATGCAAATTTTCTATAGATTCAAATCTCCCAGACAAAAGGCAGCTTTGCAGGGGTATTACTGTTTATGGTCTCTCTGAACAGTCATCTCAAAATATGCCAAAGAAGTAAATTTTGGGGTGAAATATTTTATTTCCTTTATGACTGAGTCACACCCAACTCTCATTTTGGCAGTCACCATTATTAAGAGTTGTTAAAACAGGTTTGAGTCAGCCTGATACACTGGGCTGCCTGGAAGTTCCTGAGCAACAACTCTATATGATATGGTGCAGGAAAAGCAGAAAGGGAGATGACAGACTGGGAGACAAAGCATTTGACTGTCACTGCCTTTGTTGATGAAGACAAGTGTGCTTGCCAAAGTGCTTTTACAAATGTGCTAAGGTGCTCCAGAGCAGCCAAACAAAACCTTCACAAGGTTAGGCAAGATAGAAAACCCTTCAACATAATGAGAATGAATCTCTTCTATCTGATGAAGCTCTATGTCCTCTCCTTAACTCTCACAGACCCCAGAGGAAAGTGTTCAAACAAATACAGACTTGAGCATCTAAATGTTATTTATTCCTGGTCTATATCTTTTTCTTCTCTTAATATCCCTTAAATTTAAAGTCATCATAGCCTGTAATTTAAAAGTATTTATTCTGATTGCTTATTTTCTGTAATTTATCTCCAATGAGATTGCAAGCTCTTCAAGGCTAAGAGATAGGACGTTGGGAAGACTCTTCAGAGGAGCATGGAATAAGAAAATATAATAATAAACTGACACTTTCTCTTTCAATCCTTGTAGGAAGAGAGATTTTGAGGAATAAAACGCTGAAGTTTCCTGAGGAAGCACTGTTGCCGTAGAACACCAAAAGCAAGTTTCAAGTACTGCATGCATCCTAAGCCAAATACTGACACATTAGTGCTTAGGAGCAGAGAAAGGTTTATACAATTTGGCCAAATCCTCAAGACAGGACAGGCAAAATATTTAATCTGACCTGCCTTTGAACATTACTGCCTTTGAACATTTATGAATACAGTAGGTATGTAGGAGGTGAGACCTCAATGATCAAAGCTGCTTACCTCCCTTGGCTGATCAAACTTCTGGACAACATCAAGGAGGTCTGCATGATATAAGGATTATTGTTCTTTGAATGAAAAAAAAGGTTCATTAATCTTATTGGCAGCCACCAGGAGTCAGGATATGAAGTTAATCAGTTATTAGTGAGTTGGTGACCACCTCTACTGAAATGACTTAAGTACAAGTTATCATACATGGAGAAAGAAAAAGACAAAGAAAGAGGAAGATAAGTAAAACAAACATCTTAGGATTTTTATCATATAGGCTCAGTTACAACATCCCCACTGTCACTGTTTCATGCCTCAGTACTGAAGAGTTGGGGTGTTGACTCATTCTAACTACTTCCTCCGAAAGGGGTGTTGCTATGGGGCCAAGGAAAGGAACTTAGTTACCAGCAGTTGGAAATACTCAAGAGTCCCAGGTTGTACAGAGGCAATTTGTTGCAACATCACTAAACAGGTTGTCGGGAGCCTCTGAGAGAGGCAATCTTGCAATATCATACATGTAATACAATAGCAATATAATCCACAACAACAAAATATTTCTATTCCTATACTCACAGCTAGAATTATTAATATTGTTTTCCACTAAGAGGGTTCTAATCTAAACCACAAAGATAACTATTGGTTTAGTGACATTGTGGGGTTGGACATAGCATTAAATTTTTGTGCATATCTTGAAGGGTCAGGGTGATGTTTCCTGAATTGTCTGGAATGTACACATAGCATTTGGTTTTGTTTATGGTACAAGTTCCCCCTTGTGCAGCATGAGAACTTCAAGGGCCATGAAATTCTGCAAGGCTGCTTTTCTCCTTGTGGTCATTTCAGAGTCACTAAAAAGATGTCTTTGAATTCATCCTTTAGCACTTGTTGGTTATAGTTTGTGAGGGTCTTGACATGCCAGATAATATTTTCTAAAGTAACTTGGGGATTAAAATTAGATAGGACATGGTCTTATCAGTGGAAAACTGGTCTGTTCCATTGGTACAACACATTAGAGAAATTTGCAGTTTGTCCAGTGGTTTTGGTCAAATGGTTCTGGACCAATGGGAAACCCAACATGCACCATTCTATCCATGCAATGGGCAGCCAGGGCCAACGATTAGTCCCACATAGCCAATGAGTTCCAATCAGTAGTGATTTCCAATCACCACTCAGTAGTGAGTTCCAATCATTAGTCCCACACAGCCTCTGTGTCCAATCAGTAGTGAACCAGTGGGTTTATTGAAGCACTGGAGTATCTTCACACCAGTGTGGAGGCATCCAGCCCACATTCTTAGTAATATTTGGCCAATAATCAAAAGAATAACTTTTGGTTTCCAGCATAAGAGAGCAATTTGATGTAAGTGGCTGGTAGTGGGGGTCATCCAAATATAATCATCCCAAATTTGATAAAAGCCTTCCTCAGTATAGCAGCTGTTAATAGACAAAATTATGAGTTCTACTGAGGGAAACTCCATCAGGAGAGAAATACCACACTCAGAATTTGTTGAATTCTCTGATGTATATACAAGGTTTTCTGTGACATGCATGGTGAAGGGTTACATTAATGCCAAGCCATCACCTTCCATTTCCTTTTGTTAGGATCCCAGGGGTCTGATTTTCTTGTGAATAGTTTTTCATAAAGGTTTGTAATCCATTATTACCTTGTAGGGGTGAGACCCACTAAGGTAATCCAGAAATGCTAGAGACTGGAACAGCCCCAAACCCAATAAGTTTCCTGTTTTCAGCTATCTGCATAATGCGCCCATGGTAGGAAATGATTAGTTTCAGCAAACAGCCTAACCCCATATATTACTGTGGGGATTAGCCAGAATCTCATGATTAAATGACAAAAGGTTTTACTTATCTGTGTAGATTTTCTTAAAAAGCAGCTTCAGGTTTTCAGTTGTTTCACAGGTTCATTCAGGTCCATTATGTGACAGACCAGTCTGAGGAGGGGCAATTTTTATCCATGTAGAATGTATCCATGGTTTAACTCTGGCCAACTTTACACATGAATGAGTAGTCAGAAGGACCTCATAGGGTCTTAACCATTGAGGGGCTAGTTGATGATCTGGTCCAGTTCCCTCCTTGTCTTAAATAGGACTTGGTCTTCATCCTGGAAGGGATTAAGTGGATGCCCATGGGAAAGGCTAACCTGATAGAAGCAAACTCATGAACAAAGGTTGGTATTTCATTAAATAATTTTAAATAAAGAATAATGCCTCCTTCTTTTTCTAAGATTTAATCTCCTGATTGTAACCCAAGAATGGCCAGGAAGGGTCTCCCATACATAATTTCAAAAGGGCTCCACTGGAGCCTGCTTTAGGGAGCAAGTCAAATTCTCAAAAGGGCAGAGGGCAATACTTTGTCTCAACGTAGATTAGTTTCCTGACTAATTTTAGCAATTTTTCTTTTTATAGTATGATTAATTTTTTTCAGACTTTCCTGTGGATTATGATTACTACATTGCTTGAAGTTTCCATTCAATGTCTAAGATTTGAGACACTCACTGTACTACCGGAGAGATGAATGCCACTCCATTGTCTCACACTGAATTGTCAAAGGGAGACCATAACTGGAAATTATTTCTTTGGGGTACGTGCAGGCTCCTTTGGAGGCCCTCTCTGTTTGGTTAGGTTACACCTCCACCCATCCCATAAATGTGTCTACAAAAAAACAAAAAATGTGTAGCCTCTGGTCACTTGCAGCATTGTGGTGAAATCTACTTGGCAATCTTTGCATGGAGAGTTTGCTCAATGTTGTAACCTCTGAAGAGGGTGTGGGGATCAAATTGTAGGGTGGTTTTGAGCACTAAGCCTGCATTGATGGATCGCATTTTAAATGACCCATTGCATATTGGGACCAAATACTCATGTAGTCACTGAAGGGTTGCACCTTTTCCCTAATGGGTGCTTTGATGACACTGGCTCGCTGTATCTTTAAAGAGGGCTCCAGAAACCAATATGATACTTTCCAAATTACATTTCTAGTCAGGATAGGCTGGAGCTTGGGATGTGAATCTCCATTCCTTGACTTCTTTAAATCTCCCTCAGTACAGCAAGGTTGGAACTTAAATCAACCAGAGGTATTGACAGAGATAAGATAGCCTCAAAGTCCAATGTTCTTGCAGCCTGCTTGGCTGCCAGGTCAGCAAGTTGATTTCCCTTGACTATTTGGGAGTCTCATTTGTTATGACCAATACAGTGATGGTAGCTACCATTTAGGGGCATTAACAGTTTCTAAGAAGGCCAAAATATCAGAGGCATATTTGATTTATTATGGTTGGCCAGAAGCCCTCTTTCTTTCCACATAGCTCTGTGGGTGTGTGCCACTAAGAAAGCATATTTAGAGTCTGTATAAATATTAAAAATGTTATCCTTACCCAATTGCAGGTTATGCGTAAGGGCAATGAGATTGGCCAGTTGAGCTGAGGTATCTGGAAGTAATGCTTTTTCTTCCACAGTACCTTGAGATATAACGGCTGTGTATCCAGCACAATAACATGCATGGTCTATGAAGCTGCTTCCATCTGTGAACAGGTCTAGTTCAGGGTGTGGCAAGGGCTGATCCACCAGGTCTGGACATGATCAAGGAGGTCTGCATGATATAAGGGTTATTGTTCTTTGAAAGAAAACAAATTCACTAGTCTTGTGGGCAGCCTCCTGGGTAAGGACACAAATGAATAAATTATTAGTGAATTGGTGACCATCCTCTACCTAAATAACAAAGTTCAAGTAATCGTGCATGGAGGAAGAAAAGGACAAAGAGAAAGGAATATAAGTAAAATGAACAGCTTATGATTTTTATAAGATAGGCTCAGCTACATGATCTCACATAAGAATTTTCCATTTACATAAACCAGGCACCCTGATGAAATGCAGCCTGTACCATGATGTGGTGCATCCTTCCCTTACTACAATCAGCTAGTCTTTAGGTGGCGCTTCCCTCAGCATCTCACTCCTCAGTGTGATGGGTGTTGTTTACAGTGCTCTAAAAATTATCCACTTCCTTTCACTAAGGTGTTCTCAGTTCTCTCCAAAAAAAAAAAAGAAAAAGAAATGGTAGAACCTTCATTAGTTATGCCTTAAAGAGATGTCTGGTGAAATTGATTATAATTTTGTCACCTTAAGCAGTTGTTCACGCTCTGGTGTTATATAATATTCTCCAAATACTTGATGAGTTACCACATCTCCTCATTAATGTAGCACTTCAGTCAACTTTCACTACATTTTTAAATTTCAGAACAGTATAATATACAAATGCTACAGCACATGACTAGACCACACATAAATTAATGGAAATCATACACTACATAGAAGCATTCTCTCCCACTCAAGTGTAAACTCCATCGCTGTTCAAGTAGGTAGCTAGGCAGACATGAACAGGGCAAGAGAGGGCCCCTACACCCCACCAGGAAAGTGAGGGGACCATGAGGTGACGAAAAGGCAGTCGTCACACTGCCTTTCTAAAGCAATAATTGGTTGCAACCAGCCCCAGGGAAGGGGAGTTTCCCAATAGGTAGAAAAAACCTGACACTGGTGATCAGTAGCTTCCTGATAAAATCTCAGGAGTTGGGCGAATGAGCTCAAGCAAGCACATTGAGAGGCAAAATGGTGGAATTTAACTGGTATATGACCTTCCTGGGGCATTCCACCAGAAAGGGAAGAATGCCTCAGGTGAGCACACATACAACTCCAGTAAACACACTATGCATGTTTATCTCCCAAGGGCTAGTAGGCCACCATGCATGTGGGCAGCCCAGCCCAAGGGAAAAATCATGGGAGAAGGGATGCAAGACCCTGGAAGTATGGTAACATATAAAACCCCAAGTCAAAAGTTCAATCCCACACTCGTCCTTCAAATCGCCTGCTTGGACCTCTTCCAAGTGTACTTTCCTTCCTTTCTTTTTTGCTCTAAAACTTTCTAATAAATTTCATTCCTGCTTTAAAACTTACCTCTGTCTCTTCTTCTGCCTTTCCCTCAGTTGAATTCTTTCTTCTGAGGAGGCAAGAATTGAGGTTGCTGCAGACCTGTACGGATTCACCACTGGTAGCATCACTATAAAACATTACCTCCTTTGTTGCAGTGGATGAAAAAATTTATACTTCATCTGTCAATATGTTCATATCCTTATCCCTGGAGCATGTAAATTGAAAAATTTATTAAAATAATATTTAAATTTCACAATATTTAAAAATACGCTTTTGTATATGAAATCTACTCCGTGGCTTCTCTCAAACAGTGCTGTGTTCATATGGTCAAATTCCAATCTTGTTTAAATCTTTCTATCCACTAATCTCCTTTCTATATGTATGCAACTAGTATTCAACACTCATGTTCATTTATCTCAAACAAGTGTTTACCATTGCACGGTAAGAATACAATTGTTCCTTAATACATTCACTCTCCAAATTTCTTAAGCATCTCTTTCCTGATTTTTTTATTCTCCCCAATATCAAATCCCTCCTCTTCACTCCCATCTGGTAACTATACTTCCTATTTCAATGACTAAATTAAAACAACTAGAAAATAACTTCTACCTATGTATATTTGTGACCATATACTTACATAATTGCTGTTCTAATCAAACGGATGAAAAACTAAGGTCAAACTATCAATTTGTACAGTAAAGCACGTCATCTTCTCAAAAATACCACCCAGCAATTCTCTTTCTCTTTCATCTGTATCATTGATTTTTGTTTCAGAAGAGTATATATATAAACTGTCAGAGCCAAGGGAAGGCTTCCCTTTTGCCCCTGAAGTTTCGCTGAAAGAAAAAAAAAATCAACTCACAAAAGGCAGATTAATTTGGGGAAAAGGCATACAAATTTATTAATATCACACCGGTAAGAACCACAGAGTAATTACCTCTCCCATGGGGTGCAGAAGCTTTGATACCATCTCGGGGCAACAGAAAAGAATGGGGAGTCACAGTATAGTCAAAATCAGGTTATGGTGGCAAATCGGGTTACAGTGGCAAGACAGGTTATGGGAGGAAAAAAAGAGGAGGCCTGGCTAGCAAAAGTGGTCTTGTTATGTAAAAACCTCATAGGTAGCAGCCCTCAAAAAGCATAGATGATAAATGTTTCTTTTTCTTTTTCTTTTTTTTCTTGAGACGAAGTCTTGCCCTGTGCCCCAGCTGGAGTGCAGTGGCACGATCTCGGCTCACTGCAACCTCCGCCTCCCAGTTTCAAGCAATTCTCTGCCTCAACCTCCGAAATAGCTGGGATTACAGGCACCCCCCCACCATGCCCCGCTAATTTTTTTTTTTTTTTTTTGTATTTTTGGTAGAGATGGGGTTTCACCATCTTGGCCAGGCTGCTCTTGAACTCCTGACCTTGTGATCCACCCACCTCGGCCTCCCAAAGTGCTGGGAATACAGGCATGAGCCACCGCACCTGACCAATAAATGTTTCTTTCAGACCTTTAAAAGTGTTTTGACTCTTAGTTAATCCTTCCTAGATCAGGAAAAGGGAAAGTCTAACTGCATCAAGGCAGATTCTCCATAGACATAAACCTCTCCCACAAAAGACAGCATTTCTGGGTTACTTCTGTTTTCTGCCTTTCTGAACAGCCATCTCAAAATATGTCAAAGAAATAGATTTTGTGGTACATTAGTTTGATTTACACACACACACCCCTTAAAGATCGAATATCATCTCATATTTAATAATCCCCAAATTGAGTTCCTGATCTCTGCCCTTAATCATTTCTTCCCTTATCATTACCAATGAAATGGTTATATCATTCTTGTAGATGACCAGGTGCCAAACCCTAAAGTCAGTTTTTGTCTCCTTTCTTTCTCTCATCACCAAGCTAACCAATCAAAAATTTTATTTTGCTTTAGCTTCCAACAATATACAAAATTTGACCATCTTAATTCAAATCACCATCATCCATTGCCTCGATTCTTGCGTTAGCTTCCTGTTGACAAAAAGAGTCAAACTCTGTAAAATATTTGAAGAGATTTACTCTTAGCCAAATGTGAGGACCATGACCCATGACACAGTCCCAGGAGAGCCTGAGAACATGTGCACTAGGTGATTGGGCTACAGTTTAGTTTTATACATTTTAAGGAAACATAAAACATCGATCAATACAAGTAAGATGTACATTGGTTCAGCCAGGAAAGGCAGGGCAACTCGAAGGAGGGTGGCAACAGGTCGAAAGAATTATTATCAAAATATGTCTTTTGATAGATAATTAATTTAATTAGACCTTTATTTAAGAGAATTATTCCAGCAGTTGTTTGAATAATTAAGTGGAAGTTGGGGTGAAGGCCAAATGACAAGCTTACAATTTGTTGCAATAATCAAGAGAGAAGAAAGTAAGATTCTGAACTAGTTGGCTGGAGAAAAACCTGTTAGGCAAAACAAGCAGACTATGACCTGTGAGATCTCCACTCTGAAAGTATCTATTGACACAGGTGTGGAGGCTGAACAGAGAATCCATCTCTTCATGTCAAGATGTTAAGAAAATGTCAAGATGACAAGAAAGTGTCATTTCACATAAAGTAGCAGGATTGTGTCATGGTGTATTTCACGTTATGTTAAACATCCTATATTTCCAAACAAGTGTGGATTTAAATGGTCATAAGTATGTTTAGTCTAGTCAGGCAAGCCATAGGTGTTGTTTATAATGTTCACAGTACAACTTTATTAATATACCAACTGTTTTTTATAGCAAAAATGTATGGCTTAAATTATTTTAAGCCTACTAAAACCATTCTCCTCTTTTCCTCTCTAGAGAATTCCAGGACTTTTGTCTTTAATGCTTGAAAACATTTATTCTGAGCCAAATATATATGACCAGTGGCCCATGACACAGCCCCAGGAGGTCCTGAGAACATGTGCACAAGTTGGTCAGGTTACAGCTTGGTTTACATGTTGTAGTGTTGTAGAGAGACATAAGACATCAACCAATACATGCATAATGTATACTGGTTCAGGTAGGAAATGTGGTACAATTTGAAGTGGAGGCTTCCAGGTCATAGGTGAATTTAAAGATTGCCTGATTGGGCCGGGCGCGGTGGCTCACACCTGTAATCCCAGCACTTTGGGAGGCCGAGGTGGGCGGATCATGAAGTCAGGAGATTGAGACCATCCTGGCTAACACGGTGAAACCCCGTCTCTACTAAAAATTACAAAAAATTAGCTGGGCGGGGTGGCAGGTGCCTGTAGTCCCAGCTACTGAGGAGGCTGAGGCAGGAGAATGGCGTGAACCCGGGAGGCAGTGCTTACAGTAAGCCGAGATCGCGCCACTGCACTTCAGCCTGGGAGACAGAGCGAGACTCCGTCTCAAAAAAAAAAAAAAAAAAAAAATAGATTGCCCGATTGGCAATTTGTTGAAAGAGTTATTATTTTAAGACCTGAAATCAACAGAAAGGAATATTTGGGTTAAGATAAGAGGTTCTGGAGACCAAGTTTTTATCATGTAGATGAAGCCTCCAGGTAGCAGGCTTCAGAGCTCTCATCAGACCTAAGATGGTGCCAGACTCTTAGTTAATTCTCTCTTGAGTCAGAGAAAGACCTGAAAAGGGAAGAGGATTCTAGACAAAATTGAGATTTTATAACCATTCAGTGGGTTCTCTTTGCCTGCTGCCTAGACAGAGCTGATTTATCAAGAAAGAGATTTTGCAATACAGAAGTTTAATTCACATGGAGCTGGCTGTGCAAGAGAGTGGAGTTTCATTATTACTCAAATCTGTCTCCCCAGAACTTGGAGGTTAGAGTTTTTAATGACAATTTGGCGAGTAGGGGGTCAGAAAGTAGGGAGTACTCATTGGTCAGGTTGGAGAGGAAATCACGGGGAGTTGAAGCTGTCGTCTTGTGCTGAGTCAATTACTGGGTAGAGGCCACAATACCAGGTAAGTCAGTTTTTGGATCTGGGTGGTGCTGGGTGCGCCATCACATACAGGGTATGCAAAATATCTCAAGCACTGATTTTAGGTTTTACAACAGTGAGGTTATCCCCAGGAGCAATTTGAGGAGGAGGTTCAGAATCCTGCAGCCTCCAGCTGCATGACTCCTAAACCATTTCTAAACTTGTGGCTAATTTGTTAGTCCTGCAAAGGGTATTTAGTCCCCAGGCAGGAAGGGGGTTTGTTTTGGGAAAGGGTTGTTATCTATGTTTTAAAGTTAAACGACAAACTAAGATCCTCCTAAAGTTAGTTTGTCCTATTTCCAGGAGTAAACAAGGACAGCTTGGAGGTTAGAAGCAAGACGGACTCAGTTACGTCAGATCTCTTTCACTATAATAATTTTTTTTTTTTTTTTTGAGACAGAGTCTCACTGTTGCCAGGCTGGAGTGCAGTGGCACAATCTGGCCTCACTGCAACCTCTGCCTCCCGGGTTCAAGCGATTCTCCTGCCTCAGCCTCCTGAGTAGCTGGGATTACAGGAGCACACCACAACACCCAGCTATTTTTTTTTTGTATTTTTAGCAGACGGGGGTCTCACCATGTTGGCCAAGGATGGTCTCGATCTCCTGACCTCGTGATCCACCCGCCTCAGCCTCCCAAAGTGCTGGGATTACAGGCGTGAGCCACTGCACCCGACCTCACTATGATAATTTTCTCAGTTATAATTTTTGCAAAGATGTTTCAATTTTCCCTACAAGGTAGCTTTCCAGGGCCATTTCAAAATTTGTCAAAGAAATATATTTTGAGTAAAAATACTTTAATGTCTTTCAGGGTCTGCAATCTATACTAGTCAGGTTGGAATTCGGTGTCTTATCGCTACACAAGAGTCTGTTTTGTCTGTCTTAAGATCTCTGTTTTAATGTTAATGCTGGTCAGTTGTGCCTGAATTCCAATAGGAGGAGGGTACAGTGAGGTCTGTCCTACTCCCCACTTGCCATCATGGCCTGAACTAGATTTGTACACAACATTGCAAGATTATGCTATAAATTCAGTCTTACACTGTTTTCCAATTTTACTCAGAAAAAAGAAAAAAAGCAAAGCCTAACAATATCAACCTTCTCCCTCTCATTTGTTAACTTTCTAACTTCATCTCTGATTTTTCTCTCCCTCAAATTTCTTTCTGTTTCTGTTTACTTTGCTATTCCTTAAAAATAACCAGCACATTCTTAACTTCTGGGTCTTTGTGATTGGAGTGTTTCTGGACCACTCCTCACTTTCTGTAGTTTTCAAATGTCACCTTGATGAGTGAAACTTTTTCTGACCATCCTTTGTATAACTGAAATCCACCCACACCATTTCCTGTTCTTTTTCCTCCTTTATTTATTTATTTATTTATTTATTTTTCTCCTTAGCAAGTATCTCTACCTAACTTACTAGCTATTTCATTTGTCATGTTGGTCATCTGGTCCCCCTCCCCACACCCCAAATTATAGTGAAAGAAAGAATTGTTAACAAAAGATCATGAGATCTGTGGAAAAAGAAATGGAGAATTTTATTCCTATTAAAAACAATCTGCAGGTTGGCGAGATGTAGCCTGCAGTGTAAAATGAAAGCATGCTTTGAAGGGGGTGGAGGGTAGAGAGTTAGAGATTATAAAGGCAGGAACTGCAGGGCAGGGCAGGATAGGTAACAGGGTAAGGAACAGGGTCTTGACTGGATGGCCTTTAACCCCCAAATCACTAGTCACTCTTAATTGGTCGGTTCCAGGTGTTTGGTCAGTTGGCACCAGGTGTTCTGTTGATGATCATTTGGGGAATATTCAGCTGCAGAGTATCCTATGTCAGCACCCACCATGGGAACTAGTTTGCCTTGATTGTAGAAAGGGAGATCCTGTGATACTTTTGCAAAATCTTTCTAAGAACACAGAATACCTGGCTGCTCCCTCACCCAGGCATGGCCACCGCGTTTTGTTTTAACTCTGAGATCTCAGTCATAAAGATGACATTTTTGTTCTTTTGCTAGTTTCAGACTTTAACAGAATGAATAAAAACTACATAGAAAAATGTCATGTTAACTTTCTCAAACATTTCTTTAGTTGACAAAGTGTGCCGAAACAAATAATATGGTTTAAATTACTTTACTACGTCAAAGATATAACTAGATATAATACTTTGATGAGGTAGCTGAAATTCTCTTAGTTTTAGTTTCCTCATATTTAAGATGAAGAAAATAATATTGTTCTAATAATCCTCTTATTTGTATATAATATATGGAAACATATTACTAGAAAGCATGTCAAAGTAAAAGTGCTACTTATTTAATCTTCTTGACAACCTCATTCATTCTTTAGGCGTTTTTTTAATTTGAAGCAAAAAAAATAATAATTCAAGACATGGGTAATAATTATCATCACCACATACAGAATATTTATGTGAAAGACAATATAAAAGGCTCTTTACATGTAACTTTTACACTAACATTTCCATTACTGAGTAGTGACCAAATGAGGCTAGAACCCTGGTATTTTCAGTGAGAACCGCCAGATTACCATTCTACTTAGCCTGGTCCCACCAAAGGCAGAGGGGAGCTCCTAGACAAAGGCGAGATACTTTCAGTGAGAACCACCAGATTACCATTCTACTTAGCCTGGTTCCACTGAAAGGTGACAGCGTGCTGGCAGTCCTCACAGCCCTCGCTCGCTCTCGGCACCTCCTCTGCCTGGGCTCCCACTTTGGTGGCACTTGAGGAGCCCTTCAGCCCGCGGCTGCACTGTGGAAGCCCCTTCCTGGGCTGGCCGAGGCCGGAGCCGGCTCCCTCAGCTTGCCGGGAGGTGTGGAGGGAGAGGCGTGGGCGGGAACCCGGACTGCGCGCGGTGCTTGCGGGCCAACGCGAGTTCTGGGTAGGTGTGGGATCTGCGGGCCCCGCACTGGGAGCGCACGGCCGGCCCTAAAGGCCCCAGGCAATGAGGGGCTTAGCAGCCGGGCCAGCGGCTGCGGAGGGTGTGCTGGGTCCCCCAGCAGTGCCGGCCCACCAGCGCTGCGCTGGATTTCTCACCGGGCCTTAGCTGCCTCCCCGCAGGGCAGGGCTCCGGACCTGCAGCCCGCCATGCCTGAGCCTCACCCCCTCCGTTGGGATCCTGTGCGGCGGGAGCCTCCCAAAGGAGCGCCGCCCCAACGAGCGCCGCCCCAACGAGCGCCGCCCCCTGCTCCACGGCACTCAGTGCCATCGACCACCCAAGGGCTGAGGAGTGCCGGCGCAAGGCGCGAGACTGGCAGGCAGCTCCACCTGCAGTCCGGTGGGGGATCCACTGAGTGAAGCCAGCCGGGCTCCTGAGTCTGGTGGGGACTTGCAGAACCTTTATGTCTAGCTAAGGGATTGTAAATGCACCAGTCAGCACCCTGTGTCTAGCTCAGAGTTTCTTAATGCACCAATTGACACTCTGTATCTAGCTACTCTGGTGGGGAGGTGGAGAACCTTTATGTCTAGCTAAGGGATTGTAAATATAGCAATCGGCACTCTGTATCTAGCTCAAGGTTTGTAAACACACCAGTCAGCACCCTGTGTCTAGCTCAGGGTTTGTGAATGCACCAATTGACACTCTGAATCTAGCTACTCTGGTGGGGACTTGGAGAACCTTTGTGTCCCCACTCTGTATCTAGCTAATCTGGTGGGGACGTGAAGAACCTTTGTGTCTAGCTCAGGGATTGTAAAGGCACCAGTCAGCACCCTGTCAAAACAGACCACTTTGCTCTCTGTAAAATGGACCAATCAGCAGGATGTGGGTGGGGCCAGATAAGAGAATAAAAGCAGGCTGCCCAAGCCAGCAGTGGTAACCCCCTTGGATCCCCTTCCACACTGTGGGAGGTTTGTTCTTTTGCTCTTTGCAATAAAGCTTGCTGCTGCTCACTCTTTGGGTCCAGACTGTCTTTATGAGCTATAACACTCACCGGGAAGGTCTGCAGCTTCACTCCTGAAGCCAAGGAGACCACGAACCCACCGGGAGGAAGGAACAACTACAGACACGCCGGCTTAAGAGCTGTAGCACTCACTGCGAAGGTCCGCAGCTTCACTCTTGAGCCAGAGACCACGAACCCACCAGAAGGAAGAAACTCCAAACACATCCGAACATCAGAAGGAAAAAACTCCAGACACGCCGCCTTTAAGAACTGCAACACTGCGAGGGTCCGCGGCTTCATTCTTGAAGTCAGTGAGACCAAGAACCCACCAATTCCAGACACACTACCAAAGGCAGAGGGGAGCTCCTAGACAAAGGTAAGATACTGTCTTTACTGTTAATCTGTGGAGAGTCTTTCTGGCCCCACTGTTCTTGAATAAATTCCTCTCTGTCCACATGATGTGCCCAGAGACAATCTAACTGCCAAGTGCCACTTCTCAAAATGGCTGCAGTTTCAAAGTCAAGTCTTTGTCCTGTTTGTTCAAGCAAAGTTGGCAAAGTGGGCTCAGAAAGACGTTTTATGTGGTATGTGCTCATTATTCAAGTTCCTATCACACCTGTTTCTATATCGATTTCCTTCATAAATCTGAAAGAAATATTGGAATAGGGGATGTATCTTATTCATTGTTATTTTTTGGTGTTTGGAAAACTGCCTAGGACATAATAGGCATTACTTCATGTTTGCTGAATGGGTGAATATATGTTCTCTCCATCAGAGCAGTGTTTATCACAATTTCAGGGGGCCAAATTAAGCTGAATCCTCATATACTAAATTCCATAATTTTATATATTTTTCGAATACCTATAATATTTCAATATTATCATTTCTTTCTAAAAACTGGACTTAACTTCTGTAGTTTAAGAAAAAAATCCGGACGTTTTGTTTTACCAGTGTGAACATCTTAATGTTCTCTATAAGTAAACTCTAATTATAATGCATTATACTTCGTAAAAAGATTGTGTTTGAACCAGACAGGGCTAAATTTGAATTTAGTGTAAATTTAAATACTATTTTTGGAATATGGCTACAAATTCCATACCCAGATAATTATTAATAGTAACAGAGATTCTAAAAAATTAGACTTTTTGACAAAATAAATGGTTAGTCCCTTATGGAAAAAACAGTATTATTGAGCAAAAAATGATAATTAAGCAAGCTCTTGAATGTGTATAATGCATGTTGAGAGTTTTGGCTCTGATATACTTCTTGGTTACAAAATAGTACATTAACTTTTTTGAGTCCATCTTAAATGAGAAATTTGTTTTTAATCCTTGTAAAAACCCGAAGAGATATGCACTGCAATTATCCCCACAAGGAAGCAGACTCAAAAAACTAATTTTTTTCTTCCTAAGGTGGTATCCTACTCTGGTGTGATGAAGACAACATTCAAACTGCAGACTGCCAAACTCTAACCAAAAGCTAAACCATTATGGCATGCTGCCTGCTCAAAATTTAGTGGGTTCTGATCACTGAGCAATCTTTGTCTTTGTTCCTGTTTCCCTATTTCTGCCTCTGTCTCTCTCTCACACACACACATACACACACACACACACACACACACACACACACCTGCCCCTCCCCCCCAAAGTGCAGAATATGTAATTACGAATATAGATAATGAAACGGAGAATTAACTAGACTAACTAACTGTTAGGCATCATTTTATTATTAAGAGGAAAGGGGATTATAATTCAGGTTTGTCTTATATATTATCCTGTGTGTTTAATCACAATATATGAAAATATAATTAGCTTTCATTTTTAAAATTTTCAAAAAAAAACATGCTTCTGATTGTATTTTGTGGCTCTGGGCATTCTGAGATCATTGTTTAATATTTAATCTTGTTTCAGTTGAAAGTTGAAGTATTTAAGTGTTTAATTTTAAGTTTTTTTAAAAAATCAGATGACAAATTATTATTTGAGTAATGCAATTTCATCATTGTTAATTGTGGGAGGAAAGAATAGATTTATATATATTTAATAGAGAGAGAGACCTTAGTTCTCATGACAATACAGGTTATCACATTACCAATTGAACCATCAGGGTAGATTAAAGGCAATTTATAATATTAGAATGTATGTTATCGTGTTAATAAATTTCAGAATAACAATTAGAATGAATTAGTGAAGATAATTGTAAACTTAAAACATACTTAAAACTTATATACTCAGATTAAAGTTTCAGCTCTGTAATTTACTAAGTTTTTAAATTTCAGGAAGGTGGTTTTCTTTCTCTGAGCATCAGAATTTTGTTTGCTTGTTTTTGTTTATTTATTTATTTTTCATCTGTAAAATGAAAGTCCTGGGCCAGTGACCTCTAAGTTCTTTTCTGCCCACAGTCCCTAACATCACAATGTTGTATTGAAAACATTCTACTAGGTCAATATTAGTAAAGCAGAATGAGTATAAATGTTCTGCTCATTCTCCATGCACACTTTGGAAATCATGAGTAATGAATACTAAACTCACATTTTTTATTTATGTATTTCTTGATCTCATTTTGTGGATATTCCCTTTGCAGTACCCTCTGGGCACATTTACAGGATTTAATAAGAAGAGAGATGATATCTGCAATCTTAATTGTATAGCAGAATGATAAACTCACAGACGGAAAGCTTGTCTTGTAAATTTAATTTCCTCTAAGCTTGTTAGGAAGAATGTACCAGAGAATGTAAGAGCTCTCATCTCAAGTCATTGTATTACATGAACTTTTCAATTTTCATGTCAACTAGTATTAATATATTTAAAAGCACATTGCCTATTTTAGATCATATATGATATATATTTTTCTTTGATTCAAGATAGTTCTGTGTGGTTTATATCCACCATAGACCTATTTGAATTATCTCTATTAAATGTTTTTTAATAAGTTGGGCTTAGAAAATGTCTGACTGCCATTAGTATTTGCATTCCAGAGGCCATATTAGATAATTCAATTTTCCATTACTTAAAGGAATTGCCTTGTTCCATAACTAGGTTTACTGCAGACAAAAATGTGAAGCACCGTAACTGCTTTTTAATCTCAGGATAGAGAATTTTATTTTATTTAAAAATTGTTTGGGCCATGTACTTCATAGGAAATTTTCTTACTTCAATAATCTCTGGACAAAAGTCTGTTTACAATCTAATAGTATGTCATCACAAGAATAAAAACAAAATATTTTTATTAATAACATAAATGTTTTATATAATTGTAGAAATTCAGAAAAGGAAAATAAAATAATCTAGTTAAGATAATGCCTGCATAAGATAGAGTGAAGACAATGGGAAGAAAACTCGAGATGCGCTGAGCATTTTCTCTGGGAAAGGTAGTATGCTGCTGTGATTTAACTCTGAAAAATTCAATTTCATGGGTAAATTATATTCTTTTATGGATTAAGGAAACTATAATCTGGTCACCCAATGTCAAAAGCTAGTTAGCTGCTGAAGATATTACCTAACAGTTCTGACACTGATACTTTAAAGATGCCACAAATTCTTTTCTATGCCTCTTATTGGGAGGCGAAGTCCATTTCCTTTCACCATGAATCTGGTTTCCATGATTTTTTTTTAACCAGTGAAAGTGATGCTTTGCCAGTGTTTAGGCCCTGATTACAAGAGCTACTACTATTCCCTGCTCTTGAAATACTTACTCTTGGAAAGCTGAACATCAACTTAACCAGGTTTCCTGCCAGAGAAAACATTTAGAGAGGCCCTGAGACCTAAAGGAAGATGCACCTATCTGATACCAGCTTTCTTACTCTCTCTTCAAGTTTACAGGCATGTGTGTGGAGCTGTCTCAGAGCCTACAGAGTAGCCTAGTCTTTAGCCACATATCGCGGTGACACAGTCAACACCAAATGCACAGAAGAATCACTCAGCTGAGCTCTGCCTGAATTCCTGGCTCCCCAAATTATGAGCTACAAAACATAGCTGTTTTAAATCGCTACATTTTGAGAAGTTTGTTAAGCAAGAATAGATAAGTAGAGCAGAGACAAACACCAACATCCATATTCATTCCAAGATAAAATTCTGCTACCTGTGGAAGAACAGAAGTATTATCATTTTTTCTGATAATAATAATTCAAAAATTGAAAGAAATTGTTGGCATTTGTAAAATGAGAACAAGGTGGAAATAATGAGTTATAAATTCCACAAAATGCAAAAATATAAAATAAAATTAAAGGGGGCTATTTCAACCTAAGTGTACACTCTTTGGGTGATGGGTGGACTAAAATATCAGAAATCACCACTAAAGAATTTATCCTGGTAACCAAAAACCACCTGTTCCCCAAGAACCCACTGAAATAAAAAATATATAAAATAATAATAAAAAAGAAAATATATTTTTCTTAAAAAGTGCTATTAAACATACATAGAGCCAGAAAATGAAAATGCACATATTCTATGTAGTTTGTGAGTGATATAGCTAGAGTGATAAAGCTATAGACATTCAAGTACGAGTTAAATAATTTTGAAGCAACATAAAGGTAAACAATTGTACTATTCTAAGAGAACACAGATTTTAGATACATATTACTATCTTGATTTCTCTCATGGAATACAGAATATTAGGTCATCTTTAACTGTTTATTGGGAAAGACTAGAAATTAAGATACATAACTAACACTTTGCCTTAAAGATAGCTAGCTCACAGTCTGTCTCCAGGCTCCTCCCACTCATATCTAGTGCACACAGCTCTCCAGGCTCCTCTCACTCATATCTAGTGCACACAGCTTCTAAATAAGTCTCCCCAAAGGTCAGATCTGATCATATCATAGTTCTGCAAAAACCTATGATTCTTCGTCGGCCATAGAAAAAGAAGATGTATTGTTGTCCTATGGTATTTTTGTATCCATAATTTTCCTCCTTTATCTGTTCTAAAACAAATGTATCTATACTCTAAATGAAATTCTTTTCTTTTCCCCCTTGTCCATTGACATATAAACACACATAAACACATGTACAATATGCAATGTTGTTAGAATAGGGACATAATATCCACAGTCATAATTCCCATTCAAAACATTGTTTTTAATTAAAATGGGAAACACCCAGCATTGCCTGGTTTTTAGGAATAATCGAATCCTGCTTAGTCATTGTGGCGACCTCTCACCTTGGCAGCAGAGGGAATGTCTTTACTAAATCCCGGTTCTACCTGACAGAAGGAACTAACTTGTCCATGTATTTCACGGCCCCAGTTTTGGGAGATTCTTCCTTGACTGTGATGTTGCATGGCTAAATCCAAAGCAATATGTGGGAAGTATTGTGCAGCTCCTCTGGGATTTGAAGAACTTTTATAGCCCACTTCTTGATGGTACAAGTTTGGTTGTCTGATAATTTTTCTAGAAGTTAAACTGTCACAATCAAAAACTTTTTAAGCTCAGATTCATGGTTTCCTTGGCAATGCTGTTTCCAATAAATGTCAGAAGTATATTAAACTGTTTTCTTTCTGTCTGTTCCATGTGTCTTGATATTGTTTTTAACTCTGCTTTATTTCTTCACTTTCTTGGCTTCCTGGTTCACTTTCTCAATTTAATACTTTCTGCCTTGAACGTATCTGAAACAATAGGCTCATATAGGAAGACAATATCCTTATTTGAATTACTGAGGCAAAATATAGAAGCTTTAGGAAGAGGGAACAAAATAAGGGAGAAGAGGCACTAAATAAATAATTAAAATACACATTTATTTTGAAATTATAAGGTCAATAAATATTTGTTAAATGACAGGTTGATTGAATGCTCCTGAAAAATGGGAAAGCATTTGAAAAATGGGAAAACATTAGATAAGCACAGTCAGACTTGTTAAATGAGTGAACTTCAACTCAAGAATCCATTATGTAGTCTAGAAATTTATCACCTATCGGAGTGAAAAATATTTAAGGATATGCAAGAAATCCAAAGAGTGTACCTTCAATTCAAACTATCTTAGGAAAACATTTTTAAAATACATTTAACAAATATATAATAAAGCTAAACTCAGAGAAAGATAACTCGGGTTTAAAAAAAAGTAAAAAAAGCAACTGCCAACAATAAATAAATCTTTATTTACTAGTTGCTATGGAGTGAATGTTTATATTTTTCCAAAATTCATATGCTGACAACTAATCCCTAGTGTAATATTATTAAAAGGTAGGATCTCTGGAAGGTGATTAGATCATGAGGAAGGAGCCCTCATGAAAGAAATTAATGTCCTTGCCAAACAGCCCTGAAGGAGTTAGTCTCTTTCACTCTGTGAGAACAAAGCGAGAAGGTGCCATCTGCAGCCCAGGAAACAAGTGCTCATCAGACACTCAATCTGCATGTCCCTTGATCTTGAATTTCCCACCTCTCAGAACTGTAAGACATACATTTCTGTTGTTTATCAGCCACACAGTTTATGATATTTTACTAAAGCTGCCCAAATAGACTAAGACACTGTTGTATTACTTTTATATTGCTGCATTACAATTTACCACAAATTTAACATCTTTAACAACATAAATTTACCATCTTTAACAACATAAATTTACTCTCTCACAGTTTGTGAGAGTCAGGAGTCTGGGCACAGCTTGACTGGGTCCTCGAATCCAGGTATCATGAGGCTGAATCTCATCTACAATTTCATCTGAGACTTGGGTCTGCTTTCAAGCTCACAAAGCTGTTGGCAGAATTTATTTCCTTGCAGCCATGGAATTAACAGCATCTGCTCTTTTTTGATTAATTTAAATTCAACTGGTTAGGGTCTTAATTGCAGATAGAAAGTTTTTTTCACCTTTGCTATATAATAGGACATTATTAAGAGAATAGCATTCTATCATTTACAGAATATTGCATTAGTTACAAACAAGCTACAGATCTCACTCCAACTTGAGAGGAGAGACTCACATAAACATAACACTGGGGATTAGATATCAGGAGGGATATTTTGCTTCATCTCTCTTTTAAAAAATGCAAATGAATAAAGATCTCCTTAATGTCTGGAAGCCACTGATCTGTTCTCTATTTGTACAATTTGGTCATTTCAAGAGTTATATAATTACAATCATTTGGCTTTCTTCATTTAGCATAATTTTTTGGAGATCCCTTCAGTTTCTTGTAGGTATCAGTTGTCTATTTCTTTTTATTACTCTGTACTATTCCATGGTATGGATGTACCACAATTTGCTTAAACACTCACCCTTTGAATGACAACTAAGTTGTTTCCAATTTGAGCCTATCACAAATAAAGCTACTATGAACTTTCATGTACAGAGTTTTACATGAGCATAGGTTTTCACTTATCTGTGTTACAGGGTTAAGAGTGAAATTTCTGGATTGTATTGTAGTTACATGTTTTTGTGTATTGTTGTTATTTAAGCAGCAACAACAACAACAACAAAACTGCTCAGCAATTTTTGAAAATATTTTTACCATTTAACATTCTAGCAGCAAAGTCTGTGTTCCAGTTTCTTCTCACTCTTTCTGGCGTTTAATGTTGTCACTATTTTTCTTTTTATTTTAGTCATTCTGATAAATGTGTAGTGATATCTTATTATGATGTTAATTTGCATTTCTATACTCCCTTCAGTGAATTGCCTCTCTCTGTCTTTTGCTTACTTTCTAATGGATTTTTTTTCCTTTATTTTTGAGCTTTTTGAGTTTGTTATATACTCTAGATACTAACCCTGTGTCAAATAGGTGCTTTGCAAATATTTTCTCTCAGCATGTAGCTTATTTTCTCATCTTTTTGGCAGGGTCTTTCACAGAACAAAAGTTTCCAATTTTAATGAACTTCAATTTACCAAAATTTCTTTTTATGGATAGTGCTTTCAGAATCCGGTCAAAGAACTCTCTAACTGGTGCTAGAACACACAGGTGCCCTGTTTTTTTTTTCTATGGTATTTAAGTCTGTGATTCATTTTGAGTTAAATTTTGTAGGTGCGAAAGTGAGACTTAGGTCAAGGTGCTCCCCTTATTATTATTATTATTATTATTATTATTCTTTCCTCCTCCTCCTCTTCCTTCTTATTTATTTATTTATTTATTTTTTGAGACAGAGTCTTGCTTTGCCACCCAGGTTGGAGTGCAGTGGCATGATCTCGGCTCACTGCAACCTCTGTCTCCAGGACTCAAACGATTATCCTGCTTAGCCTCCCAAGAAGCTGAGATTACAGGTGCACACCACCACACCCAGCTTATTTTTGTAGTTTTAGTAGAGATGGGGTTTCACCATGTTGGCCAGGCTGGTCTCGAACTCCTGACCTCCTGCTATGCCCGCCTTGACCTCCCAAAGCGCTGGGACTACAGGCTGGGTCACTGCACTTGGCTGCTGCTTCTTCTCCTTCTCCTTCTTCTCCTTCTTCCTCTTCTTCCTCTTCTTCTTCCTCTTCTTCCTTCTTCTTTTTCTTCTTCCTCCTCCTCCTCCTTCTTCCTCTTCCTCTTCCTCCTCTTCTCCTTCATCTTCTCTTCTTTTCTTCTATGTTGAATTGCTCTAGTACCATTTCTCAAAACACATATCCTCCCTCTGCTGAAGGTGGGAATGAATGTCCATATGCCCATGTTGTCACCACTTTTCCTAGCAGAGGAAGCAATTTGGGAGAGAAGAGAAGTTATAGTCTGGCAGGAATAAAAGTCTTGGCTCTCTATTTAGCTTTTTCTCACACCACGCCAGTTGAAGGTTGAGAGTGCTTCATTATAGTCTGCTAAGGGTGGAAATCTAGGCTCTCTGCTTCCTCTTTGGTATTGTAGGTATGGGTGGAGCCAGATAGTTTCCTGGGCAGTTTAATTGTACCAGAATTATTTTATAAATATTTTCTGACTTTCTGTCATCCCCTTTCCTATCTTTTGATTAAAGAGTGCAGATTTTTTTTCTCTTAACCCATTGGTACTGATAAATGGAGAAAATATAGAAGTTGCATTGGGCAATATATCAAAACCAAAATCAATAAACATAACATATATCAAAAAAATTGGTCACACAAATTATAGACAAAGGAATACTGTCAGTGTCATATGAGACTACTTACAAATTGTCAGAAAAAAATAAATGGTCAAGTTGAAAAATATGCTCTAAGAACATGAATAAATACATAGAAAATATCAAATTCAAAAGTCAAATAATATATGAAAAAATTCTCAAATTTTGTTATAAAATTAAAAATTAAGTTTAATATATTGTTTGAATAGCAAATCTTAAATTTTTAAAAGCTATATCATTTATTGCTTACAAGAAATATAAAATCTATTAAAGTTATATATATGTATATATGTTCAACGAGCAATCTTCCTAATTAATGTAGCTAGTGACATCCATTTTTATAGAATAAAAAGACAATAAACTCTGTACAGAGTTACACATAAAAGTCTATGCAACAGAAAACGTGTACATATGTAGTTCAAATACACTTAATCTTCATTTTTTGAAGAGTCTGTATCTGCAGATACATGTCCATAAAATTTATTTTTAACCCCAAAATTGATACTCAGGTCACTTTCACAATTCTTCACAGACATGAACAGAGTGGTGGAATTTTTGACTTGTCTGATACACTTGAAGTTGAACTAAACAATAATCTGCTTTCTTGTTTTAGCTCTCATAATGTAAACAAGTATCCTTATCATGGTTTATTTAGTGCCACGTGTGCTTTTTTGGTGATTTCACCGTTTAAAATGGCACCCAAATGTACGGCTAAAGTCCTTCCAAGAGTGCCAAAATGTGAGATGGTTGTGATGTGCCTTATGGAGTGTGTTAGATAAGATTTTCTTGGGCATGAGGTATAGTGCTATTGGCTATGAGTTCAATGTTAATGAAGCAATAATATAGGTTAAATAAGATTTCTTTAAACAAACACATAAAACAAGGTTATGTATTGAGTGGTTGATAAAAATGTTGTTAACAGATGCTTGCAGGAACCTAACCCTGTATTTCAGCTAAAAGCAATGGTTTAGTATTCACGATTTCAGTGTTTGTGGTGTCTTTATAAAAATATGACTATCACATATAACAAGAATCTATTGTATATGTGTCTGGGTGGGTGTGTGTGTACACATATATATATATACACATCTATGTATACATATATACACATGTTTATAGATAAATATATATGTGTATATGCATACCACGCATTCTTATTTGCATAGGGTAATTTGAGCACTGAAAAATGTAGAATACAAAGTTGGTTATTAGGATACATGCTATATTGTTAAAATAGGTTACCTTAGCGGGAGGAGGAGTCTAATTTTGGTATAGTAGAAATTGAATAGCTGAGAAAAGAAAAAAAAGATATTTTTAAAGTCATGCATGACATTCATATGTCAATATGAATACATACAAAAAATTAAACTCAATTTTAAGATTTTTCAAAAGTAAAATAAACAGCTATCTCAATTCCCATATTCTCCTAAATAATAATATTTATATATTTTCTATTTGACCATCTATATTATTGCATTCCATGTCTTACATTTTGTCTAATAAGATGGAAGAATACATTAAGTTGAAAGATAGATAATAAATAGATAGATGCAGACTGATAGACAATAATAACAATAAACTAGGAAATGATAGAAATTGATAAACATAGAAGTTGATATGGTTTGGCTGTATCCCCACCCAAATCTCATCTTGAATTGTAGTTCCCATAATACCACATATTGAGAAAGGGACAAGGTGGGAGGTAATTGAATCATGGGGGCAATTACCCCCATGCTGTTCTCATGATAGTGGGTGAGTTCTCATGAGATCTGATTGTTTTATAAGGGGCTTTTCCCCCCTTTGCTTGACACTTCTCCTTCCTGCTGCCCAGTGAAGTAGGTGCCTTTTGTCCCCTTCACCTTCTGTCATTATTGTAAGTTTATTAAGGCCTTCTCAGCCATGTGTAACTGTGAGTCAAGTAAACCTCTTTCCTTTATAAATTACCCAGTCTTGGGCAGTTCTTTACAGCAGCATGAGAATGAACTCATACAGAAGTACATGTCAAATTGAACATTCTAGACAAAATATTATCCTGTGTAGATGCTTATATGTATAAATGCTGAAATAAAACCACTAAAGATACGTGTGCATATGCACATACATTACATATTTCAAGGCAAACTGATACATCTCATGTTAATGTCTCTTTTATTAAGTAGCTGGATGACCATAGTCATATCATTTAATTCCATTATGTTCAGCTTATTTAACTATATAGTTAGGGAATTTACCTAGTAAACTTTTTCATGAGCTTGAAATCATAACTTTTGTATAGGATACCATTTAAAAGATAATTAGCTAAACCTAAAGAGATTTTAATCATCGTTGTAATCAAATATCCTCACTAATAAATTTTAGTTCTTGTTTGCATTTAACAAAGCATCTTAGCTAAGCTGTCTGTGAACACTCTTCACTTTCATTTTCCTTTTCTTCAAAAGAGAAATTATTTGTTCGTATATCCATGTCGGAAAAGGTAAACTCTGGATTGTTTTCATTGTCTATATGCCAAAACATTTAATAGACACAACAAACAAAAACACAAACAAAACTTTGATACACATAGTGGAACAAAATTCCAGTGGCTGTTTTACTAAATAACCATACCCATTGCTGCAGCTTTTTTTATTATTATTATTCAGGATTTTTTTACTTAACGAGACTTGAAATTCTTGAAAGAGCTAAAGTTGAGGCATAGCAACAGTAACCTGGTGCTATAACTTCTTTTGTGGACTTTCCAGTCCAAACATTTTTTTCCAAGGTTCCTGAAGCTGTTCTGATGCTTTCATTAGACTTAAATCCCTTTTTATTTTCATGAAAGCTCATTTGTACTCAAGATGGTTTTAGTGGATTTTGGTGACTTGCACTAAAGTATTACAACTAACACAAAGATTAACAAACATCCTGTACTTTTCTTTTACAAATTCTATCTTTCTAGAGTCTGTAGCTCTTCTATTGTAAGTTGTTTACATAATATAAACTCTTTGGGTTAAAATCTTTAATTTCTAAAAAAAAATTAATGTCTTTTTCCTTGAAATCTTGTTGTAGATATATTATATGGATTTATGTAGAACAGAAGTTATATTCTTCTGTGATCAGTATTCAGTACCAGCAAACAGAAATACTTGTGTAATTCAAATTGCTATAAAATTATGTATAATTTATAATACAGTGTAAAATCTAATGTAACATTTATTATATAACATATATTTTTCCATAATTTATTGTATAGCATATAATTCATACAAACAATGGTTACATATTTGTCATTTTGTGTAAACTGCGATAAAATCATAATGCTACTACACTTATATTTTAAAAAGACATTACTCAGAATTTTCTGGGGGTGTGGCAAAGATGGCAGACTAGAAGCAGCAGGAATCGGAGGCTCCCACTGTAAAAAAAAAAAAAAAAAAAAACATAATAAGCGTGTGAATCCTTCACCAGCAACCAAAGTATCCAGGTTCTCTCATCAAAATTGACTAGAAGGCGCAGAAAGAAGGCAGAGCAGTGTGGTGCAGCAGCCCACCTGAGAGCCACATGGGGAAGGGGAACCCTCTTAACCCTCCCCAGGGAGGCAGTGAGGCAGTGCGCTACCCAGCTGGGGAAACTGCTCTTTTTCCACGGAACTATGCAACCCAAAGATCGGAAGATCCCACTTGCGAACCCATGCCACCGGAGCCTAGCGTCCCAAACCTGGAAGGTGTAGATTCTTAGAGCATCTCAGTTAGATTCTGCTGAAGAATACCAAACTCCCGGGCGGCAGGGCGACCAGCACTGGCTGCGGCTGCCCCCTGTCTAAGCCTTTCAAGCTCCTTGTGGGAGGGGCAGTAACCAGCAATGGGACCTGTAACTGCCTAACACGCTAAGCTCCTTCTGTGAAAGGAGAAGCACCCATCTCTATAGCTCCAGGCTGCTCTTTTCCCCTGCTGGAGCCAGGGAGGCTGGATAGCTTGGTCCCGTGACTTGTCCCCACAGCCCAACACACCAGCTATGGCAGTCTGTGGACAGAGGGCCTCTTCAGGCCTAACCCTGACTCATCCTTCCTCAGTGGGCGGGGCTTCCCTGCAGGATCTCCAGTAACTCCAGCCAGAGGCTCAGGGATAGAATTCAGATCTCCCTGGGCCTGAGCCCCTAGTGGGAGGGGTGGCCACAGTCTGTGGACCAGCAGACTTAGACTCTCCTCCTTGAATCCAGGCAGCCCAGACAAGTGGATTTTCCCCTAGTAAAACACACCCTCTCCACCAAGGGACAAAGTGCTTCTTTAAACAAGTCCTGATCCCCATGCCACCCAACTGCGTGAGACCCTCCAACAGGGATTGTTAGACACCCTATACAAGAGCGATCCTATTGGCATCAGGTTGGTGCCCTCTCGAGGTCAGAGGTCCCAGAAGAAGGAGCAGGCACTCGTCTTTGCTGCTCTCCAGCCTCCTTGAATGGTATCTACAGGCACAGGAGTGAATTGGATGAATAAGGCCTGAAGTGAACCTATTCGTGTGCTGTATTCAGGAGACCCCTCCTACATGTAAAAACACACACAGGCTCAAAATACAGGGATGGAGGACAATTTAACAAGGAAATGGAAAGCTAACAAAAAAATAAAAAACAAAAAAACAAAACAAAAACGTAGGGATTGCAATCATAGTCTCTGAGAAAACAGACTTTTAACCAACAAAAATCAAAAAAAAAAAAAACAAAGAAGGGCGTTACATAATGGTAAAGGGAACAATTCAACAAGAAGAGCTAACTATTCTAAATATATATGCACTCAATATGGGAGCACCCAGATTCATAAAACTAGTTCTTAGAGACCTACAAAGAGACTTAGACTCCCACACAATAATAGTGGGAGAATTTAACACCCCACTGTCAATATTAGACAGATCAATGAGACAGAAAATTAACAAGGATATTCAGGACTTGAACTCAGCTCTGGATCAAGTGGACCTAGTAGATGTCTACAGAACTCTCTACCCCAAATCAACAGAATATACATTCTTCCCAGTTCCACATGGCACTGATTCTAAAATCGACCACATAATTGGAAGTAAAACATTCCTCAGTAAATGCAAAATAATGGAAATTATAACAGTCTCTCAACCACAGTGCAATCAAATTAGAGCTCAAGATTAATAAACTCACTCAAAACCACCCAATTACATGGAAATTGAAAAATCTGCTCCTGAGTGACTCCTTAGGAGGGGAAATAATAAAATTAAGGCAGAAATCAAGAAGTTCTTTGAAACCAATAATAACAAAGAGACAATGTACCAGAATCTCTGGGACACAGCTAAAGCAGCATTAAGAGAGAAATTTATAGCACTAAATGCTCACATCAGAAAGCTAGAAAGAACTCAAATTGGCACCCTAACATCACAATTAAAAGATCTAGGGAGGCAACAGTAAACTAATCCAAGAGCCAGCAGGAGACAAGAAATAACTAAGATCAGAGCAGAATTGAAGGAGATAGAGACACGAAAAGCCCTCCAAAAAATCAAGGAAACCAGGAGCTGTTTAAAAAAATAATAATAATAGTTAACAAAGTAGATACACTTCTAGCTAGACTAATAAAGAAGAGGGAGAAGAATCAAATAGACACAATAAATAATGATAAAGGGGATTTCTGACCCTACAGAAATACAAACTACCAACAGAGAATACTATAAACACTTCTATGCAAATAAACTAGAAAATCTAGAAGAAATGGATAAATTTCTGGACACATAAACCCTACCAAGACTAAACAAGGAATAATTTGGGTCCCTGAATAGACCAATAACAAGCTCTGAAATTGAGGCAGTAATTAATAGCCTACCAAACAAAAAAAGCCCAGGAGCAGACAGCTTTACAGCTGAATTCTACCAGAAATACAAAGAGGAGCTGGTACCATTCCTTCCGAAATTATTCCAAACAATTGAAAATGAGGGAATCCTCCCTATCTCATTTTATGAAGCCAGCATCATGTTGATACCAAAACATGGAAGAGACACAACAAAAAAAGAAAAATTCAGGCCAATATCCCTGATGAACATCAATGCAAAAATCCTCAATAAAATACTGGCAAACCAAATCTAGCAGCACGTAAACAAACTTAGCCACCATGGTCAAGCTGGCTTCGTCAAGTTGGCTTCATCCCTAGGATGCAAGGCTCATTCAACATACACAAATCAATCAAGTTAGTCCATCACATAAACAGAACCAAAGACGAAAACCACGTGATTATCTCAATAGATGCAAAAAAGGCCTTAGATAAAAGTTAACATCCTTTCATGTTAAAAACTCTCAATAAACTAGGTATTGATGGGACACATATTAAAATAATAAGAGCTATTTATGACAAGCCCACAGACAATATCGTATTGAATGGTCAAAAGCTGGAAGCATTGCCTTTGAAAACCGGAACAAGACAAGTGTGCCCTCTCTCACCACTCCTATTCAACATAGTATTGGAAGTTCTGTCCAGGGCAATCAGGCAAAATAAAACAATAAATAAATGCAGTTATTCAAATAGGAAGAGAGGAAGTCAAGTTGTCTTTGTTTGCAGACAACATGATTTGATATTTAGAAAACCCCAATATCTCAGCCCCAAAATTTCTTGAACTGATAAGCAATTTCATCAGTCTCAGGATACAAAATCAATGTGCAAAAATAACAAACATTCCTTTACACCAACAATAGGAAAGCAGAGAGCCAAATCATGAATGAACTCCCACTCACACTTACTACAAACAGAATAAAATGCCTAGGAATACAGCTAACATGAGATGTGAAGGACCTCTTCAAGGAAAACTACAAACCACTCACTGCTCAAGGAAAGAAGAGAGGACACAGACAAATGGAAGAACATTCCATCTTCATGAATTGGAAGAATCAATATCATGAAAATGGCCATACAGCCCAAAGTAATTTAAAAATTCAATGCTATTCCCATCAAACTACCATTAACATTCTTCACAGAATTAGAAAAAAAACACATTTTAAATTTCATATGGAATCAAAGAAGACCCCAAGAGGCCAAGACAATCCTAAGCCAAAACAACAAAGCTGGATGTATCATGCTACTTGACTTCAAACTGTACTACAAGTCCACAGTAACCAAAACAGCATGGTACTGGTACCAAAACAGACATATATAAACCAATGGAGCAGAACAGAGACTACAGAAATAACACCACACATCTACAACCATCTGATCTTCGATAAACCTGACAAAAACAAGCAATGGGGAAAGGATTCAGTAAATGGTGCTGGGAAAACTGGCTAGCCATAAGCAGCAACTGAAACTGGACCCCTTTCTTACACCTTATACAAAAATTAACTCAAGATGGATTAAAGACTTAAATGTAAAACTGAAAACCATAAAAACACTAGAAGAAAACCTAGGCAGTGCCATTCAGGACACTGGCAAGGGAAAGACTGCATGACGAAAGCTCCAAAAGCAATTGAAACAAACGCCAAAATTGACAAATGGAATATAATTAAACTAAAGAGCTTCTGCACAGCAAAAGAAACTATCATCAGAGTGAACAGGAAGCCTACAGAATGGGAGAAAATTTTTGCAATTTATCCATCTGACAAAGGTCTAATATCCAGAATTTACAAGGAACTTAAACAAATTTACAAGAAAAAAAAAACTCTATCAAAAAGTAAGCAAAGGATATGAACAGACATTTGTCAAAAGAAGACATCTATGTGGCCAATAAACATGAAAAAAAGCTCAACATCACTGATTATCAGAGAAATGCAAATTAAAACCACAATGAGATACCATCTTACACCAGTCAGTATGGCGACTATTAAAAAGTCAGGAAACAATAGATGTTGGCAAGGCTATGGAGAAATAGGAATGCTTTTACACTGTTGGTGGGAATGTAAATTAGTTCTGCCATTGTGGAAGACAGTACGGTGATTCCTCAAGGATCTAGAACCAGAAATACCACTTGACCCAGCAATCCCATTACTGAGTATATACCCAAAGGATTATAAATCATTCTACTATAAAGACACATGCACAGGTATGTTTATTGCAGCACTATTTATAATAGCAAAGACATGGAACCAACCCAAATGCCCATTAATGATAGACTGGATAAAGAAAATGTAATGCAGCCATAAAAACAAATGAGATCATGTCCTTTGCAGGGACATACATGAAGTTGGAAGCCATCATTCTCAGCAGACTAACACAGGAACAGAAAACCAAACACCACATGTTCTCATTCATAAGTGGGAGTTGAACATTAAGAACACATGAACACAGAGAGGGGAACAATACATACCAGGGTCTGTTGGGGTGTGGGGGCTACGAAGAGGGAACTTAGAGGACTGGTCAGTAGGTGTAGCAAACCACCATGGCACACGTATACCTATGTAACAAACCTGCACGTTCTGCACATGTATCCTGTTGTTTTCTTTTTAGAAGAAACAAATTTTTAAAAAGATTTTTTCAATTAAAATAAATATTTTGTTGTTTTGTAGCATGACCATAGCGAATAATCTAGATTTTGTATCCCTGTGAGTGAACACAGCACAGTGGAATTTCTTTGCAGACAAACACTGCTCTTGACTAAGTAGTTAAGAGCAGTTCTGTTTTGGTTGCAAATAGAAGCCATGTAAAATATTAAAGTTTTGATCATGTTCTGAAAATTGTATTTCAGAACATGAATATATAATTGGCAAAATTTAAAAATTAATTCAATAAAATCACTGACAGGTGATTTGATTTCTCAAATACATTTTTATGTTCTGTCACATACTTTAGTACTGATACCAATCAGATTGCAGTATTAACTTAGTTTACTTTCTGCAACATTAGAATATACTTGTTTTGTATGAATTAAAACAATATTACATCATATAACAAGATATCAGGTATTTGATTTGTACTTGTTCTCTGAGAAATTATTCTTTTATTTTTTAGACAGAGTCTCTCACTGTCGCCTGGGCTGAAGTGCAATGGCATGATCTCGGCTCACTGCAACCTCCACCTCCCGGGTTCAAGCGATTCTCCTGCCTCAGCCTCCTGAGTAGCTGGGATTACAGGGGCCCATCACCACACCCAGCTAATTTTTTGTATTTTTAGTCGAGATGGGGTTTCACTATGTTGGCCAGGCTGGTCTTGAACTCCTGACCTCATGATCCACCTGTCTCAGCCTCCCAAAGTGCTGGGATTACAGGCGTGAGCCACCGGGCCCAGCCATATTAGTTATTCTTAAGAAAATATGATAGCTAAAACATTCAATGTGTTAAATATTTATAATCAAGATTTACGAAAACAAAAGAAAACCTGTAGAAGTCAATGTATGTAAAAGACAACAACTAGGCTTGTCTCTGATTTAACCTATGGCCACAATACCATACTTCTGTTGGAAGTTGGCTATAAAGTCTTCATCTACCTATTTATTTAAAATTTAAAAAAACCCGACAGATTGCTCATTACGTTACATGCATGTTACCATGCAGTGTGCTGTGTCAGGTGCAGCACATACAAACATGAATAATACACACATTATACTAAAGAATTCCAAAGAATTTCTGATTTATCTGATTAGAGACAGGCACATAAATTTTAATGTGCATTAAAATTTTAGTTCAAATGTAGCTGGGATCCCAATGGTGTTTTTTTTTTTTTTTTTTTTTTCCACTCTGCACTGACCTGGAGAATGTAACACCTTAACAAGTAGTCTATTCCCTAAAAATATCACTCCCAGAGTCATAGATTTTATTGAAATGTCAAGGAATACACGGAAAATTTATTTCCCTTGTACACTATATGACAACACATTATAGACGATAGTTGTTTAGATAGATATATGGACAGATGGATAAATAATCTGTTTTCTCTTCTCAAGAGATATTCTCTGGTCACCAGCTCTATCACTACATCACCTTTTACATTTTCCTTTCCCTGTCCACAAATAGCATCTAGAGTTGTTCTTCATAACTAAATAATTCAATGCTATCTTTCAGCTTGCATATGCCACAGAGCAAAACAAAAGCTGCATAGGTACTGGCATAACCTAGGATTCTCGGAAAGCTCACACCAATCAATTGATTATCCCTTGTATTCCAAGTGTTTCAAGGATAGGATCATCTCCAACACATCTTTTTACTGAGCTAATAGAGTGGAAGAGTAATTGGAAATTTTGATGCTAAGAAAAACAAGATTTTTTTCCTTATGTGAACTCAATACAGTACATTTTCTGTAAAAAAAAAAAAAGTATGAACTGGAAACATTAGACAATTGTGTACAGATGGGCACATTTAGCTACATATGAGGCTAAGATTGTGTCTGAGCAAAGGATGTAACAATTGAGTAGCACAGTATTTCATATCTGTTACTAGATGGAAAATTCTTTAATACATTATCCATGTCTCACTTATTTTTCTGTTACATACTATGATAACACCTTACAAATGAGAAGTGTTACAACATTTGTGTGGAAAAAGGAAAAATACAGCTAATTATACTCTGTGAGCCCTCTTTTCAGTTGTCTTATTGAATTTGACAGCTTGTTATTTAACTGGGAAAGTTACTAACTTTTATAATATGTGTAGTTGAGAGCTCCTCAGTGCAATGTTGGGAGAAGATTCTCTATGGGCCTCTGTGGGTTTTGCATCTTTTCTGAGCATAGAGATTATGTTAGTTATCTCTTGCTATGCTGTCTTCTGCTGAGGGTTCCTCAAGGCTCCAAGTAAGGTGTTGGCCTCTCTGCTGGAGTTTCATGTAGGGAGGATCTGCTTTGGTTTCGTGTAGCTGTATAAATGAAAGCTCCAGCTTCTTACTGGCTGTAGGTTGGAAATTTGTCTTATAACATAGAGGACATCAGTAGTTACTTGCCACATGGCCTTCTCCATAGACAGTCATAGCAATTTGCTTCAGGACCAGTAAGAAAGACTGGTGCCTGCTGTAAATATGGAGTAATATACATAATACATTATGTATCATATAGCATATAACATATAATGGATAACATGGAATACAGCATATGCCTATTGTGTATACTGCAACCAAATCAAAGAGAGTTGTCTTTTCTACCTAAGTAGTTTTACTTCATAGACTAAACTAGTATTCCAAAATTTAAGTAAATTAAAAAAAAATTGTTCAAAGAAGGAATTTAATTTAAATATATCTATAAAAATAGCATGATATTTTGCCTTTATTATTCTAGTAAGGGTACATTCTTGTATTTAAATATTTTTATTTTCAGGTATATAGTAATTACATGTTAGATTCTGTTATATAGTGTTTATTACATCCAGCTATTTGTAGAGTTCTATTTAGCTTATCCTCTCATTGAACTGTAAAGCAACAAATATAATTATTCTATTACAAAATTTGGTATTTGTACATTAACTCAAGGATACGAGTTAGGGGAAAAAATATCTTCAGACATTTTGTAAATTGGCATTAGTTTCCATTTTTCTGAGTAGCTGGGACTACAGGTGTCCACCACCACACCTGGCTAATTTTTGTACTTTTAATAGAGACAGGGTTTCACCATATTGGCCAGGCTGGTCTGGAACTCCTGACCTTGTGATCTGCCCACCTCGGCCTCCCAAAGTGCTGGGATTACAGGCATGAGCCACCGCGCCCAGCTCCATTTTTCTGAAGAGATATTTTTGTTCTGTTCTTAAGCAATTAAAAATATGTTCATGAACATTAAGAAATATGTAATTAATTTTATTGGTCTTCTGGTATTTAGGAGTTTCTTCTCTACATTTATTCTCTCTTTCTCACATTACCTTTAAGAAGCTTAGTTCAGAGAAGATGGTCTCTTATATTAAGCTACATTTATCCACATATCTGCAAGTCTTGGGAGTATGGTTCTAAGTACCCTTTGTGTTGGATTATCTTTTCACAGATGTTTATGTTGCAAATCACCTTGAAAGATATAGTGACTCCATCCAGAGCAAAGCACAGGCATGCTTCCTGACTATTATGAGAGAGTCCAGTTTCCAAAGCTCAGAGTTTCTTACCTATAACAAACCCACCTCCTGCCTAAGTATCCCCTGTCCCTCTTTGTGTCACTCCATGGAAATTGGTACTTCAGAATTCAGTGTAAAAAAGTGCTGGTACTCTGGCTGCTGCTTTTGTTGTCAGAAATAGACTGTCAAAAGTCTCTAACCCAGTGGTTTCGTTTATTCTGCAGCATCCTTAAAACTGTGCCAGGCTGACTTGTTAGATTGCGAGTGGGTGAAGTCTTACCCACTTCACAGTGTATAAGTGATCTTCTCACTTAGAGAGGCTTATGACAGTTACCCTAAGTCAACACAGAATGAGTCTCAGTAGCAATAATGGAACTCAAATTTAACAAAGCAGAATGACTTCTCACCCTAGTAATATTTTACTTCAACCTAATTAAATACATTTATATATTTAAAGAGAGAAAACATGGATCTGAAGAGATGCAAGAAAGAGCTTATCAAAAAAATCGAAGAAAGCTACTTTTTAGATGTAAAGCAAACTGCAACCACAGAGATAATTTCAATAAGAGTTTAAGCATAGAACTCAACTGGTCCCATTAGCAAAAATGTCTCCCTGGGAAGATTAAATGTGTTGGATAGAGTTTTACAGGCTATTTCCTTCCATGGGTTGGCTGACACAGTCTGTCCATTGGCTATTTTAAGTCCTCAACAACCATTTTTCTCTTATCTTCTTTTACTGAGGCTGAAAATCTTTCAAACGAGGGTCACCATGTGACACAATTAAGAACAATGGGATATATGTGGAATTGCTTAGTAAGAGAGTGCCTTATAAGATATGTTATTAAAAAGCCTTTTATTGTTAGTCTTTCCCTGATTTTTGTGCCTAGAAAAAGAAAATGAATCATATTAGAATCATTTGAAGGCAAACTTATCAGTTTAGGATAAAAAAGCATCCTAAGTTTAGGATGTGCATCTGTTACATGAGAAAACTAAACTACTATAAGTTTAATTACTGTTAATTGGAAATTTTTTGCTTGGATCCAAAGGAACTCTTGATACACAAGAACAAATAAACTAGACAAGGGAGAGGCCAGCAGAGGATTCTTCTATTTTCCCTGTTAAAAAAGTATTTGGAAATTTACTACAGCCCATTCTCACCCACATCCAAACTCATGCCCACAAAATCATATACACTAAGTGAAAGACAGATGATAACATTGAGATGATAGTACAGTTCCTTGAGGACATTTAGCAAGACAATGTGTTTTTAGATTTTTAATGTTGTCTTTTCTCCAAAGATCATCACTGACTTGCATCTGCTATTGGACTTCAATTTGTGAGCCTCAAACTGGGCTCTCCTGGTTCAAATAATTAAAAATTTAAAAAACCTTAATTATTTATGTAACTAAGAATCTATTGTCTGATTACTTCCTTGGTGCCTGTGTAAATTTCTTTTACAGAAAAATGTGCTGGTCAGAAGATATATGATCTGTTCCATTTTATATTTATAATCTCATTTTATAACAATTAATGCACGTATTAGTTTTCTAGGGCTGCCATAATAAAATGCCACAGGCTGGGTGGCTTAAAAAACAGAAACGTGCACTTTAGGAAGCCGAGGTGGGCGGATTGCCTGAGCTCAGGAGTTCGAACCTGGGCAACATGGTGAAACCCCATCTCTACTAAAATACAAAAGAAATTAGCCAGGCGTGGTGGCACATGCCTGTAACCTCAGCTACTCTAGAGGCTGAGGCTAGATAATTGCTTAAACCCGGGAGGCGGAGGTTGTAGTGAGCCGAGATCATGCCATTGCACTCCAGCCCGGGCGACAAAGCAAGACTCCATGTCTACAAAAAAAAAAAAAAAAAATTCAGAGGCATATTTGTTCACAGTTTCAGAGATGACAAGCCCAAGATCAAGGTGTCAACAGTGTTGATTTCTTATTGGGCCCCTCTCTTTGGCTTGCAGATGTCCACCACCTCATTTTGTATCCTTACAAGTTCTCTGTGCTCCAGTGCCACTAGTGTCTTATCTTTTTATGAGGGCATCAAATATATTGGATCAGGGCTTCACCCAAAGGGCCTAATTCTAAATTAATCACCTCTTTAAAGACCTGTGTCCAAATACTGTCACATTTTGAGGTATTGGTGATCGGAGTTTTAACATATGAATTTTCGGAGAACACAAGTCAGCCCATAGAAATAGGTAATCTTTTCTTTTAACTTCAACTCTTCTAGAGATAATTATTTGTTCAATTTCTTAAGTCTTATTAACGCTGAATAAATGTAAAGGTGCAACCTGATACCTAAAAGGTTGAAGTCCAAACCATGGACTGTGGTGATACCCACATTGTGAGCTTTGGGAGTTTAGTCATCAAAATAGAATGCCCATACTAGCACCCAAATTACTTCTTCCGCCAAAACTCTAGAGTATAGATTTTTAAAAAACACATAAAAGTTCTAGGCTATAGTATGTCTTTGAGTAAGAAGTCCTAAACCAACCATGCTACATTAAAAAAAGCAATTAACTCTCTCTAATTTGTTTATCCTACTTCCAAATTAGGTTGATTTGCATTTTGTATTCCACAAATGTGCATTCATTTCAGTACTTTCCATAGTTCAGAAACAATGAATAGAAGCAATACAGTAATATATCAACTAACTTATACAATCATTTTCATTTTTGTAGACCGTAGAGTTACCACTAAATGAGAATTAGTTCAGTAGATAGAATTCATCAGGCATTATTTATTTCTGTTGTCTGCTTGAATAGTCCTTTTTATCTGAGATAAACACTTTGTACATAAAATGCCTTCTTCTGACAATTCAATTGGTCACCAGGAGACTGAATAGAAAGAGAAATAAACATTCAATTAAAATAAGCTGTATAGGTAGCTCAGTTCCTAGTTTTTAAATTAAAAAAAAAAAATTTGCATCTTTAATCACAGTAACCCTGTTTAAAGTAGATGTTTTTTGTGGGGTTGTTTTTTGTAGGAAGTATTGTAGAAGTTGTTGTTTTTCTTAACTCCTTAGTACTAGACAAAGGAATTTCAGACAAAAACATGGAGACATAGGGATTTAATTTTGGCAGTAGTCTCTTATGTACATAATTATGGTGTCAGAAGTGATTTATGAACTTAAGACTTTATAGGTGCTTTTAATTATTTTAATCTCTGTGATTGAGGTATGAATGTAATAACTATGAAAATAGAGGTTGACCCATTTGAGCACAATTGAAAACAAAACACACAGAGGCACTGTAGAAATATTGAAAAGAATTCTACTATTCAAAAAGGGCCCGAAATAAACTGAATTAATCTGAGCTCCTCTTTATTTCCTGTTGGTTGTTTGTCATGAATATTGGACTACTCTACCATTATGACAGAGACAATGTGTCTCTGTCCTTTGATAAGGAAGCAGGGTATCATTCAACACACACACACACACACACACACACACACACACTTTGAACTTAAAATAAGAAGTCATTAGTTCTAGTTCTATTTTCTGTCATTTAACTAGTCTGGGATATTTGTCAAATAAAAAATTAACAACAATGACAAAAACAAAAAACAATCTGGGCTTTTGTTATCTCGTGTAAATTATTAGAGTAGTAATATGTTATCTCAAAATTAACTGAGACAAAGAAACAGTTAAGGAAGGCCTTAGGTCCAGACTCTGTCCTCTCTAGAAGAGACATCTCCTTCTCTTTCCTCTGTTCTTCCTCTCTATCCTTCTTTGGTCTGCTAAAACCTGTTATTTTAAAGTTAAACTCACTGATAATTCTTCTAAACCTCAAATTCCCATTTTTCTTTTATGCAAGCTTAACTTCAAGCCATTGCCAGGGAATTTCCAAGGATCACTGAGGGCCCTCCCCAATTTGCTGAGTAACTCAAGATAGTAAGTCAGGCCTATCATCCCCCGGTTTTCTGATCTATACCAGTTGACTCACATATTTGCTGAAGGTCAGGCACCATGCTGAATGACCAAGGCTTTTTGGTGTGATCCTGAGGGAGAGTTAGACAAAAACACCTCTAAAGACTGTGACAGAACTGAAGGCATAGCAAAAACTTCCATGAGGCCATGAGGCCATTCTTGAGGCTTTTCTTAAAACTTCATGAGATCGTGCCACTGCACTTCAGCCTGGGTGGCAGAGCGAGATTCTGTCTCAAAAAAAAAAAAAAAAAAAAAAAAAAAACTTTATGAGAGGAGGTGCCAGCTGGGCTTACTGAGTCGAGTTCTGGATCAGAAAGCTGTGAAAGTCACTCATTTCCTGCATCAGGACTTACTTCAGTCTTGGATGAATAATAGTGAAGATATATGCTTAAAATATTCCTAATACCAGGATTTGTGCATGTGTTTTCTTCCCCAAGAAAGCTGTGAACAGCGAAAATTTTGCTGTAAGTTTCCCTGTGTCCTCTCTCCCTCTCTCCCTTCCCCCTCCCCCGAAACTAAAAGAAATGTTAACTGCCCGTTTTTCTGTGACCAGCGGACCTTATCTATACTCCAATTCCAATTCCTTGTAAACATACTTTGTAAAGTCCTGTAAGATCCTGTCTCCTTTGCTGTGCCTCTGCAAGGTCATAAAGTAGATGAAACCTAAGTTGCAATTCCATTTTTCGTCCAAATCTAAGACATGTCACAAAATAATTTACTGTCTTTGTTTCTTGCTCTAGTAACATCTTCCCGCCTCAGGTATTTCCCACCTTAAGGAGTTTAAAAAGCAATCATATAATCTAACTCTGGCTACCCATTCGGGACCCCTTCCACACTGTGGAAGCTTTGTACTTTCACTCTGCTCGATAAAGCCTACAGCTTTTTCTCTCTCTTGGTCCGTGTCTCTATCACTCGCCGGGGTCAACCGCCACACCAATTCTTTGGCGTGGCTAGGCAAGAACCTTAGGCGTTACATTTAGACTGCAATAAAATCCATTCCCATATTTAAGAACCTAATGAGCCACTTTCCAGCCATTACAGTTGTACTCCAGGCCATGTTTAAAAAAAATTATATCAAATCCAGGTTGTACTTAGAGAAAATTATGAATTACCTATAGATGTTGAATCTATTCAAGTAGCCTTTTATTCTGTTTGTGAGCAGAATTACAGTTCTCCTTTCTGGAGTACTCTCTCAGCTTGTCCAAAGAGCCTGGATAGAATGGAAAACCATACCTACTTCTGATCTAGATAATTTGGCAAATCAGCTTGCTGGCACCTGTGAGGACACTAATACAGAGAAAACCACTCAAGTTTTAAATCTCCTATTACAGCAGATGGAGCTTCCCAGACATAACACTAGGAAAAAGCATCCTCGGCCAGGCTACTACCATAAGAAACCAGGCCACTGGAAAAGAGAGTGCCAAAAAAGCCAGAAAATCTCTTTCTCATCAACTTTAATAAATCTCCAGAAAATTATGCTAAGTGTAAAAAAATCCAGTCTCAAAAGATTACATACTATATGATTCTGTTGGGTTTCACAAAGTGATAACCCTAAAGACTGGTGCTTTAAGATGCTAAAAGGCCTTAGCAGCAGCCTTAGAACCAAGGTCCTTCTAATCTCACCTGGATCACACCAAACTCAGAAAGAGTTTCCCTTTGAAATTTTTTTCTCTGTTCAAGAAACTCTTTCCAAAAGAAATGCAATTGCCTTAAGTCCTCTTCCTAGAGATCTCATCAAATAACAAGGAAAGATCAACCACTGTAGAAGAGAAAAGACTGGAATTTATTACCACACCCAAACACACTTTTTAATCTATTTTTCTAAGGGCAGCTCCAAGAGATTACCTGGGGTGCTTTATCTACATAATAAAAAAGCCTTTTTTTCTTGTGCAACTTCACCTTTCACCTTCTCTTAATGTCTGCCTCCCATGTCCCAGGTTCATCTGATGAAGAGAGACAAGCCCTCAAATTGGGGCTTAGCCTGGGAGGTTTCTTCACTTTGCCCAGGAAAGAATTCAAGAGTGAGTTGATGACATTAGATAGCAATTTTTATTAAATGGTACTGCTCCTTGTGGAGAAAGGTTACCTCATAGGCCGTGTGCCCAGAGTGAACAATGTGTGGGCTCTTGGCAACTGTATTTATACTCAGGAAAGAACACTCTCAATTACGTGTAAATTAAGGGTATGTCAATGCGAACTGAGGGTCTGGCTATTTAGAACATTCTCAGAAAGGGGCAATAACTTCTGGGTTGTTGCCTTAGAGAGGGATGGCAATGCCTGACTGTCATGGTGCTGGTGGGAGTGTCTTATGTCAATGAGCAATGAGAGCAGCTAAGGATCACTTTCATCTCCATCCACTTGTTCCTGCCAGTTTCTTCTCTTTATCCTGTCTGGAACAGATCCTGTTTTGATCAGCAAGATTGTGACCAGGAAACAAGTTCTGCCAGTCTCCTACCTCACATTTATTCTCCCTAGTAATTTACTACTCCTCAAAAAGTATTGTTTACATTTCCCAGCTACCCAACCCTTCTTCCCCACCTGGAGACAACTCTTCAGTCTGCCTGTTCAGGCACCAGGGACTACAGGGGCTCTTCCCAGTTCCCTCAGTCATCTAGGTGAAACCACTCTTCAAGTTGGGAATGAGGTCGTTGTGCTTACAGATACTGGAGCAAGAGTATCAATTTTTAACCCCACCAGCCACAGTCAGCCCATGCCTTGGGCTAATAAAAAGATACATATGGGAGTTTCCAACAAGCTTTTAGCTGTTGTTGTTTCCCAGCCCATCCCTTTCTAACTTGTCCCTCTCCAAGGCACTTGTCCCTTTTTTGCTTGTTAATTCTTCCTTATCTACCTCCTCCTTGGACTTGATTTTCAAGAAAAATACTATGTTAGAACTTTTTTTCCCTCAGAACAGGGAAATAATTTTAGAATTTGACAAGGCAAACTGTGCTGACTCAACCTTGGAGTCTTCTGACTTCCCAAATTTCCTCCTTTGTTATGTCATTGCCTGTTCAAAAACCAAAAATAATGCCACCCATCACTGCTGAATCAAATCTGTCTCTTTAGGGGCAAAATCTGAAAAGTTTTTAAACCAAAGGAAAAATTGGTACATTTTTCAGCTCCAGGGCATCTTAATTATAAAATCTCTTTTTTTTCCTCTTTATATATGTAAAGAAAGGAAACACATTGGGAATCTTAACCCAAAGTATAGGGACCAACATCACTCTCTAGTAAGCTATCTTAAACTCACATCTCACTCAGTATCTGATATGCTTTGGCTGTGTCCCCACCCAAATCTCACCTTGAACTGTAATAATCCCCACAAGTCAAGGGTGGGGCCAGGTGTAGATAATTGAATCATGGAGGCAATTTCCCTCCTGCTGTTCTTGTGGTAGTGAATAAGTCTCACAAGATCTGATGATTTTATAAATGAGAGTTCCCCTGCACAAGCTCTCTTGCCTACCACCATGTAAGACATGGCTTTGCTTCTCCTTTGCTTTCCGCCATGATTATGAAGCCTCCACAGCCATGTGAAACTGTGAGTCCATTAAACCTCTTTCCTTTATAAAATACCCAGTTGTGGGTATGTCTTTATTAGTAGCGTGATAACAGATTAATATAGCATCCTTTGCTAGTTGATTTACTTCTTATGAACTTCTCCTACTTGCTACTTCTTATATCACCCATGTTGCAATAACCTTAACTCTCTGTAACTCTTGTGCCATATCCTTCAAGAGAGGCACCACATGACTGCTTAACTCTGATAGACCTCGGGAGGATCTCCAAGAGAGTCTCCTAGGTAATGCTTAGTTGTCCTGGTTTACGGATGGCTCATATTTACAAAATGACTCTGGCAAGTATTGTGCAGGCGCTATAATCACTAATGCCTTTGAGGTGGTGAAAGCAGCTCTTTTGCCTTTAGCCTCTTCAGCCCAGCAAGCAGAGCTAATTGCCCCACTCAAGCCTGTCTCCTTGCTGAGGAAGACTGTTAATGATTACACAGACAGTTGGTAGTCCTTAGGAATTGCTCATGACTTTGGAATGTTATGAAAACAAAGAGGTTTCCTTACTTCCAGTGAAGACAAAATAAAGAATTGGATTGTATATAACAGAATTATTAGATGTAATACAGCTATCCGCCCTCTAGCCATTATCAAATTTTTAGGCCATTCAAAACCAGACGCTATGGGAACTAGAGGAAATTACCTGGCTAATAACACAACAAAGAATGGTGCCCTTAAAGATCCTTCTGATCAAATCTTTGTCATGACCCAACTAGAAAGATTCCTAAGAGATGAATTTAAAATAATTACTAAAGATGCACAGAATTGGGCAATAGAGGCCAAAAACAGAAAATAAAACAAAAAACCCAAATTGGAAAAATAACAGCTGCTGCTTTAATGATAAAGAGGAACTCTGGTTTTAGCCAAAACAAACAAACAAAACAAACAAAAACAACAAAAAACCTTTCTTCCAGACCCCATGAAATTTTTGTTATTAAATACTGTACATAATTAAGTCATTAGACTACAGAAAAGATTATTACTTTTATGAAAAAATACTGATAGGGCAAGGTCAACACCGCAGTTGAAAAATGTTTATTTATCCTGCCCCCCTCATCGTAGAAAGCAAGTATGTACAGCCCCAGGCCATTTTAACCACCATAATGGGCCATTTGAGAATTAGCAGATGGATTTTATTCATCGATCTCCGATCTCCTTCACATTAATACAATTATATTTTAGTTTTTAATCTATATGTTTTCCTATTGGGTTGAAACCTTTTCCTGAAGATGAGCAAGCACTTCTGGAATGGCTAACGTCCTATTATTAAAAAAAAAAAAAAAAAAAAATTCTACCTGGAGTTTTACCCCTTAAGCTCCACAGTCACTGAGAAACTAATTTTACCAGGCAAGTTATCAAACAAGAGTGTGGTTTCTAACCAATCTTACAGAACTTTCATTGTGTTAATTATCCTCAGTTCTCTATACTAGTTGAACATAACAATAGCACTCTTAAGAATCAATTTGAAAAGCTTTTGGGAGTGTTACACGTGCCATGGCCAAAAGCCCTATGTATAGTGAATTTGAACTTAGACACTACTCCCTTTGATTACATAAGCTCTCACTATTTCAGATAATTACTGCACTCCCTATGCATTTGGCCCCAACTTCTTTTGACCCCAAATTAATAGAAGGTGAAATGCTTTAATATTATAAAGTTATAATTAAGGCTACAGATAAAAATTATACTCTGGTAGAACAATCTTTCCAAAGTGTGCTCCCAGGGGACAAAGAACTAGAACATTATAACCTACAATCATGGTATTTTGTCTACTGGAAAAGACTCCCTCCAACTTCACTGGAAAGGCCCATGTCACATTTGTTAAAAAAAAAAAACATCTGCACTGCCAAGCTTAAAGAAACTGATTGCTGGATACATGTACCTCATCTAAAAATCTATTATCTCTTAAGTGAGCCTGTACTCTTATCAACAAATTAAAACTAGAAATTGTCTTAAAATATCTAGGACTTGAAGTAGACAACATCTGAGTAGATGGTTTTTTTTTCCCCAAGATACCTTGGCCAGGCCTGTATGCCCTTTTCTCTCTTCTAATTCTTAACTTTATTTTCTCCCTAGAAGGAGGATGTCCTCATCTGCATTTCTCAGTCTGTAGTCCCGGGGGAAACCTCCTTGGGTCCTCCTAACATATGTAAAAAGAAAAAATATATATATGGACCAACTGCAAAAGAAAGGGCTAATAGCAATATTTAGTAATGTAACTGACTCCTGGTTTCATTCTACCATCCATAGAAAATTCATAGATGGAAGAATTTTCTGTACTACTATCATATACATTTACTTTTATGGGTGAGATACCTCAATATGGGGCTCCAGATGTTTAGACACTTGGATAGCAGAAGGTTAATGTGGGTTGGAATATCTGATTGTTCTTTTGTCAATACATAATAGTTCTAAAAATTATCATTTGGATAATCATTGGACTAGACCCTCTTACTACATCAAAGAGTTAACCATGAGTCATTAAGTGGGTTACAGGACGCTGGATTTTCTTCCTTTTGCAGATCTTTTGTGCCATGGTATGATGTTTCTGCTAAGGAAGAAATGATAAAAAATGTATCTGCTACCCTATTGCAGACTCCACTGCAAAGGCCATTGTTGCACAGCAGCACTCATTAGCTTTTCTAGACAGGGTAGTGTTAGATAACAGAGTCGCTCTTGATTATTTATTAGCTAATCAAAGTAATGTTTGTGCCATTGCTAATACTGCATGCTTTACCTAAGTAAACTCCTCTGGGGAAGTTAAGACTCAGTTATGTAAAATAAGAAAACAGCATACCTGGCTACAACAAGTCTCGCTCAGTTCCCTATGATCATTTGATCTATTCAGTTAGTTACCTTTAAGTCAAGGGTCATGGCTCAAAACCATCATGAAAACTGGACTTGTCATATTGCTGTTGTTTATGCTTTGTATTTTTATTTTAAACTCTGTACGTGTTGTCTGTAAAATCTTTTTAGAAATAAAACTCCTTACAAAATAATGTTAGCCTAGTGCTTGAAATGATAGCCAATGTCTATGAAATAGACAAAATCAAATTTTAATATAAAATTCAGACAAACTAATTCTAAAAGCTTCTCTTTCTGGCCTTTTTGTTGCTCAAATGTAGCTACAAGAGTTTTGACACTGACTTCAAGCTGTTAATCACCTTTCTTCAATGCGGAACAAGACCAACTTACTTGAAAAAGTCCAGCCCAGCACTGAGGAACACTTAAAACCTAACTAATGCTAATTGATCAATGATGCTTTTGGAGAAAGATCTTGATCAAAAGGGGGAAATGTGAAAGTTGCAGATACCATGATAAAATCACTTTTGTCACACCCAGACAAAATAGATCCAGAAGGGGAAGGACTGCAAGAGAGGAGGCTCATGAACATGTCTGAGATAAGAATGGTTTCCAAGGACTTTTTAAAAATGTTTTAACATCCTTCACACATATCCTATTTTGATAAGGTCTATCACTAGACATTCATTAGGACTGTAGTAATTCAGATAAGATGTTCTTGAAAGAACCCTTGCTCAGTAACAGCGTCTCCACTAAAGAATTGACAACTCTGACTTTGAGCCTCCGGAACCAATGAACTCTTTCTAAGCAGCTTATGAAAATCTCGTTTTGCAAAGAAAAGCTCCCCTTATCCTTCCCTCGCTGAGTGTACTGGCGGCATCTGCCATTCTCTGCATTCTAGTTCATAATCTTTTTTGTTTTTTTTTTTCTAAAGATGGTTCTTGACCTGTTGCCCAGGATGGAATGCAGTAGCTCTACCATAGCTCACCACAGCCTCAAACTCCTGGGCTCAAGTGATGCCTCTGCCTCAGCTTAGCCTCCTGTGTAGCTAGAACTAGAGGCGTGTCCTACTACACCTGGATAATTGTTTTTTCTGTGTGTGTTTTTTACTTACTTTGTTAGAGACAGGGTCTTGGACTCCTGGGCTGAAGTGATTCTCTTACCTTGGCCTCCAAAATCATAGGGATTAAGCTGTGAATCAGCACACTTTATAATCCTTATTTCTTATTTCTGAGTAAGCCCAACATATTTAGAGATAATTTTATCTAGTGTCCTTTTTTAGATTGATACGTTAGGAACTAGAAATGTGACAAAGACATTGCTGCTTACAGGAAAGATCATCCAGAGCAGAGGAAGTGCAGATAAAGATAATCTGATATTTTTTTTTCCTCCCACCCCCAGTCTCCTATTAGAACCTTCCATTGATTGAACCTCAATCTAATGTCAGCTACAAAGGATCCCTAGTGATACCATCCATAGGGATCAACCTCTCTGGATGCAAATTAAAGGTTAAACATGCAGATTATGAATCTAGAATGGAGAAGAAAGGCTAAGCCAAATGATGAAAACTTGTATGCTTGGCAAAACCACAATCCTAGTAAATCCAACTCTCCTCCCACTCCACACCTGCATAATGCATCTAAATTTTGCTGGAGGAAAACCTGAAAATCACAATGATTAGAGCATATAAATTTATAATGACTAACTTCAACTAAGCCTTTATGGATGATGGGAAACACAATGTACTATTTTTAATCCATTAGCTCTCTTGTACTTCCAGGAGTCTTTTTCCAGACCCTTCTTGTTAAATGTTTAACACCTCTTCTTCCATCTTAACTCTTTTCTGATGAATTTGCTTCATACTTTAGTGAAAAAGATTATAGTAATCAGAAAAGAATGTCTACAGAGTTCCACCACATCAATCTATCTTTCAGTATCTGCAACCACCTACTGTGCTTTTCACCTTAGCTTGGGTGAAATGTCATGCCCCTGTCTATAGTCAGTCTTTCTACTTTGGAGTTAGGTCTTATCTGATCTTCTTTGGGGTTAGGTCTTTTCTGATCTTATCTACTCAAAACTTTTCCTTCAGAAATTCTTTCTATTCCATTTTACATTGTCAACACTTACTTCCTAAAAGATCATTACTACCAGCATATAAAAATGCTATGTTTCTTCAATAGTTATGTGACATTTCAGCAGCGTTTGACCTATTTAACCACTCATTCCATGTGTAATAATGAATTTGGACTTGCCCAAAGAGAAGTCTAGCCTTTTGCCCTTGCTAGGGCAAGAGATAACCTCTGAGAGCCTGAAATTTCCTGAGTGATGGGGGTGTCTTTATTATTGATCATGGGCATCTAGAACTGCACCTAATAATTTATGATAAAAAAGTGATTTATAGTGGGCCTTGTTATCAGCTCAATTTCTAGGGATTTAGGGCTAGAAAATAGGTTCCCCAAGTAGACAATCATATAATCAGTCATTCCTACAAAATGAAGGAATGACTGAGGTTTGGTGAGCTTCCCTGCTTGTAAATACACTGTGCATATCGTCATGCATCAATTCCAGAGAGTAATGTGCCCTAATGACAATAAAAACTATGCTTGGAACCTTTCCAGATTCTGCCTTATGCATCTTCCTTTGGCTGGTTTTAATGTATATTGTCCCTGTAACAAAACATGACAATGAATATAACAGCTTTCAGAGAGTACTGTGAGTACTCCTAGAGAACTGTCATACTTAAAGGGATTTGGGGAACCCCCCGCACTTAACAGTTCGTTTCCTGAGTGAGGATAGTTTTGAAGGATTATGCCTCCAGATTTTGCAGTTTGGCTACATCAAGGAACTCCTCTTTAATAAACCTCTTTTCATTTCATATTCAGGACACCACACTAATAGTTTTCCTCCTACTTCATTGATCACTCCATCATAGCCTCCTGTCAGGTTTTCTTCTCTTCTCCTTTATATTTTAATATTGTAGTATTCTAGGGCTAATTCCTTTATTCCCCTTTTCTTTTTCCTATCTGTAGTAACTCCTGCATGATCTCATCCAGTCTTAAGGACTTAAATATCATCTATTTGCCAAACACCAAATATATATATATCAGATATATATATATCAAATATATCTGATATGTATATTTTATATATATATTTATATATATATATATAAATATATATATATATCTCCAGTCTGTCCTCTCTCCTCAAATTCAAATAAGCATATCCAATAGTTTAACTAACACATCCACCTGGACATCTAACAGATTTCTAAAACCTAGCATATCCATATGAGCATTATCTCTTCTTTCTCGTTTATACCAGTTGGGACTCAGAAAATGCTACCCTGAAGTATTTTAAGCCAAGGAAGATGAGGAGGGCCTCAGAAGCAAGAAGGTTTACTCTCACTTTTCCCCACCTTTCTGAATGAGAGCTGGCCATAAGGAAATTCTGTGACCTATCTTGTCTAAAAGTAGGTAATAAGACCCTCATTACAGAAAGGTCATGCCCTATACTTGGGGCAAAAAAAATATTACACAGGCAGACCAAAAAGTATCTGAATATAAAGGCCTTCCTGGGCTTCCCCACTCAGCCTATTACTAGTAGATTATACATTTTGTCAGTCACATTTCTACATGACCGCATTAGTTTGTTTTCATGCTGCTATAAAAAGAAACTGCCTGAGACTGGGTAATTTTTAAAGGAAGAGGTTTAATTGACTCACTGTTCCCCATGCCTGGGGAAGCCTCAGGAAACAATCATGGCGGAAGGCAAAGGGGAAGCAAGGCACCTCTTACGTGGCGGAAGGAGAGAGAAAGCAAGAAAAGGGAAGCGCTAGACACTTATCAAACAACCAGATCTTGTGAGAACCCACAGCAAGTGGAAAATCTGTCCCCATGATGCAATCACCTCCCACCAGGACCCTCCCTCCACACATGGGGATTACAATTTGAGATGAGATTTGGGTGGGGATACAGAACAAAACCAAACCATATCAATGACTGTTTATTATTCATGGAATTTAAGCATAAAATAGTTTTCTCAGGCTTTTCACTTCTGAAGTCTTCTATGTCACATAAAACTTTAGTTAAATAAACTTATTATTTTCTCTTATTAACCTGTTTTTTTATTACAGTAATTTTGGCCGTGAGTTTTATGATGGGTGAACAAAAAGTATAACCCCTTTCCACTCCTACTTATCCCAGTGCCCAAGCTGTTACTCATGATATTCTTCATCTAAGTGAAACACAAGTCAATATTAAGTTACTCAGGCAACAAGTCTTGAGGTTACACTCATATTTTCTCATTTTTTTTTTAAATGTGAAAACTATGACCTCTACCATCAAAGTATATTTAGAACCTGATGTTTTGCACTACTTCCAGTTCTACCAACTTATCCTCTCTTTCCTGGATTACTGTAGAACTTTAACTGGTGCCGTTGCTGCTTTTCTTGACTGCGTATAACCTAATCTTTAGATCGCAGCCAGGAAGTTTCTTTTGAAAGACAAATTGGATTCTGCCCTTTCTCTACTCAAAACCCACTGGTGGTCTCTCCTTTCACATAGGGGAAATCAAAGTCTTTGCAAAGACCAACAAGTGCCTACATAATATGCCTTATTATTTGCTTTCAAATCTCATCAGCTACTCATACTGCCGCAGTCATGCTGTCTTCCTTGTTGTAAGGCTCAATGAACAGGATAGATCTACTTCACCTTTGCTCCTTTGCGTTGACAGGGACAGTCTTCTCCCTGATGTTCAGAAAACTAATTCCATTTGTCTGCTTAAAGTCTTTCTTCAAATGTCAACTTTTTATAAATATATAATATTTTCAATCTTTTTTATTTTTTATTATTTTTTATTTTTATTTTATTATTTTATTTTATTTTATTTTATTTTTGAGACCGAGTTTTGCTCTTGTTGCCCAGGCTAGAGTGCAATGGCGCAATCTCAGCTCACTGCAACCTCCGCCTCCTGGGTTCAAGCGATTCTCCTGCCTCAGCCTCCCAAGTAGCTGAGATTACAGGCATGCGCCACCATGCCCAGCTAATTTTTTGTATTTTTAGTAGAGACGGGGTTTCTCCATGTTGGTCAGGCTGGTCTTGAACTCCCGACATCAGGTGATCCGCCCGCCTCGGCCTCCCAAAGTGCTGGGATTACAGGCGTGAGCCACCGCGCCCGGCCAAATGTTTTTTAAAAAATTCAATATTAGGAGCATTATCTCCTAATGCTCCTAATATCTCTCATCAATAATTATACTTTCTACATTTTTCCAAAGCATTCATCACCTACCGCAATATTATGTAACTTACTTATATTTATAGTTTATTGTCTGTGTCTCCTTGTCCAGTTAGCTTTTGGTCAATTCCATGCATAAACATAACCAAAGCCAACAGACTTATATTGCTGGGGGGCAGAAGAGGGAACGTAACATACATTCTCATCCATTACTGGGTTTATAAATGAGGCCCCTATAGTAAAAGAGTAACAAGAGTTAAAGTATATAATTTTATTGAATATAACATTTTTAATATGTAACAGCCTTCAGAAAAAAAGACTCAAAGAAACAGAAAAAATGTATATTTTTATGCTAAGTTTAATGAATGAATAGAAAATATTTTGTGGAAAAATATGATTGAAAGACAAAAATTGTTTGACTAAATGACAATAAAGTGGAAATATTTATTTATCCTCTGGTAATAAACAGGGAACTTAACAATGCCTGTTGGATCAGATTCTTCTTGGCATCTTTGTGTCTTTTCTCCAGAAGAGAAAAAGTATATTACTTTTCCCCAAAAATAGGAAAAAACACTTCTAAAATGAAGGTCTTATGACCTACTTTAGAGGAAAGTCAGCTGTGTTTTAAGGCATACTTCAGCAGAAAAGGATCAAGGGGAAGGTGAAAGTGATATTTCTGCTTCTGCTGTTTTCTCAAATGGCAAGATACCATATTTAGAGGTGGTGTGTTTTGAACCCCACCATTGTAATGTCACAAGCAGGAAAATTCAAGTCTATTACCTACTGTTCTCTATCTTAGAACACCTGTTTCTACCATCTCAATGAAAATTTGAATGGGAAGGCAATATCAGTTAACTATCCAATTTCTGACATCAGGTTTTGGCTTTTTTTCCTTTCCTTTTTCTTTGACAATCCTGTAAGTTTTCAAATTATAAAAAACAAAACAAAAACAACAACAAAAACTGCACTGCAAGATGCAGGTAAAGAGTACCTTCTTTAGAAAATCTAAATTCATTTTCATCTATTTCTGCATATTGATATATCCTTGCCTAATTTTATCTTTCTCTTATGGGAATTTGCTTTAAAAAAATCAAGAAGACAATAGCAAATTTCAACATTTTTCTTTTTTTCTAGCATTTGCATTAGTGTTCTAGTTTTGTTTGCATTTGGTTTGCCCTACTAGGCTAGCAGATATGATAGTATTTACTGCAATTACATCAACATTTGTGGTTTCTTCCCTTTCCAGTACATGTATACAAGGATTGCATATCTCTCCCATTGCCTCCTGACAACCTGTAGCAGTTAAGCATAATCATGTAGTTTTCTGTTTTTAATAAAAGTTATATATTTGATTTAAGCAACCTATGGGTAGGAAATCTTGGAGTAGTTTCAATTTCTCCTTTTCTGCACTGAATTAAGATAGGATTGCCCAAGATCTATTTAGTGTGAAATGTGGACAGCAAACTGCTTAGGCTCACATGTAAACTTTGACTGACAAAAAAAAAAAAAATACATAGATAAATAAATAACACCTTTTATTGTATTGAGCCACGGGGATTTTGGGATTTTTGTTCCTGTAACATAACTTATCCTATTTAGAATTGATCAGATGTAAAACAAGGTACTTATTTCAATTACTCTGCTAGCTATGATTAGGTTCTATCACATGTGAAAAAAAACCACCAGACAATAATAAATCTAAAAATATAGAAACTCTAAAAAGATAGAAACTCTAAAAAGATAGAAATAATAACTCTAAAAAGATAGATAAGTGATACCTAGAAGGTAGCCCAAATCTTGTATTAAGGTTTTATAGTATAGATATATAGGCTTTTTCAATATTCTCTGGCTCTATTATCTTTATTACTAGGATATCTTCTATAAGCCCAAGTATAGAGTGACAATAAGTATTGGTTTTCCCAGGACATTTCCATTGTATACTTATTGCTTTGGGTTAACAGTTTTTTTAAAAAATTTCCTTTCACTCTCTAATGGGTTCCAGACTGAGTGACAAATTATATGATCATTCTTGACAAAAATTTTCTTCTTGTTCAAACTCTAGTCAGGCTCCTCTGACACTTTTCTCAAGCCTTGAATTTTAGGCTGCTGTGTCCACCTCTGCATTGTCTAATTTCAGCAAAAATCCTGCTAAGCCAGTTTATCCAGAAGGCCCCATCTTTCATATTTGATACACTAAATATCTGATTGGGCTCTTTATCCTCCACTATTCTCCAGATGATGTCTAATCACTCTAGTCTACCTTTAGCAAGAATCCTGTTAAGTCAGTTTAGACAAAAGCCCCATTACCTTTGATGTCTTTTCTTGGTAATTTTTTATCCACTGACCCCCAACTTGAACCTTAGCTACAAATTCCCACTTTTTCTTCAATTCAGAGTTTACCCCAATCTCTCTATCCTACTAAAAGCCTCATGCTAGTAGCCCCTCCTTGTTCAAATATGTGCTTTTGTTTGCATTTGGTTTGCCCTACTAGGCTAACAAATGTGATAGTATTTACTACAATTACATCAACATTTTACAAAATTTTACATGTGCCATGAATAATTTCTTTTAATTTAACACTCCATCTATAATAGAAGTTTAAACTCCTATTGTCACTTCTGAATTCAGATAGAATTCAGTAGGTTAGGAGGATGAGAGATGCCTGAATTCTAAGACATAGGTGGAGTTAACAAATTGCCAGCCATTATTCCAGAAGTCACAAGATTTGCAACTTACCCAATTCACTATTGTAGAAACTAAAGTTGTCCTTGTGAGATGTCTTTTCCAGAGTTTGCATATCTAATGACCAACTGGCTCTACTTGGACGCTTAACTCCGGGCTCAACAGGTCCTGTGACCCTACTCCAAAGCCAACTCAGTGCTTGAAGACCATTTTCCACACCCCTATAATTGCATCCCCGGCCAAACAGCAACACCCATTCCCCTAACCACCTGCCCAGCAAACTATTCTTGAAAAACCCCAGCCTCTGAATTTTCAGGGAGATTGATTTGAGTAGTAACTGTCTCCCACGTGGCATGGCTGGTCTCATATCAATTAGATTCTTCATTGCAATGTTGTGGTCTCAGTGAATTGGTTTTGACTGTGCAGTGGGTAGGAAGAAATCACCAGGCAACTACAAAATCTTTCCTTAAACTCTGTGTTTTTATTTAAAAAAACAGTCTTAGTATCACATTTTCAAATATTTGAACTAGTTAACAATTGCTGTAGTTTGAGTAGGAGGCAGATCTTGTAATAAATAATTTGAAGTACTTACAGACAAGTTTTGGATTCAGATAGACAGCATGGTGTCTTTTATTTTTGTTCTGCCCTGTGTGACTTCTTCTTAAAGTATGTCTTTATCATATATCACCTCTCTAAGACTTGACTTTTCTTTGTGATTGAAAAAGAATTATTAATTAGGCCATGAAAAGATAAAAGGGTTAAGGTATATAAAGAATCTAGCATAGAATATATCTTTAATAAATATTTGCCATGATTATTATTATATCAATGACCTAGATGCTGATCATTATAATTTATGCAAATTCTATTAGAAAACATTCATAAACTCTTGAATATTATTTGAAAACTCACTGAAATAGCTTTGTCCTATTAAACAGACATATGAGGGCACTCACTTATGCAAGCAATGGCAATTAACCAAGCATTCCAATTCTGTTATAGAGTCCTACATCCTTCATCAGAAGTACTGGAGGAGGATATGCTCTCTTGATTTCTAAAAAAAGGCATTCATCCTATGCTTACTTCAGGAGATTGATTGGGTGTGGATGCTTCATTTCCCTTAGAAGAGATCAAATTAACAATTAACTCATTCATAGGTACAAGCAGCCTGAGCTTAAAGGAGTTTTATAAAGTCTTACCTGGTGAAAAATTACAAATCGCCATAATAACACACAATGTTAAATAAAGGGATTTCCCTGAATTCAGAAAAGCATAATTATAAGTATGTATTTTTAACAGAAATTAGAAAAGGCTTGTGGTTTTAAAAGTTTTAAAATTTGTTTTGAAAGTACATTGGCTTCTACAGTATAATTGTAATATAAAATTAAATATATATGAAAAAATTGTCATTTTAGCTTAGTGTTGAAAGAAATCACAGCTTTTATTGTTATGTGATAATAAAATTACATTGTAAGTTTTACTATCAGTCAAAACAAATTTCAAATTGAAAAACAAGAGAACGAGAAAAGCAAAAAGAGAAAGAAAGTAAGCTTCTAAAGTTGATAAGAACTAACAAGTGAACTACTCTTCAATGAAATTTGGAGACAAAACTGTCTGCAGCTAAATCTTGATATTTAAATTATAACACAGAGTTAACTTTAAATTGTAATTTTGGTTACATTCAGATCACATCATTTGCTATGTATTTACAAGATAAAATGATTATTTCAATTTAAAATACTCAAGTTGTCATTTATGTTAACTTCATTAATTTTTTATTCCTCATAAGCATCCTGTATTGATTGTCCCCTTTATATGTTTAGATTTGTTTCTCCTAATCCTCACTCGGTGAAGTCCCTTCAGTCAATTAAATTTCTAACCCCATTTCTTTGCCAAGAGATTTCCCTCATTCTCTCACATAACTGGCATATTTTTCTCTTTGAGTTGTAAATCATTCTATATCCTTTCTCTCCTCTTAGTATTTTTATTTTGGGATTAATTATACTATTCTAATGATGCTTCCCTGATTTCTTAAGCCTTCAAAGTATTTGACATGTTATAAAGCTGTAAAACCAAATAACTTACTGCTGGCCTCTGCGGTATCTATTTCTCTAGGCTGAATAATGCTCTCAGTGGGATAAAAAGGTGAGCATTGAAGTAGGTCAGGGATTTCCTTACAAATAGTATCACCACTCTATTGCTTCACTATAGAAAATAACAAGAGCATGTTTTATCTGATTGTGAAGCCTTTGGTGTCTTGCTACACTTTTAAGGCTGCAGGCCACAGTGGAATAGGTTGAATTAATCTCTTTAGGTTTAAGCTTATTTATCAAAAAGGAAGAAGGTTGTATGCTAAAGTCTTAGGTCAAGCCCTCTGCTTTCACCACTATCTTCTACCTTCATATAACTGAGATGTGACTTAATAACATCTTTACACATTGAATAATGCTTTGCTCTGCCTTATGATGGCAGAGCACAGCAAGACATTGTGTAAATGTTGAAAGATATAATATCATTAATCCGGGTATAAATCCAGCAGCAAGAGAGTAGAAATGTATAAGTATATGGGGAATTTGCTGAAAAATAAGATAGATAATTTGTTCAGTTTTTATAATAAAGATACACACATCTATTTTGTATATATGTATATAATGAATATATGTATTGAAAATAAATATAAATTCAGATTTTTAGGTAGAGCTATAATTCAGAACTCTTTTTTTTTGAGATGGAGTTTGGCTCTTGTTGCCTTGGGTGCAGTGGTGCCATCACAGCTCATTGCAACTTCCGCCTCCCGGGTTCCAGCGATTCTCCTGCCTCAGCCTCCTGAGTAGCTGGGATTACAGGCATGTGCCACCACGCACGGCTAATTTTGTATTTTCAGTAGAGATGGGGTTTTTCCATGTTGGTCAGGCTGGTCTCAAACACCCGACCTCAGGTGATCTGCCTGCCTTGGCCTCCCAAAGTCCTGGGATTACAGACATGAGCCACTGTGCCTGGCCCATAATTCAGAACTCTTAGATGTAAGATACTGTCTAACCTAAATATATTTTAAAAATTATTAAATACTGTTAAATTATATGTTATCTCTCAGGTCCTTGGGTGAATTTCCATTTGTTCTCTTGGGTAGTTTGGTTCAGATGTCCTAAGTATAGGCAGTGGAAATGAATGGCATATTTGTCAGAGATCTGGTTGTTAATGATAACAAAAGTGGTTGTGGCCTCAGACAAATTTACAAAGTTATCAAGTTTTATTGTTGTAAAACTACCATCTGTTAAGATTCTATCAAGAAAGGACATCCTCTCTCCTTTGTCCCCAAGGCCATCCCCAAATCATCTATTTCTTTGTGTTATTTCCTCCCCTCTTTCCACTTGTGACTTTCTGGAACCATTTATTTTAAACTCACTGCAGGTAGTTTCTATATGTAAAAGTAACAAATAAAAGATAATCTCTGCCTTAGAAAACTAAGACTAATAATGTATATATTCAACAAGAATAATATCTTATCAATTTTTAAGCATAAAATGCTTTTGGGCAATAGAAAACTAAGACTAATAATGTATATATTCAACAAGAATGATATCTTATCAATTTTTAAGCATAAAATGCTTTTGGGTAATAATTAGACTTGTTAAAATGATGTGTAAGAATCAGAAATTATTCACAGAAAGATTGTCAGTTATAAAGATTATTTGGAATCAAGTATGAAGTTTCTTAATATGCAGCTTTTGGGGCCCAGCAAAGGGGGATAGGTGGAATCCCTTAATCAGCATGTTTAACAAGTAATATAGAGAATAATAATAATAAGTAACAACATTGAATGCTTATTAAGAAAGAATGGTACACTGGTTAATCTACTTACCACCATTTCATAGACCCAGATTTAAGCTCTCATATTCATTGGGCAAGTATATTAGCTATGGGAGAAAAGAACCACGAGCTACAGATACCAGGCAGAACTTGCGGAAAGGTATTTTACCAGTAGACTGTTGTTAGAGTAATATGAAATAGCAGCCACCCCTAATCTCAGTGATTTATAACAGCAATGGTTTGTTCTCCTACGTATAGATTGGTCTCATCTGGCCAGCTCTGTTGGACTGCAGTGGCTGGAGCTCCACAGGACTTTATTTTAGGGGAAAGTCCGAAAGGAGAGCAGCTACTTGGGGTAAGCTCTTAAGTTTTCATAGCGATTGTCAGAGGCTCAAAAGATAAGGGTAACTATACCTTGCTGACAGGTAAGCTACCATAGTATTGACTAAGACACTTGAAATGGCCAAGGTCAGTATTAGTAGAGTGGTGTATGTGTCAGATTTAGTCGGGAGACAGAATACATGCCAGTTATTCAAAAATAATTTCTTTAAAAGCTTGTTAATGAGGTATAAAGATGTTAGTTAGATAATAGAAAGTTACCACCCTTCTCCCTAAAGGAACAAAGAGAGGAGTTTCAAATAATCAAAATTTATAAATGTAGATGTGGCTTAATTATGGACTGAATTGTGACCTTCCAAAATTTATGGGTTGAATCCCAACACTCTATTGTAACTGTGTTTGGAGATACAACCTTTAAGGAGATAATTAAGATTAAATGAGGTCATAAGGGTGAGGCTTAAATTCAATAGGACTGTGTCCTTATAAGGAAAAAAAGAGACATAAAAAGTATATGCACACAGAGAAAAGACCATGTGAGGACACAGTAGAAGGTGGCCACCTGCAAGCCAGGAGGAGAGGACCCACCAGAAACCAACCCTGCCATAACCTTGATCTTGGATTCCAGCTTCCATAACTGTGAGCAAATACAAGTCAGTTAAGCCACTGAGTCTTTGATATTTTGTAATGGCCAACTGAGCTGAGGGATGCAGGCCCCATGGGGATGAAATCTAAACTTCAAAGGTGGAGGTCTTACTCATATGAATTCTGAGGAGTAGTTCCTTGGGCATGTGACACAATTTTTTAGGATGGATAAAAATCATGATAATATAAAAAACAGTTCAATATTTAGTAAAATCGTGTCAAAATTATTCCGTAAAATTGATTTTTTGAGGTTACGTTAGCTGTACTTCTGTTGAAAGCAGAAGTCTCTTCAAAAATTACATTCAACAATAATTTAATTTTAAAAATACATATTTTGTTTTATCCAAATAAGCTAAATTGATTGACATAAAAAGCTAGAAAATAAAATAATACAGAAAAAAACATAAAAACATGAACATTTATAAGATTATGTTTTATGTAGGGATACCTCGTATTCAAATATTGTTAATTCAAAGAATAACAATTAGATATGTATTTTTATTTTTGAAAATAATATTATTGCTTTCTATTTTATTTTATGATATCTAATATTTCTACACATATATGGGGCACATGTGATACATTGCTATATTGCTACATTCATAGAATGTGTAATAACTACATTTATGGTATCCATCACTTTAATTATTTAAAATCTTTACATATTGGGAGCATTTCAAGTCCTCACTTCTAGCTATTTTGGAATATCCAATATATTGTTGTTAACTATAGTCATCCTTTCCACTATAAAACATTAGAACTGATTCCTTTTATATAACTGTGTGTTTGTACCCATTAACTAACACTTCTTCATCCCTCTTCTCCCAATACACAGCCTTTCTAGCATCTTGTATCTATCATTCTACTCTCTACCTCCATGAGATCAAATTTTTAGCTCCCACATATGAGTCAGAACATGCAATATTTGTCTTTCTGTGCTTGGCTTAACATAAATTCCCCCACTTTTATACATGTTGCTGAAAATGACATGATTTCATTCTTTTTAGGACCAAATAGTATTCCACTGTGCATATACGCCCCATTTTCTTTATTCATTAGTCCACTGGGCATGTAAATAGGTTCTGTATCTTTGCTATGGTAAATAGTGCTGCAATAGATGGGGTGCAGGTTTCTTTTTAGTATACAGACATATATCTTCCTTTTTAAGACAAATTGTAATAAAATAGAGATGCAAATTAAATGGAACAGAAAGGAAAAAGTTGTAAAAAATTCAAGCAAAGGGTTTTGCTGGTAACAAATGCATCCAGCCTAAATAATAAAAAGACCAAATTGGAAGATTGAAAGGAAGCTGCCAGAGCACTGACTGCTCTCTGCTGGTGGAATTCTACCAGTGAATTGGTAAGCCACTAAAATAACACAAAGTCTGCAATAGAAGTCATACAAATAATGTTAAATATAATGCAAACAATTGTAAATTTTTGAATAGTTGTAAAAATATGGTTTTAAAATTATCACTGTAAAAAATTTACAATCACCAGCATCTACAGCAAATTACAGCCTACATTTGGGAGTCTCAGGAAAGCTTTATTCTATGTGTCCCAAGGTACAGAGCAAACAATTCAGAGAATTGTAAATCATCATGTTAACTGGAGTGAGCTAAAAAGAGTTTAAATATTTCACACAAAATCATTTACAAAAACAAGTTCAGATTACATTAGACAATCCTGCCTATAAAAGTTCTTTCCTAACCAAATATTTACTCTCAGGGTATGTCCTTGTCTTCCAGCCACTGGCACATCAACGGTTCTTCTCCTGATTCTCCCTCCCTCCTCTTTATTACTTTCTTCTCATCTCACATTCCCGTTGAGAAACAAAAGCAAATTTGCCAATTTTTCTCTTATGAAGCCTTTGCATGATCACTTTCATTACTTTGTTTCCTGCCTACATCCAAATCTCATATTAAGTAAATTATCACGAAATATTTTACAACAAAGAAATTTCCTTACTTAAATTATGATAGTAGGAAGTGGTATGCTGAAACCAGCTCACACAGATTTTGTGGCTGTCTTCCCAACTCTACATTCAGTAATGCCACTTTGGCAGCTTTAAAGTGGTGCCTGTATAGAGAGAAGGAGGGGTGGAGGGAACATTTAGATAATTGAAATGAGTAAATTGGGGCTTCTTCTCTTCCCTGGAGAGTCAATTGTTTTAACATTTCTCAGTGCAGCACTAGAATCAATTGTTTTAACATTTCTCAGTGCAGCACTAAAGCCATTTATTGTTAGGAAATATTAACGATGACAGTACTAGCTAACATTTGAAGTTTATTTGGACTGATATTGTAAACATTTTTATACCTTAAGCCAATTAGTACCAAAAATAATCGTATAGAGTAGGTAGTAGAATTTCCCATATTATGAGGTGATCATACTGAGGTCAGAGATGTTGGAGCTCATTCAAGGTAATCTTTCTAGTAAGTGCTAGTACAGCAGTATAAAAACTGCCTTGGCCAGGTGCGGTGGCTCACGCCTGTAATCCCAGCATTTTGGGAGGCCGAGGCAGACAGATCACGAGGTCAGGAGATCGAGACCATCCTGGCCAACACGGTGAAACCCCGTCTCTACTAAAAATACAAAAAATTAGCCAGGTGTGGTGGTGGGCGCCTGTAGTCCCAGCTGCTGGGGAGGCTGAGGCAGGAGAATGGCATGAAGCGGGTAGGTGGAGCTTGCAGTGAGCTGAGATCACGCCACTGCACTCCAGCCTGGGTGACAGAGCAAGACTCCGTCTCCAAACAAAAACAAAAACAAAACAAAACAAAACAAAAAACTGCCTCACCCAGATTCTGAACATGAGCTTAGAATATTAGAAAAATATTAGAAAGGAAAGTCTGGGAGTCGTGAGACCTGAGAATAGGTCCCTGTGTTCCATTTTTGCTCTTTGGCCTTGGGCAATTTGTTTTCTTCAGCCTGAAATGAAGTCTCCTCAACTAAAACTATAGATAAAAATAACTATCTTACAGGATTGTTTGATGAATATTTCAATGAAGTCACAAAGTTTTTCATTAATCTAAAACATATAATGCATTTGTAATATTTAGTTAATACTTAAATAAACAATTTCTTCATTTTCTTTTACTCATTATTCCTGGTTGTATCACTTGAGTTCTCCTTATATAAAAATATGTGTTGATTTTGGACACATGAGAAACAGAATTGTCTTATTTTTCAAATATTTTTCCTATTTGCAGTGGGCTTTAGCTCCTCAAACATATGACTACAGTTACCATGTTTTCCTAAATAGCCTCTTTTTAAAAAGAAAATGTGGTTCTTTTTAACTTTTATTTTAAGTTCAGGGGTACAAGTGCAAGTTTTTTACATAGGTAAACTTGTGTTATGGGGTTTGTTGTACAGATTATTTCATAACCCAGATATTAACCCTAGTAGCACCCATTAGTTATTTTCCTGATCCCTTCCTCCACGCTAGCTCCATCCGTGCAAAAAGGCCTGAGTGTGTGTTGTGCCCCTCTTCGTGTCTGTGTGTTCTCATCATTTATCTCCCACTTATGAGTGAGAACATGCGATATTTGGTTTTCTGTTCTTGTGTTAATTTTCTAAGGCTAATGGCCTCCAGCTCCATCCATGTCCCTGAAAAGGGCATGATCTCATTCTTTTTTAATTTTAATTTAATTTTAAGTTCCAGGGTGTGCAGGTTTGTTACATAAGTAAACATGTGCCATGGTGATTTGCTGTACCCCTCAACCCATCACCTAGGTATTAAGCCCAGCATGCATTAGCTATTTTTTCCTGATGCTCTCTCTCACCCCACCCCCCAATAAGCCCCAGTGTGTGTTGTTCCCCTCCCTGTATTTATATGTTCACATTGTTCAGCTCCTGCTTATAAGTGAGAATATGTGGTGTTTGGTTTTCTGTTCCTGTATTGGTTTGCTGAGGATTATGGCTTCCAGTTCCATCCATGTTCCTGCAAAGAACATGATCTTGTTCTTTTTTATGGCTGCATAGTATTCCATGGTGTATATGTACCACATTTTCTTTATCCAGTCTATCATTAATGGATATTTAGGTTGATTCTATTTATTTGCTATTGGAATAGTGCTACAATGAACATATGCATTAATGAATCTTTATAATAGAATGATTTATATTCATTTGGGTATATACCCAGTTATGGGATTGCTGGGTCAAATGGTATTTCTGGTTCTAGGTCTTTGAGGAATTGCCACACTGTCTTTCACGATGGTTAAACTAATTTACATGCCCGCCAACAGTGTAAAAGTGTTCCTATTTCTCCACAGCCTTGCCAGCATCTGTTGTTTCTTTACTTTTTAGTAATCATCATTCCAACTAGTGTGAGGTGGTATCTGATTGTGGTTTCCATTTGCATTTCCCTAATGATCAGTGATATTGAGGTTTTTATCATTAGAGTGAACCAACAACTTTCAGAGTGGGAGAAAATTTTTGCGATCTATCTATCTGAAGAAGGTTTAATATCCAGGATCTACAAGATACTTCAGCAAATTTAAAGAAAAAAAAAAACACAAAAAACCGCCCCATTAAAAGTGGGCAAAAACATGAATAGACACTTCTGGAAAGAAGACATTTAGGGGCCATAAAACATATGATCTTATTCTTTTTTATGGCTGCATAGATTTCATGGTGTATGTCTATCACATTTTCTTTATTCAGTCTATCATTGATGAAAATTTAGGTTGATTTCATGTCTTTGCTATTGTGAAGAGTGCTGTAATGAACATTCGTATGCATGTGTCTTTATGATAGAATGATTTATATTTCTTTGGGTATATACCCCATAAGAAGATTGCTGGATCAAATAGTATTTCTATCTTTAATTCTTTGAGGAATTGTCATACTGTCTCACACAACAGTTGAACTAATTTACACTCCCATCAACAGTGTATAAGCGTTCATTTTTCTCCACAACCTCACCAGCATCTGCTATTTTTGACTTTAGTAATAGCCATTCTAAATGGTGTGAGATGGCAGCTCATTGTGATTTTAATTTGCATTTGTCTAATGATCAGTGATGTTTAGCTTTTTTTTTGTTATTTGTTATTCTGCTGTTGTGAGATGACATGTTCTGCATATATCTGTTAGATCCTTTTGGCTTAAAGTGTAGTTTAAATTCCAAAAGTTTTCTTATTGATTTTCTGTCTGGATATTTTATCCAGTATTGAGAATTAGGCATTAAATTATCATACTATTATTGTATTTCTGTCTATTTCTGCCTTCAATTTGTTAATATTTTCTTTATATTTTGGTGCTCCAATGCTGTGTGTATTCCAACATATTGATATATTTAAAACTGTTATAGCCTCCTGATTTCAAATTTCTGTATATATAATGACCTTCTTCCCCTCTTGTGATAGTTTTTGACATAAAGTCTATATTGTCTAAAATAATTATAGCTACCCCTGATCATTGTTTATTTCCATTTGCATGGAATACCGGTTTTTTTCTGTCTCTTTACATTTAGCCTATGTGTGTCCTTTAAGCTGAAGTGAGTCTTTTATGGGCAATATATACTTGGGTCTTGTTTTTGTTTTTAAATCTATTCAGTCACTCTGTATCTTTTGATTGAAATTCAAATCCATTTACATTTAAAGTAATTATTGATAGGTAAGGACTATTTCCATCTTAAAAATTGTTTTCCGGTTTTTATGTATCTTTGTATTTTCTAAGTTCCTTAGTCCCTCTATCACTGTTTCTTTTAGATTCAATGATTCATTGATTTTTTTGGTAGCAGTATGCTTTAATTCTTATCTCTTTATATTTTGTATATCTGCTATGATTTTTTGCCTTGTGATTACCATGAGGCTCATATAAAATAGAATATAGTTCTAATAGTCTATTTTAAACTGATGACAACTTAATTTCTATCACATTAAAAAATCCTACACTTTCATTTCCCCCACTTTATGTTTTCGATATCACAATTTACATCTTTTTAAATATATATCTATGAGCAAGTTATTATAGCTCTTATTATTTTAAGTACTTTTCAATTTTAACCTTTTACTAGAGTTAAAAATGATTTACATACCATAATTACAGTGTTAAAGAATTCTAAATTTGTCTATATACTTGCATTTACCAGTGAGTTTTATACTTTCATTTGAATTTGTGTTACTAATTATCATGATTATATTTCAGATTAAATAACTTTCTTTAGCATTTCTTACAAGGCAGGTCTAGTAGTAATGAATTATCTCAGCTTTTTTTCATTTGGGATAATTTTTCTCCTTTATTTCTGATGTACAGCTTTACCAGGTAAATTATTATTGGTTGACTTGTTTTTGTTTTTTTTTCATTTAGTATTTTGAATGTATCGTCCAAATCTTTCCTGGCTTGCCAGGTTTATGGTGAGACATCCACTAGTAGTCTTATAAGAATTCATTTGTACGTGACCAGTCTCTCTTCTCATGCTGCTTTCAAAATTCTCTTTGTCTTTGATTTTTGACAGTTTGATTATAACGTGTCTCAGTGAAGTACTCTTTGTGTTGTGCCTGTTTGGGAATATTTGGGCATCATGTACTTGAATATCTTTATCTCTTTTCATATTTGAGAATTTTTCAATTGTATTTCTTTAAATAAGCTTTTTCACCCTTTACCTCTTCTTTATCTGGAAATCTCATAATTTTTATATTAATTCTGTTGATATTTTCACATAAATTTGGTAGTCTTTCTTCATTTCTGTTTGTTTTTTCTCATTTGATTGGATGATTTCAAGTCATCTGTCTGCAAATTCCTGGATTATTTTTTCTGCTTGATGAAATCATTTGTTGATTACCTCCATTGAATTTTTCATTTAATTCATTATAGTCTTCAGTTCTGGAATTTCTGTTTCCTTCTTTTTTATATAATTTTTGTCTTTGCTGAACATCTTTCTCCATGTTTTTTTCTGATTTCATTGAATTTTCCATCTTTTTTTTTTAGCACTCTGAGTTTTTTTATTTTGAATTATTTGTCTGGTACTTCATAAATCCCCATTTATGAGGCCAATTACTGGAAAATTATGGTGTTATTTTGGTGGTATCATGTTTCCTTGAGTTTCAATGTTCCTTGAAGCCTTTCATTTCAATCTTCACATTTTAAGAAGCGATTACTATCTCCTATCCTTTGTGACTGGATTTGGGAAAGAAACACCTTCACCAGTAAGCCCAGCTAGGGATTCTGAGGCTCTCTTGAACCTTTTATATAAATACTCCTGCTCCATACCTCTGTTCCCTCTTGGGGGAGAAAATTCTTAGGATCATATGTCTTTTTTTTAATCCTGCAAAGGGAGGTCAGGGGCTGAGATCTTCCCATTTTTTTTCCCAGTATTGGGGGGTACCAGTGGGTCACTTGGAGAAGTTCACAGTTGTATCCCAAGTGACTCATAGACAGGCACCGTAATGGAGTCTGACTAGAGGTTATACTAAATGTGGCTATTTGTTGAGTTCTGAGTTTTGCTTGCTATGAATCCTACCTCTCTTCCCTGCTCCCAGCTTCTCCCAACCACTCATCCATACTGATTACCTCAGTAATCTGGGTGGTGTGAAAAATAAGTGGGTCTCTTGGGCAGTAACTTGAACAGAGTAAGAATCCAGGCACTCACCCACTGTACTTTCACTTTCTTCCATGGAAGAAATTGCGGGCTAAAGGTACCTCAATCTCTTTTGGTACTGAGCTGTGCTACCTCATGGAGGGATGATATGGCTTAAGTGAAACTGTTGTTCTTAACCTTTTCAATGTGTTTATTGTCAGATTTTTTGCTCCAAAGGTGTGCTAGACCTTCTCTTCTGTACTCCTGGACTCCCAGAAAGGTACTTTCATTAGTAGATAATGGTCAAAATTAGTGCTCCTATGGAAAGACAATGGTAGAAAATTTCTATACCATAATGTTGCTGATGTCACTCTTCCTTAAATAGTCTTTTCTTCTTAGTAACATCAGCATTTTAATACAGCATTATTATAAATTTTAGTTCCTTAATAACTGGTGTGTTAACTCTGGAATACTCCAAACTGTTTCTTTTTCAAAAATCATAAAACGTTTAATGTTTCACCTTTTCTTTTTTTTTTTTTTTTTTTTGCCCTCTTTTAAGAACTCCTAAAATGTTTGTGGCCCAACAGCTTCTTGGTGGCAGACATTGCTGATATGCTGCTATGACCATAAATTATTTTGGCTCAAGAGTGTGATTAATAATTTACTCTTGCAGTAGTCCTTCAGATTTTATTTTATTAATGTAAGAACACACTTAGAATCATCTCCTGATTCATGCGTAGCTATATCCGTATTCTGCGCAGAATGTTAGGAAATGGATAGTGCTGAATATTTAGGGCCCTACCTTTCAATAGAATCACTGCACACATCAGCATGTCTATATGTCTCCTGTATGACAGATCTTTAAGAACATAGGAATTCGAAAGATATATTTTTTTACTCAATGCTTCTAAAAAGATATATAAAATGCATTTGCCTGTTCAACTGTCTCTATAGTGTATCTCCAGGCATATAATTTTTCATCTTATCAAGTGACTTTTACCAATTTGACAGAATCAAACAATTAAGGTAAACCATAGCTTCAGTTTTGAAAAATAATGCTCTACTTTAGAAGGAATGTATATGGCCCTTTTATTCCAAAATTCTTGTGTTGATATTTTGGTAGAAGTTTCTAGATAATTAGTTCTAGTTTTGCTATACATAATATCTGTTTGTTTTGCCATAATAATGTTTGCAAAACATTATTAGTTCTTCTAATATGACTATTATAAGATATTCAAAAACAATTCTCAAGCATTGTATTAAAACCACTGGTATCATTGATGCAATTGTAAGACCCTTAACATTCCTGATTAATTACATTATTTCATTTCACTGAAAATTATTCCCAAACTTTACGTTTCTTTTAACATGTAGAATATAAACTCATGAATAGAGACCATGCCTCTAGATATTATTTTAATTATTATTTTAAATTATTTTAAGTTGGCATAAAAATTTCCATCAGATTATTATGGATAGATCGTATGTAGAATCCAGAATACTCATTTGACATGTGAAAAAACAAAACAAAACAAAACAGTAAAACACAGGTTAAAGTGAGTTGCCAAAGTCATAGGTTAATTATTTGTCATTATCTATAGGATAATTTAAGTTTCTTGATTACAAGTTCATTATGTTTCAATAGCACTAGTGCAATTAAATAAATCATGGAAACCAATCGGAACTAGTTAACACACTCACAAAATCCACATTTACTATGATGCAGCCTTGTTTGAAACTCTATAGATACAGCCACAGACACACTAAAAGATATTGTTAATCCCCTTGGTAGTAGTTATAAACTTTTTTTTTTCTTTTCTGTCATTGAGTATGTGAATCAAATCTCAGTGTAAGTACTAATATCAGTGTACTAATTAAATGAAGTATAATAAGTAGAAGAAATCCATAAGGAGGAAGCCAGTTAAATAAATACAGCAGGTACTTAGAAAATGCTTTTTTTAAAAAAAGGCCAAAAAGATAAATAAAGAGGCCTCGTTTGTTGTGGCAGAGCCTAAAACGGTGAAATATTTTGCTCTGATAACACAATCAAGGGTTTAATCCACTTTATATGGGTAATATGGTTTAAAAATAAACAAAATTTAGGTAAAATATGGCAAAGTAAAGAAACTTTTATTCCATTTTTATAATGCATAAGAAATTATAAAAACATTGAATAATCAGGGCAAGAAATGTATTTCCCATGAAACTGGATATAAAACTAACCAAAGCCTCAGATAATGAACTGTAAATTGTCTGTACAGTGGATATATACAACGGGGAATACTGAGATCCTATACTTACAACTTAAGATTTTACGTGTCACATATGTATCCATAAAAGTATATAATATATTGGCTGGGCCCAGTGGCTCACACCTGTAATCCCAGCATTTTGGGAGGCTGAAGCGGGTGTATCATGAAGCCTGGAGTTTAAGACCAGCCTGACCAACATGGTGAAACCCCGTCTCTACTAAAATTACAAAAATTAGCTGGGCGTGGTGGTGCATGCATGTAATCCCAGCTACTCAGGAGGCTGAGGGAGGAGAATTGCTTGAACCTGGGAGGCGGAAGTTGCAGTGAGCTGAGATCGTGGCATTGCAACCCATCCTGGGTGACGGAGCAAGGCTCCATCTCAAAAAAAAAAGTATATAATATAGTCTGTAAATGTTCATAAATTAAACTATTAATAAAAAATGAGGTTAATAGTATGGATGGATGAAGAAGAATGATTGTTTTTTTCAAATTTATTTGTCTGGGTAATAAAATTCTACATACTTTTTGCTATGTGACTTCCAATAGAGTAGACAGAGTATATATCCTCATCACTTTGACTTTGGGTTTAACATGATGCTTGTTTTAATCATTGAATGCTAGCAAATGTGACACTAGCAGATGCTTTAAATGTAGTTTTGTGGTGGCCCTTGCTCTTGTCATAGCTACTTCCTATGCCCCACTCAGATACACCCCTCACTCAGGCTCTTTTGACACACTGTCTTAGGCCACTGTTTTTTTTTTTTTCACTCTTTTCACTTTGGAAACCGTTCTCACTTAGCCAGAGTTCAAATACTCTGCACTTCTCACTTTTCATCCAACACTTTCCATCTAATCCATAAACAGGCTACCTAGCTTCCCCATCCTGCACCTTGTTACCCTACTCATGATGCAATATTTCTAACCAATGTGCCCCTCAGCCACTTTCTAGACTACTCTTATTTAGCCCTCAACACCACAATCAGGGCCATGACAGGACCCCTTCCAGCTGTTTGGTGGGACACTAACTTGCTAGACCATTAGTACTACATAATGACATAATAAATTTTTTAGAAGAAAGGAGAAAAAATAAGGTGGAAATAGCAAGGGAAGAGAAATAGCTATGGTATGGTTTTGAGTAATATTGGGACGAGACATTTTCTCATATTTTAAAAGATGACACTTAGCATGGTGAATCCAAGACTGAAGTGAGGTCATGGTTCAGAAGTCTAATGCAGCCCTCTAAAAGAGGCATGATAATGCCATGGATAGTGTGTTAATATGAAGATGTGAGTAGGTTATGGTTTCTGAACATCTTTTGAAGGAGAAGACAATAGTATTAGCTGATGGGGTTTGAAAGAAAGAGAGCAGAAAGAAAGTATTTTCAGTGTCTTAAAAACGTGCATGTTTACAATTGCTATTTACTGACATGGCAACTGTCAAAGGAAAATTAGTTTTGAGAGAAATTTCAAGAACTGGTTTTGAATATATTAAATCTTTCAAGTGTATTTTGCATTTCAGAAGAGCTGTCGATTGTACAGAGGAATATGTAAGACTGAAGATTAGAAATAGCCCAGAGCTTAAATTATAAATTAAAAATAAAATTACCTCTATTCAACTTCACTTGAAACAATGGGTAATATAAAAAATGACTAAAGACAATACAGAAGACAGATAAAATAGTAACTGGAATATTATGAGAAGAAAAAAATACAAAAGCTGCTAGAAATATGTTTAAGTGCTGTATTGTCTGTATTTGTCTGTTCTCACAGTGCTGTAAAGAACTACCTGAGAAAGGGTATTTTACAAAGAAAAGAGGTTTAATCAGTTCATGGTTCTGTAGTCTGTATAGGCTTCTGGGGAGGCCTCAGGAAACTTGCAATCATGGTAGAAGGCAAAAGGAAAGCATATCTTCACATGGCCAGCAGGAAAGAGAAAGAAAGCAAAATGAGAGGTGCTACACACATTCAAACAACCAGACATTGTGAAAACTCTATTATGAGACAGAACTAGGGGGATGGTGCTAAACCATTAGAAACTACCCCCATAATCCAATCATCTCCTACCAGGCCCCATATCCAAAATTGGGAATTATAATTCAACATGATATTTTGGTGGGGACACAGAGCCAAACCATATTATTCCAACCCCAGTCTCTCCTAAATCTCATGTTCTTTTCACATTTCAAAACACATGCCTTCCCAACAGTCTCCCAAAGTCTTAACACATTCCAGGATTAACTTAAAAGTCCAAGTCCAAAGACTCGTCTGAGACAAGGAAAGTCCCTTTTACCTATGAGCCTGTAAAATCGAAAACAAAGTAGTTACTTTCAAGATACAATGGGGGCACAGGTGTTGGGTTAATGCTCCTGTTCCAAAAAGGGAGAAATTGGCAAAGCAAAGGGGCTGCAGGCCAAATGCAAATCTGAAAACCAGCAGGGCAGTCATTAGATCTTAAAGCTCCAAAATAATCTCCTTTGAGTCCATGGCTCACACCCATGCTGACACAAGGGGTGAACTTCCACAGCCTTGTTCAGCTCTATCTCTGTGGCTCTGAAGAGTACAGTCCCTGCAGCTGCTTTCATTGGCTGGCACTGCACGTATGTGGCTTTTCCAGGCACACGGTACAGACTGTAGGTGAATCTACCATTCTGGAGTCTGGAGGATGGTGGCTCTCTTCTCATAGCTCCACTAGGAAGTTCCTCAGTGGGGACTCATGTAGGGGGCTCCAATTCCACATTTCCCTTTCACATTGCCCTACTAGAGGTTCTCCTGAGGGCTCCACTCCTGCAGCAAACTTCTGCCTGAACCTCCATGTGTTTTCATATATCCTCTGAAATCTAAACAGAGGCTCCAAAGCCTCAATTCTTACCCTCTTCACACCTGCAGGCTTATCACCACATGGAAGTTGCCAAGCCATTTTACACCTTGCACCCTCTGGAGCAGCAACCTGAGACATTGTATTTGGGGACCTTTTAGCCATGGCAGGAGCCGGAGTGGCTGGGATTCTGGGCACCATGTTCCAAGGTTATGCAGAGCAACAGAGACCTGGACCTGTCCCACAAAGCCACATTTTCCTTCTAGGCCTACGAGCCCATGAAGAGAGGGGCCTTGTAAAGGTCTCTGAAATACTTTGGAGAAATTTTCCTCATTGTCTTGGCTATTAACATTTGGCTCCTCTTTACTTATGCAATTTTCTGTAGCCTGCTTATATTTTTCCCTAGAACATGTTTTTTTTTCTTTTTTTACCATATGGTTAGGCTGCAAATTTTCCAAACTTTTATACTCTGCTTCCCTTTTAAATATACATTCCAGGCCAGGCATGGTGGCTCACACCTGTAATCCCAGCACTTTGGGAGGCCAAGGCTGGTGGATCATGAGGTCAGGAGTTTGAAACCAGTCTGACCAACATGGTGAAAGCCCTTCTCTACTAAAAATACAAAAATTAGCTGGGCGTGGTGGCGCATGCCTGTAATCCCAGCTACTCAGGAGGCTGAGGCAGGAGAACTAAAAAAAAATTATATAAATATAAATATTATATATATTTTATATGTGTGTGTATACATATATATTATATATATATATTCCAGTTCCAAGTAATCTCTTTGTTCACACATGTGAGCATATACTGTTAGAAGCAGCCAGGCCTCATCTCAAATGTTTTATTGCTTAGAAATTTCTTTCACCAGATAACCCAAATTATCACTCACAAGTTCAAAGTTCCACAGATCTCTAGAGCAGGGGCACAATGCTGCAAGTCTTTTTGGTAAAGGATAGCAAGAGAAACCTTTACTACAGTTCCAGATAAATTCCTCATCTCCGTCTGAGACAACTTCAGCCTGGACTTCATTGTATATATCACTATCAGCACTTTGGTTACAACAATTTAATGTCTTTAAAAAGTTTCAAACTTTCCCTCATCTTTCTGTCTTCTTCTGAGCCCTCCAAACTGTTCCAACTTCTGCCTGTTACCCAGTTCCAAAGTTACTTTCACATTTTCAGAAATATTTATAGCAATTGCCCACTCCCTCTACCAATTTTCTGTATTAGTCTGTTCTCACATTGCTATGAACTAACTGAAACTGGGTAATTTATTTAAAAAGGCTTAATTGGCTCATTGTACTGGGGCTGTACAAGCTTCTGCTTCTGGGTAAGCCTCAGGAAACTTACAATCATGGTTGAAGGTGAAAGGGAAACAAGTACATATTCACATGGCCATCAGGAGAGAGAGAGAGTAAAGGGGGAGGTGCTACACATATTCAAACAACCAGATCTTATGAGAACTCCACCAAAAGCCAGCACTAGGGAGATGGTGATAAACCATTAAAACCACCCCCCGCAATAAGCCAGTCACCTCCCATGAGGCCCCACCTCCAACCTTGAGAATTACAATTAAACAGGAGATTTTGGTGGAGATACAGAGACACACCATATCAAATCCAGATGATTTTCCTGCTAAATGTTTTCAAATTTAATAAAGAAATAATTCTGATGTTATTCAAAATATTTAAGAGCACAAAAAAATCACAAAAGATTCAAGATAGTTTTTGGATTCAAACTTTGTATAGATACCAAAATTCATAAAAAGTATCCCAATTAACACACAACAATTGACATAAACTCAGATTACTAATGAATATAACACAAAAGTCTTATTAAAATTTTGCCAATTTTCATTCAGAAATTCCATACATATATAAATATATAAATGTAAATATATATCACATAATCCAAAAGTTATTCATGGTTATGAATGTATAAATATTATTGACTCTATCAATAAATAATAAAAGAAAAATCAATACATCCTAAAAACTATAATTTTTTGGTTTTTTAATCAGGAATTAATGCTGAATTTTATTTAACAAATCAAAACGGATATGTATTTAACATGATAAATATACATAGAATTATTACATGGATATAGAGCTATAAATATTTAAAAGGCAGCTGCATTCTAAATGGGGAACCACTAAAGCTAGTAATTTTTGTAGTGTAGGACAGTACAAGGATATCTACTCCGATCTTTATCATTTAACATTATTCTAAGATGCTAATCAAGACATTTTGAGGGGAAGAGTAAATATCATATATAAATATTTCAGAGAAAAAAGCAAAATTGTCATTGGCAGAAGAAAATTGATAACTGAAAAATAAAAAAATGAGAAAATTCTTTAAAAATATGAGAATTCAGTAATTACATTACTACATAAAATCAATGCATTGTCAATAACTATTTTTAAAGTCATCTAAAAACTGAAAGAGAAGAAAAGAGTTTTAATTTTCTTACAATGAAGGTAAAAGCCTCAGGAATATGCATGGGGTGTAAGTGAAAATGAATTTACAACTCCATTGAAAGACAGAAAAAATGAATGTAGAAGTCGTAAGGAACAAGATTAATAAATTTAATTACATAAAATGCACCCTTCTTCATAGATAAGTTGCTAAGATATTGCAAACTGGTAATATATTTTCAGTTCATATGACAAAGTGCTAATTTCTTAAAACACAAAGTACTTTAAGATTAATAACACAATATAAAAAAATAGAAAAAAATATAAGTAGGTCATATAATTATATCAAATGTACCAACCATTTAAAAAACTAGTTTTATGCACATATGGTGTAAGTTATATTGTCTAGTTAATAGTGTTGTACAAAGACAATTTTCTAATTTTGCTAATGTACTTGCACAGATAACATTTGTGTAAGATGTTGTCATTGGGAAAAGCTGAATGAAGAGTACACTAAAACTTTCTGTACTATTTTTGCAAATTGAAAGTTCATAATAATTCCTATTTTAAGAGTTTTAAAAATCTAACATGCTGTCACATAGAATGATAAGTAATATAATTTAGAGCATAAAATAGTCTCTCTCCCTCTGTGTGTGTGTGTGTATGTATATATACATATATATATATATATATATATTTATAGTATTAGTCTGTTCTCTTACTACTAATAAAGACATACTGGCGACTAGGTAACTTATAAAGGAAAGAGGGTTAATCGACTCACAATTGGGCATGGCTTGGGAGGCCTCAGGACACTTATGGCAGAATGAGAAGAAAACATGTTGTTCTTCACGTGTTGGCAAGAGAGCGAAGTGCAGAGCATAGGTGGGGAAAATTATTTTATAAAACCATCAGATCTCATGAGAACTCATTCACTACCATGAGAACAGCATGGAGGTAACTGCCCCTATGATTCAATGACCTCCAACTAGGTCCCTTCCAAGACACGTGGGGATTATGAGAACTACAATTCAAGATAAGATTCGGGTGGGGACACAACCAAACCATATTATTCTGCCCCCGACCCCTCCCAAATCTTATGTCCTCACAGTTCAAAACACAATCATGGCCTTCAACAGTAACTCATTCCAGCATTAACTCAAAAGTCCAGTTCCAAAGTCTCATCTGAGACAAGGTGAATCTCTTCTGCCTATAAGCCTGTAAAATCAAAAGCAAGTTAGTTACCTCCTAGATACAATGGAAGGACAATCATTGGGTACATACACCCATTATACATGGAAGAAATTGATCAAAACAGAGGAGCTACCAGTCCCATGCAACTCCAAAATCCAATGAGGCAGTAATTAAGTCTTTAAGCTCTGAAATAATCTCCTTTTCCTCCATGTCTCACATCCAGGACATGCTGATGCAAGACATAGGCTCCCACAGTGAGCAGCTCTCTGCCCTTGTGGCTTTACAGGGTACAGCTTCCCTTCTTGCTGCTTTCACGAGCTGGCATTGAGTGTCTGCAGCTTTTTCAGGGTCATGGTGCAAGCTGTTGGTGGATCTACCATTCTGGGGTCTGGAATATGGTGGCCTGCTCCTCACAGCTCCACTAGGCAGTGCCCCAGTGAGGACTCTGTATGGGGGCTCCAACCCCACATCACCTTCTACATTGCCCTAGCAAAGGTTCTCCATGAGGGTTCCATCCGTGCAGCAAACATTTTTCCCTGACATCAAGTGTTTTTATACATTCTCTGAAATCTAGGTGGAGGTTCCCAAACTTCAATTCTTGACATCTGTGCATTCACAGGCTCAATATGACATGGAAGCTCCCCAGTTTGGGGCTTGCATCCTCTGCAGCCATGGCCCAAGCTATACCTTGGCCCCTTTTAGCAACATCTGGAGCAGCTGGGATGCAGGGCAACAAGTCCCTAGGTGGCACACAGCAGGGGGTCCCTGGGCCTTGCCCACCAAACCATTTTTTTTTCTCTTACACCTCCAGGTCTGTGATGGGAAGGGCTGCCACAGAGGTTTCTGACATGTCCTGGAGACATTTTCCCTATTTTCTTGGCAATTAACATTCATCTTCTCATTAGTATGCAGTGGGCTCGAATTTATCCCCAGAAAATGAGATTTTCTTTTTTATGGCATTGTCAGGCTGCAAGTTTTCCAAATTTTTATGCTCTGACTCCTCTTGAATGCTTTGCCACTTAGAAATTTCTTCTGGCAGATACTCTAAATCATCTCTCTCAAATTCAAAGCTCCACAGATCTCTAGAACAGGTGCAAAATGCCACCAGTTTCTTTGCATAGCAAGAGTGACCTTTACTCCAGTTCAGAACAAGTTCCTCACCTCCAATGAGACCACCTCAGCCTGGACCTTATTGTCCATATCACTATCAGCATTTTGGTCAAAGCCATTCAACAAGTCTCTAAAAATTTCCAAACTTTCCCATTTTTTTCCTGTCTTCTGAGCCCGCTAAGGTTCTAGAAAGTTTCAAGGTTTCGAATATTTTTCTGTCTTCTTCTGAGCTCCCCAAACTGTTCCAAGCTTTCCCTGTTACCCAGTTCCAAAGTCGCTTGCACTTTTTGGGATAACTTTACAGCAACATCCCACTCTACTGGTACCAATTTATTGTATTAGTCAGTTCTCACACTGCTAATGAAGACATACCAGAGACTGGGTAATTTATAAAGGAAAGAGATTTAATTGACTCACAGTTTATCATGGCTATGTTAACGATGGAGGGCTTCCAGGTTCTTGGCATCTTGAACAAAGAATTGGACAAAACGCACGAAAAGGAAGGAATGAAGGGTTTTAGTGAAAATGAAAGTACACTCCACAGTGTGGGAGCAGGCCTGAGCATAGTACCTCAAAGGCCCCATTACAGAATTTTGGGGAGTTTAAATACCCCCTAGAGGATTCCATTGGTTACTTCGGGTATGCCCTATGTAAATGGAGAGAATGAAGTAAAGTTACAAAGATATTTATGGCATATACCCTATGGCGAGGATATTTCCTGTTATAGCTTAAGTGTGAATTGGCCTTATGTTCCCTGCCTCCAAACCCTATTTTCCTGCCTCAGCTGGGGAGGCCTTAGGAAACTTTCAATCATGGCAGAAGGGGAAGCAAACACATCATTCTTCAGATGGCAGCAGGGAGAGAAGTTCAGAGTGAAGTAGGGAAAAGGCCCTTATCAAACCATAAGGTCTTGTGAGAACTCAATATCATGAGAACAGCATGGAGGTTAACTGTCCTGATGATTCAATTACCTCTCAGCAGTCCATCCCACGACACATGAGGATTATGGGAACTACAATTCAAGATGAGATTTGTGTAGGGACACAACAAAACCCCCATATAATATATACACACACTATATGTATACACATATATACACACACACACATATATATACACATACATATACACATATATATATACACATATATATACACACACATCTATATATATATACACACACACACATCTATATATGTATACCATTACTGTTTTGAACCATCTGTGGTAAACCAATCCTTTGGATGATAATAAAGGTTAAAAATGCTTATTTCAAAGCTGAAAGCTGCATTAGTCAGGACTCTCCAGAGGGACAGAACTAATAGGGTATGCGTATATATGAAAGGGAATTTATTAAGGAGAATTGACTCACACAATCGTAAGGTGAAGTCCCAGGATAGGCTGCCTGCAAGCTGAGGTGGTAGACAGCCATAATGGCTCAGTCTAAATCGAAAAGCCTTAGAAGTATGGAAGCTCACAGTGCAGCCTTCAGTCTGCATCTGAATTCCCAAGAGCCCCTGGCAAATCAGTGGTGTAAGTCTAGGGTTTAAAGGCCAAAGAACCTGGAGTCTAATGTTCAGGGGCAGGAAGCATACAGCATGGGAGAATGATGAAAGCCAGAAGACTCAGCAAGCCAGCTTATTCCTTCTTCCACCTGCCTTGTTCTAGCTTGCCTGGCAGCCAATTTGATGGAGTTCACCCACAATGAGGGTGGGTCTGCCTCTCCCAGTCCACTAATTCAAATGTTAATCTCCTCTGGCAACACCCCCACAGACACACCCAGAAACAATACTTTACCAGCTCTCTAGGCATCCTTCAATCCAATGAAGTTGACACTTAATATTAACCATCACAAGTCCACCTCTTGTCAACCTGAACCCCTATACATCTGAAATCATACTTAACCTTCAAATAAGAAAATAAGGTTGTAATTACACCTAACATCATATAGCTATCCTTCGTATAATCAGAAACACATTAATTCTTAACCTAAATGCTGTTACATAATGTTAACAACACTTAAATGAGGATATAAAGTTAATAAATTTTCTGTCACATGATAAAGAAAAAAGAAAAGAAAATGAAGATTTTTTTTTTAGTATAAGTGTATACATGCACAAACATATTTTTAACAATATAAAGAGGAAATACTCATAAAAATTACACTCATTTCTGCAACTGGTCACATGGTCACAGCTGGTATTGATAACTACCTTTTTCTACTACTCATTCTGTATTCCCTTTGCCTTTAGCAAGCACCTCGACAGGTCATGGTTTTTTACCTGTTGGAGTGACCCAAATCTTCATTCCTGAAAAGTCTGAGCCACTTGTAGCCCTGCCTGAATTGGGTCTTTGTAGTTTTTCATTGACCTTAATTACAGGGCATGGTAACCTAAGAGATGCCCTAAGGGATCTCATGTATTTTACAGATACTCTTTCTCACTCCTGTTGTGTGAGTAGTAGACTGGTTTCATCTTGATAGTTCAGGGCTATCACCCCAGCCAACAGTGTAACTCCCTTCTTAGCCTGTTGGCTTAGAGGTAGGAGGAGCCCAAAGTGGCCAGGTGGCAATCTTAACTTCCAGTTTAATGGAATCATTGTTGTGTCTCCTGGTGGCAGCATTCTTCCCTCTGGAACTAAGACCTCTAGGCCAGCAGAACATGATGTTAGAGGAACAAAAAGCCAAAATTTTGCTAGTGGGTCACTAAGGATAATAGTGGGGTGATGCCACTTCCACTTCCAGCCCTTGATTCCTGGACCAGTAAATCCTGGCTATGGAAGAAACAATACCATATATTGGACACTGATTCAGAGTATACACAGCCTTCTGGAAAACTGCCCCAGCCCTGCAAAGTATTGTCATCTAATTGGCATTGAAATTTTGACTTCAAGAGGCTATTCTATCATTCCATCAATCCTATCAAGCTGCCTCAGGATGATAGGGAACATGGTAAGACCAGCGAATTTATTAAGCATGAGCCCACTGCCACATTTCTTTAGCTATAAAGTGAGTGCCTTTGTCAGAGGCAATGCTGTGTGGAATGCTGTGATGGTGGATAAGGCATTCTGTGAGTGCACAGATCATAGCCTTGGCAGAAGAATTGCATGCAGGATAGGCAAACCCATATCTAGAATAAGTGTCTATTCCAGTGAGGAAAAATCACTGCCCATACCATGATGGAAGAGGCCCAATATAATCAACTTGCCACCAAGTAGCTGGCTGATCACCTCAAGGAATGATGTTATATTGAGGGCTCAGCGTTGGACTCTGCTGCTGGCAAATTGGGCACTCAGCAGTAGCCATAGCCAGGTGAGCCTTGGTGAGTGGAATTCTATGTTGTTGAGCCCATGTATAACCTCCATCCCTGCCACCATGGCCACTTTGTTCATGAGCTCATTGGGCGATGACAGGGGTGTCTGGAGAAAGAGGCTGAGTGGTGTCCACAGAATGAGTCATTCTATACACTTGATTATTACAATTCTCCTCTGCTGAGGTCACCCTTTGTTGAGTATTCACATGGAACACAAACATCTTCAGTTTTTGACCACTCAGAGAGGTCCATCTATATACCTCTTTCCCAAATTTCTTTGTGTCACCAATTTTCCAATCATGCTTCTTCCAAGTCCCTGACCAACCAGCCAAACCATTTGCTACAGCCACATTTGGCCGTTTCTCCTTCCAAGCAAAGTGCACAACCAGGTGCACTGCCCAGTTCTGCCCACTGGGAAGATTTCTCCTCACCACTGTCCTTCAGGGATGTCCTAGAAAGGGGCTGCAGTGCCACAGCTGTCCACTTTTGGGTGGTGCCTGCGTATCATGCAGAACCATCTGTAAACCAGGCCCCAGTCTTCTGTTCCTCTGTCAGTTGATCAGAGGGAACTCTCCATGAAGCCATCCATGCAGGATGGGAGAGAAAAGGCAGGGTGGCAGAAGTGGGGACCATGGGCATTTGAGCCACTTTCTCATGTAACTTACTTGTGCCTTCAGGACTTGCTTGAGCTTGATTTCATATATACCACTTGCATCTGATGATGGAATGCTGCTGTGCATCCCCAACTTTATGGCCAGATGGGTCAGAAAGCACCCGGTTCCTGATAGGCAGTTCAGGTCTCATGGTAACTTTGTGACACATAGTCAAACATTGAGTTTCTACCAAGGCCCAGTAACAGGTCAAGAGCTTTGTCTTAAAAGCAGAGTAGTTATCTGCAGAAGATGACAGGTCCTTGCTCCAAAATCCTAGAGGCCTCCACTGTGATTCACCTATGGGGATCTGCCAAAGGCTCTAAACAGCATCTCTGTGATGGTCAATGTTATATGTAACTTGATTGGATTGAAGGATGCAAACTGTTATTCCTGGGTCTGTCTGTGAGGGTGTTGCCAGAGATTAATATTTGAGTCAGTGGACTGGGAGAGGCAGACCCACCCTCAATCTGGGTGGGCACCATCCAATCAAGTGCCAGTGTGGCTAGAATAAAGTAGAAAGAAGAAAGTGGGAGAGACAGACTTGCAGAGTCTTCCAGCCTTCATCTTTCTCCTTTGCTGGATTCTTCCTTCTCTCGAACATCAGACTCCATGGTCTTCAGCTGCTGGACTCTTGGACTTACACCGATGGTTTACCAGCGGCTTCCAGACCTTAGGCCACAGACTGAAGGCTGCATTGTCAGCTTCCCTGCTTTTAAGGATTTGGGACTCAGACTGAGCCACTACTGGCTTCCTTGCTTCTCAGCTTACAGGCGGCCTATCATGGGGCTTTGCCTTGTGATTGTGAGTCAATTCTCCTTAATAAATTCTCTTTTATATATAAATATATTCTATTAGTTCTGTCCCTCTAGAGAACCCTGACTAATGCAATCCCTATCTGCCTCTGAAACCTTAAACACATTGAATCTGCTTGGGTCATATGGCCCAAGTGGCAGAGCAGCTTGCCCAGCAGCCTGGACCTGTTGCAGAACCCTCTTCTGTTCTGAACCTCACTCAGAACTGGCAGCATTTCAGGTCACTCAACAAATATGCCAGCCTAACAAAATTGTTAAGGCATCAAAGGCTTAAGAGGCCAAAATTCTAAATAAAAGTATATAGAGATGAGGCTAATATTCACGATTCTTTTTTCTCAAGTCATTTGTTCAATTTTAATAAGTGAAAGATGGAGAAAATGAATAGTTTCTAGTTCTAGCACAGTGCTGAAGGAGAGTGACTTACAAAGATTGAAGCCCAACTTTGAATCAGATCAATTTCTGATTGGTTTAAGATCATCAGCCTCCTACTGCATTTGCTAGTCTCTAGCAACATTAAATTATCTTTAGAGGAACAATACCATCTGGATCCTCAAATTTTCTTTAAAATTTTTATACTTAATATGGAATCTATTAAAAATATACCAGGCAAAATAAACCCATAACTAGAAAACAAAAGGGAAAAGCAGGCAATTGACAGAAACCTATAAGTGATTGAAAATTTCATGTCATAACTAAATATGTACATGGACTAGACTAAAAGGTAAATAAAACTCTACATAAAGAATCAGATAATCATTATTATAATGAAAAATACCTAACATTATGTATGTAATGACCAGATATGATAACTCATGCCTCTAATCCCAGCACTTTGGGAGGCCAAGGTGGGTAGATTTTTGAGCCTAGGAGTTTGAGAACAGCCTGGTCAGCATGGCAAAACATTCTCAACAACAAAATAAAAACATAGCCCAGAGTAGTGATATGTGCCTGTAGTTCCAGCTTCTAGATAGGCCGAGAGGTGGGAGGATCGCTTGAGCCTGAGAGGTTGAGGCTGCAGTGAGCTGAGATCATGCCGTGGCACTACAGCCTGGACAACAGAGTGAGACAGTCTCAAAAAAAAAAAAAAAGAAATGAAAAATGTAATAAATAGTCTTCATAATGAATAGATGATTAGTAAATTGGATAATAGAAAAAGTATGAAAACTGAAGTATGTTGAGAAAATAATTTTAAGACTCCCAAAATGAGTACAGGTGACTTATGGGGCATAATACGGAAATTTAACTCATAGAAAATTTAAGTATATTGTACAATAATCAATGAAGAGATAGAGAGTGAGCGTGAGAATGAGAGTGAGTGAGGTGGGGAGAGAGAGAGAGAGAGAAATCAAACAGAAGGAGAATTAGATAGAAGCAATATTTTACAAGCTACTTAATGAAAATGTTGAAATTGATCACATACATCAAGCTACAGAAAAAAGAAATGCTACAAATCTCAAGCATGATAATGCAAATATAAATGCATCCAGAAAAAAATTTTTATTTTTCTTTTATTTTTTAATTTTAATTTTTTGTAGAGGCAAGGTCTTGCTTCGTTGCCCAGGCTGGTCTCAAACTCCTGGCCTCAAGTAATCCTTCTGCCTCGGCCTTCTAAAGTACTGGGATTGCAGGTGTGAGCTACTGTGCCTGGAAACAGGAAAATAGCAGTAGAAGTACTGATAATCAAAGACAATGAGAAATTTTAAAAGAAGCCAAAGGACAATATAGACACATCATCTTCAACAAATGAGCCATAAATCTGACAGCTCACTTATGAAACAGATTTACTGGAAAAGAAAAGACAAATGGAATGAACTTTTTACAGTTCTAAAAAACAAAAACAAGAAAACCTGCCAAACAGTAATTCTGTAGCCAGAAAAAAATTAATAAAAACTTGAAGGCCAAAATAGGCATGTTTATACAAACTTTGAAAAAAATCAGTATTAACAAAGATTTAAAATAATAATAAAATGAATTTTTTAAGCAGTAGGATTATAACCACCCAAGGTGAAATTATGGAAAAGCAGGAGGGAAGAAAGAACATTGCAGAGCGCAAGGATATGGATAAATTTAAATGAATATTGGTGTAATAATAACAATAACTTGTAGAGTTTAAACACATCCAGAATTTAAGCACATGTGAACAGTCGCACAGAAGGTAAGAGAGAAAGTAGAGTTTTAATGTTTCATGGTCCTTGCTTTGTTTTGAAAAGTAATTCCAATTACATTTGAATTCATTGCAAATGCATTTGATAAGTTTTAGGGTAGCCACTAGTAAAATAGTGCATTTAAGAAGTGGGCATTTAACAAATTAATAGTATGGAACTTATAGAATAAAAATAGTAGAACAAAAAGACCTCAGTATTATAAATAATTTAATCCAAGAGAAAAAAATAATTAGAAAAACAAAGAACTTAAACAGGGTTAAAAAATAGTTAAGTGCATAGAAGGTAGTAGATTAAAACCCAAATACAATAATTACACTAAAAATAAATAGAACCAGATTCTTCAATTGAATCAGGTTCTCCAATTAAATCAGATTATCAGATTTCAAGTAGGGGGTGGAGGGCGGTGTTAGAAAAAATTTGTGCTCCCATGAGAGATACACCTAAATTAAAAATACAGAAAGTATGAAATATAAAGAAGGGAAAAATGATATGTATAAGCTGTAATCAAAGTAAGGCTGGTGTAGCTATGTCTTATCATACAATGTAGATTTTTAAAGTCAAAGTGTCACTGAAATAATGATCTTTCAGAAAAATTTTTTGGAAATCACCTTTCCATCAGGAAAATATAACACTTTTATATCTGTATTAATCTAACATTTACTCATAATAATTCCTAGCAAACAAGAGATGAACGAGATCTTCCATAATGTAAAAAAGAGTATTTGCAAATGACAGTAGTCATATTTAATGACACTATATGGAACATTTTTCTCAGAATTGTCAATGTATGAAAAAGTTATTTTATTACTTTCTTCTTCAAAAATATGCCCAGTGTTCTAACATATAGAAAGACACATTTTTAATCTTATTTCCTGCTTAACACTATATGAAAAAAATAACAATTATATGTAGATTGTAGATTTAAGTACAAGATGTGAAACAATAAATTCTTCAGGAGAGTACATGGGAGAATAGCTTCAGGAGTTTATAATTAGAAAGTATTTCCTAGGTCTCATAAAATACTATAAATTAAAGGATTAATTAACTGTCCTCCATTAAGATTAGAAACTTCTGTTTATCAGAAGACACAATTAAGATAGTGAAAAGGCAAATCACATGGGAAGACAAGATATTTGCATTGCATATAATAAAAAACAAGAACAACAAATAAATTGTTAAAAAGACAGCCAACTCAAAAGAAAAATGTGCAAAGGACTTAATAAGCACATCGCAGAGTAGCACAATGGCTAGTATAAACAGCTATCAATTATCAACTAAAGGTAAGAAATGTTTTCCTATGTGTGTAAAGGATTTTTGTGTTGGTAATATGATTATTTTGTGTGACTACAGTTTTTTTTTTCTTGGCGATATTCCACAGGATCATTACTTATATAGTTGATGGTCATTAGGATAATTTGTCACGGTGTATACAGCTTCTTTTGGAACAAGGATATTGATTTTTCTTTTTTATTAGCGCTAAAAAAATACCCATTGCTGATGGATACTGTTTTTTCCCTTTGAAGCATCTCAATATTGATCTACTGTAGCAGCAGTGAAAATGCTAGTTCTTCTGCCAGGGTTTCTAAATGACTTTGTCTGTACTTCTGTATTCAGTTTTCTCTTACTCAAACATGTAGCTATGCGTGCTTCATTTGGGATAAACCATGAGTGAGCCATTCATGGATGCACAAGATGGAAACCAGGATGATTGGTAGTATATTTGGAGTGAACTTAAGTGACAGTAGGTGGGTATTTGTATTTAAAATGGCATTTTAAAAAGTTTTTATAACCCCTCAGCATTGAATGCCAGACCTCACAGCATAAACTAATTTTATCTGAATTGTTTAAAAAATTATACTTCATTTATTTTAGTGTATTTTTAATGTAGCAACATCATTATTTTTATAAAATGGAATTGTTTGAATGAAATACAAACAAAGTTGTCCTTATATTTTCTGTTTAATACTTAAAATATACAGTCAATAAAAAATATTCAATGACTCATGAGTAGTATAAGTTATATTGAATACATATATACATATTTTTAAATGTGAACTTTTATTTTAGATACACGGGGTACATATGCAGATTTATTGCATGATGCTGATGTTTCAAGTATGGATATTGTCATCCAGGTAGTGAGCATGGTATCCAATTGGTATTTTTTTCACCCATGACTCCTCTCTCTCTTCCCCTTTTAGTACTTCATAACGTCTATTGTTCCCATGTTTATGTACATGTGTGCTCAATGTTTAGTTCCCACTTATAAGTAATCAAATATTTACTTGTAAGAAATTTCTAGGATTTTTTGTTCCTGCATTAATTAGATTAGGATAATGGCCTCCAGCTGCATCCATGTTGCTGCAAAGGACATGATTTTGTTCTTTTTTATGGTTGTGAAGTATTCCATGGTGTATATGTACCACATCTTCTTTATTCAATTCATCATTGATGAGCACCTAGATTGATTCAATGTCTTTGCTACTGTGAATAGCGTGGCGATGAAAATAGAAGTGCATTGGTCTTTAGTTTAATTAGATCCCTCTTGTCTTGTCAATATTTGTTTTGTTGTCATTGCTTTTGGAGATTTAGCCAAAAATTCTTTGCCAAGGCCAGTGTTAAGAAGGATATTTCCTAGGTTTTCTTCTAGGATTTTTTTTTTTTTTGAGGACTTAACATTAAAATTTTTAATCCACCTTGAGTTAATCTTTGCATATCATGAAAGGTAAGGTTCCAGTTTCATTCTTCTGCAAATACTACCCAGTTATCCCAGCACCATTTATTGAACAGGGAGTTGTTTCCCATTGCTTGTTTTTTTCCGGCCTTGTCTATGATCAGATGATTGTAGGTGTTCAGCTGTATTCTTGAGTTTTCTATTCTGTTTCATTGTTCTGTGTCTGTTTCTGTACCAGTACCAGGCTATTTGGGCTACTTTGGCCTTATAGTGTCGTTTGAAGTTGGATAGTGTGTTGCTTCTGGCTTTGTTCTTGTTGCTTAGGAGTGCCTTGTCTCTTTGGGTTCTTTTTTGACTCCATGTAAATTTTAGAATAGTTTTCTAATTCTGTGAAGAATGTCATTAGTAGTCTGATGCAAATAGCATTGAATCTGTAAATTGTTTTGGGTAGTATGGCCATTTTAACAATCTTCATTCTTCCAGTCTATGAACATGAAATATTTTTCTATTTATTTGTGTCATCTTTTATTTATTTATTTGTTTGTTTGTTTTTATTTATTTTTAGATGGAATCTCACCCTATCACCCAGGCTGGAGTGTAGTGGTAGTGGTGTGATCTCGGCTCACTGCAACCTCCGTCTCCTGGGTTCAAGCTATTCTCCTGCCTCAGCCTCCTGAGTAGCTGTGACTACAGGCACACATCACCACACCCGGCTAATTTTTGTATTTTTAGTAGAGATGGAGTTTCACCATGTTGGTCTGGCTGATCTTGTACTCGTGACCTCGTGATCGCCTGCCTCAGCCTCCCAAAGTGCTGGGATTTCACAAGTGAGCCACCGTGCCTGGCCACCATTTTTTATTTATTTCAGAAGTGTTTCATAGTTCTCCTTATAGAGATCTTTGACCTCCTTAGTTAGCTGTATTTCTAGGTATTTCATTTTCTTTGTGGTTATTGTAAATTGTGTTATGCTCTTGATTTGACTCTCAGCCTGGACATTATTTGTGTATAGAAATGCTACTGATTTTTGTTCATTGATTTTGTATCCTGAAAGTTTACTAAAGTCATTTATGAGTTCTAAGAGCCTTTTGGTAGAGTCTTTGGGTTTTCTAGGTATAGAATCATGTCATCAGCTAAGAGAGATAGCTTGACTTCTTCATTTTCTATTCTATTTGGATAGCTTTTTGTAAAAAAAAAAAAAAAATCTTGTCTGGTTGCTCTGGCTAGAATTTATAGTACTATGTTGAATAGGAGTGATGAAAATGGGCATCCATGTCTTATTCTAGTTCTCAAGGGGAATGCTTCCAGCTTTTGACCATCGAGTATGGCTTTTGGTGTGGGTATTTCATTGGTGGCTCTTATTATTTTGAAGTATGTTTCTTCTATGACTAGTTTGTCAATGGTTTTAATTATGAAGTCCTGTTGAATTTTTCAAAAGCTTTTCCTATATCTATTTAAATAATAATTTGGATTTTGCTTTTAACTCTGTTTATATGGTGAATCACTTTTATTGATTTACATCTGTTGAACCAGCCTTGCATCCAAGGACTAACGGCTACTTGATCATGGTGTGTTAACTTTTTGATGTGCTGCTGGATTTGTTTATCTAGTGTTTTTTTGAGGATTTTTGTGTTTATAATCATCACAAATATTGGTCTAAAATTTTTTTATTGTTGTTGTGTTTCTGCCAGATTTTGGTATCAGGCTGATGCTGGCCTCATAGAATGAGTTATGAAGAATTCCCTCTTCCTTGATTTTTTGAACTAGTTTTAGTAAAACTGGTACCAGTACTTCCTTGTACATGTGGTAGAATTCAGCTGTGAAACCACCTGGTGTGAGGTTTTTTTTTTGGTTGTTAGTTTTTTTAACTGATTCAATTTCAGAGCTCAATATTGGTCTATTTAGGGTTTCAATATCTTCCTGATTCAATCATGGGAGATTGTGTGTTTTTAGGGATTTGTCCCTATCTTCTATATTTTCTAATTTTTCTGCATATAATTCTTCATTGTATTTTTCTGAGAATAGTTTATATTTCTGTGAAATCAGTTATAACATCATCTGTGCCATTTCTGCTTATGCTTATTTGGATTTTTACACTTTTTTTTCTTCGTTAATCTAGCTAATGGTTTGTAAATTTTGTTTATTTTTTTAAGAAGCTACTCTTGGTTTTACTAATTTTTCTATTGACTTTTGCAACTCCTTTTCATTCAGTTTTTCTCCAACTTTAGTTATTTATCTTCTGCTAGGTTTGTTCACACAAGAGTTATTCCAAAGCAAGTTGTTTAGTTTTCATGTATTTGTGTAATTTTGAGGGGCTTTCTTGCTATTAATATCTATTTTTTATCACACTGTGGTCTGAGAGTATGCTCGGTATGATTTCAATTATATTGAATTGTTTCAGACTTGCTTTATGACTGAGCATGTGTTCAGTCAAAATATGTTCCTTGTGCAGATGAGAAGAATGTGTATTCTGTGGTTGTTGGGTGAAGTGTTCTGTAGATGACTTTTAGGTCTAATTGGTCAAGTGTCAAGTTTAATTTCAGAGGTGTTTTTCTGTTAGTTTTCTGCCTTAATAATCTGTCTAAAGTTGTCAGTGGTGTTTTGAAGTCTTCCACTATGTATGTAGTTGTCTATGTCTTTTCAGAGGCAAAGAAAAACTTGTTTTATGAATCTGGGTGCTTCAATATTAGATAAATATATATTTAGCATAGTTAAGTCTTCTTATTAGATTGTACCCTTTACCATTCTGTAATGTCTGTCTTTGTCCTTCTTAATTTTTATCAGTATAAAGTCTGTTTTATCTGATATAAGAATAGTGACTCCTGCTCTTTTTTGTTTTCCATTTGCATGATAGATCTTTCTCCATGCCTTTACTTTGAGCCTGTGGGTATCATTACATGTGAGATGGGACTCTTGAAGACAGCAGATGGTTGGGTCTTGTCTTTTTATCCAGCTTACCACTCTATGTTATTTAAGTAGGGTGTTTAGCTCATTTATCTTTGGAGTTTGTATTTATATGGACAGCAGATAGGCTCTTACACAGCTGTTGCTCTGTATTTTCTTGGATTTGCAGTTATGCTCTGTAGTGCGTGGAGAAGAGAGGTGATCCTCTCACCTGGTATGTTCTTAGGTCTTGTGGGAATCACCTCGGATCATTGGCACTATGCCCACATTTTTTTCTGTTAGGCATTCCAGGCCAAAGGGCTTCCTGTGCAGAGGCCAGAGTAGAGGTATCTCGCATCTTTTCTGGTTTGGCCCTATGGAGGGAGGCATACCCCACTCCCCCTCCTTTCCATGAACACACACATCTCATCCTTTTCAGTTTTCTGAGGTGGAGGCTCCTCTCTTGCTCCATGGCCACAGATCTTGGTTTGGCATTCTGAAGCTGCATGTAGCAGCCCTGGGTTGCCCTGGATCAGCACACAGCTTTGTCCTATGAACCCTTGACATCAGGTTTTGGGTGCCCTGGGGGATCCAAAATGCTCCCAGGCCACCTGGAATGTAATCAGTTGGAGCAAAGCACCCAGGCTAGGCAGCAAAGGCTGTGCTGGGCACATGCTTCTGCGAGGCAGCCAGGCAGGGGCCCTGAGAGGGACTGGTAGGCAGGATGGCCTGCAGAACAGATGCACCCCAAACTCACTAGAAAGTTGGCCCTGCTTTCTCCTGGCCCAGCAGTCAGCTAGGACTACAGCTTCTAGGAGGGAGATGAGGAGCCCTGGAGGATGGGCACCTACAGCCATGCCACACTGGAGCTGCCCTGTGCACAAAGGCTTCTGGTTTCATACCAGCTGAAGTCCTGTCTCTGTCTATTCTCCAGGCAGATCCCCATGTCAACTTAAATTTCCTTAGGGAATTTGTGGAGGTTCCTAGAGTCAGAATCCAAGAGGTTCATGGTGAGGTTTGGCAATTCCCTGGTCCCTTCACTTACCTGTTCTCCAGGAGCCATTTGGGGCCAGAAACTAGCCCAAGCTTTTGAGTATCCTGTGCAGGGTCCCAGCCTCGTCCCTCGTCAGCCTCAGCATCTACGTTACGTCACATCTCCATCCATTCTTGGTGTTTCTTCTCCAAAGATATGTCCAAATTATGTTGGTTTACTTGAAAACTTGCTATCTCAATGGAATTGGCACTTTCTGGTTGTGTCTAGTCAGCTATCTTGTTCCAATCTCCATATATATTTCAAAAAAAAATTCTGTTTAGCTAATGCTTATAAAGAGAAAAAAATAACAAACTATTCAGTTGCTACTGGACTTCTCTAAGGCTAAAGAAATTTGCTAGCTATAAAAGAATGCCCTTGAATTGCACAAATCTGTTTTTTTTTTTAACCAGAAAACTCAGCTAAGCAAATGCATTTTTATCTATTGAAATTTAATTAAGCCAGAAGTTTTTATTTATAGAGCACACTACATAAACTTGGAATTTTTTTCTTCTCTTCAGTGAAAATTAACCACAGTGTGCTCTTTAGGCATAATATTATTAGGCAGGCATACAGGCATTTCAGATATGAGAAATGAAGGGAAAATAATGAGTAGGGATATCCTAATATTTATTGAATGTTTACTATGTGGCTGTGACTGTATTAGCTATACATTTCTAACTCAGTTTTCAAAGAACTTCATGAAATATGTGTCGGTTGTTCAAGAGGGATCCAAAAAATCAGAAATCTTTAGTAACTTCCTCAATGTTATACAGCTGTTATGAAGGACAGGATTTTAACTTCAAAATTTGTCTTTCTTGCGACTTCCAAACTATCTTCTATTTACCTGTGTAATGACAAATAGAACATGGATACACATTACCCTGATTACATAATGTCTTTTTACAATTATTTGCATTTAAAGTTGTAATATCTAAATCAGATTAATCTTTATTCATAATTTCCAATTTCATAATTTTTATAATTTATAAAATTCATAATTTCATTGATTATCATCATGGGTTTCAATGAATTCAGGAAAATTTTAGGTAAAATCAATATAAAAAATATTTATTAATTGTGTTTTATTATAGATATTTATTAGTAATTTCTAAGTAAAATTTATTCATTTCCAAAAAATATATTCAGTTTATATAAAAGAATTTTCGTTGTTGTTGTTGTTGTTGTTGTTGTTGTCTTTTAGAGAGAGTCTTGCTCTGTCACCCAGGCTGGAGTGCAGTGGCATGATCTTGGCTCACTGCAACCTCCACCTCCTGGGTTCAAGTGATTCTCCTGCCTCAGCTTCCCAAGTAGCTGGGACTACAGGCGCCCACCACCACACCCAGCTAATTTTGTATTTTTAGTAGAGATGGAGTTTTGCCATGTTGGTCACGCTGGTCTTGAACTCCTGACTTCAGGTGATCCATCCACCTTGGCCTCCCAAAGTGCTGGGATTGTAGGCATGAGTCAGCGTGTCTGGCCAAGGAATTCTTTTAAACAAACATTTTATAGGACTAAGAGAACATTCTTATTCTATGTTGTGTTTGCTTCATAGTATGGTATGTAACTGAACAAGTACTCACATGTGGATAATACTAATTTGACAGGTAGATTAATGTCACTACTGTGTACAGGATATTTTACAAACCAGTTTGTGCCTCCAAAGATAAAAACAATAAACTCCATCTTCAATAGAGCTTGTTAGAGAAGATATATGAACATATGCATTCATGATGACATACAAAAGTGGATATATTTGTGTTAAAAAATAAGCATTTGAAGTATCATGTTATGTCAGGAGACAGAATTACAACATTATAGCATAGTAAATGTTTAGCTGGTGAAAGGACGGGGAGAAATTCCTCATAAAACCTTTAAGCAAATAGTAAAAATGGGGAAATCATGTTAGTTACAGAATAACATTCAAGTTCTATGTAAAGATTTCTATTAAGTTCAGCAAGTCTACCTTAAAAATAAAAAGTAAAATAATATGTAAAACATATAAAACCAAATCAAAGTGGACTGTTGTACATAAATATCTTTCTCTGTCATTTTCACTTAATATAGTAGTACAATTTTCATATGAATTTTCAGAAAATTTATTTGAATTTTTTATAACTTTCCAAAATTATAGTATTCTTTAAATCCTTGAATAAACATTTATAGAGATGTATTTAACAAAGCAAGACAATATAATTCTTTAGTGAAATATTTTAAAGTATTCTATAGTCCACATGCAACTTATCAAATGATTTCTATAATAAACTTACCTATGATTTATTTGTATAAAAATGTGAATATACTGGGTACAATGGCATGCTTCTGTAGATCCAGTTACTCAAGAGGCTGAGATAGGAGGATTGCTTGAGCTCTGGAGTTCAAGGCTATAGTGCTCGATGATCTTGCCTGTGAATAGCCACTGCACCCCTACATGGACAATATGGCGAGACCTTGTTTCTAAAAAATAAAAAAAAAAGTGATCATAATATTCCCTGAGCCTCATTTTAACCTGAAATTGAACAACACACTTTTGTGGATCTTTTTTTCTTTCTTAATGGAGCCTCTGGAAGACAAATATTACATGCTGCACATGCCCAAATTTGCCCATAGTGTGAATAAAGGATTTGCAGGAAATATAGTGAAGTGCAAGCATCAATCTCAATCCACTTTGCTATGTCCTTTATCTATAAAGCTTGATATATTGCAGCATATTGTTAAAATTATTATTTAAAATAATGGCCTTCATTTGTGTGTGTTAAATAAAGGCATCTCTAATAATTTATTCCCAGGATTATTCTCCATAATATATCCAAGACAATCATAATCAACCCAAGTTTAGCTAAATTGGATTTTATTAAATAAACCCATATTAAATTTATTTTTAAGCAAGTTAATATTTATGGCTTTAAAATGTTTATTTATTTGAAAAATGGCTTATTTAATAACAGATGGATTGGGATATGACAGAAAGTTCCCATCACTAGAACATAATTGGTATAAAAATAAACTAAAAAATTCCAAAATGTGTAAGGAAATTAATGCAAGCAGATAACTGAACAGTGTTTAACTAAAATAAAATGGCGATATCATGTTAGCAAACGTTAGTTGAAAGTGAAAAGTACAGGTTAAAAATATACATGAAAGGTACCACCTTTATTCTTGATAACTACTTTTATTTTTATCCTCCAAATTATACCAGAATTTGAAGGACACTTTAACAAAACAAGGATCTAGAAAACATGATTATATTAAGTTAAAATCTACTCGCTTATTTACCACAGACCTTTAGAAACTATTGAAAATTGGCAATTCTTTTCTGTAAAATACAAATTCAGTAACTATTCTATCTTGTATGGTATAGTCAGCTCCATTCTTGTTCTGTTTCTGGGAGGAAGTGTGAAAGGGGAGAGGGAAATCCTAGGCTGCCTAGAGTCCTGCCAGAATATTACAAGGTCTATCTAATTTCCTTGTCTGTTGCTGTTAATCATTTTTTATTTATGTTTGTATTTTTACTGGTATAATTATTTTCTAATGGTGTTATAGCTTTATTGTTTCTGGGGCTTTTTTCATGCTGTCTCTTGTTCTTGTAATTCTTCCTTCTTCTCTCTCTGTTTATGAGGTACTATTTGTTTTTGATGTCCCAACTCTAACTTTGAGTATCCAGTAATGACTGACTTTTAAATGAGTACAGCTTTCTCTCTCTCTCTCTTTCTCTTTCTTTTATCCTTATACTTATAATTTACAAACAAATATAGAGCCATAGGGCAATGTGAAGGAATCTTGGAGAAAATCTCCAGGGTGTAAACTGGTAGATTATTTAATGGAAAAGATTCCAGCCCCCACTTCCAATCTTTCACATTTATAAGATATTTATTGTTTATTTGATAAAAGTTCTTTGTAATTTGAAAATTTATTTTGTATCTCATTTATTTTTACCCATACATATTTAAGGCAACAGATAATATACTTTAAACCTCCAAATCATATGAGTCATGTCCCATCATTTTCATTTATTGATCATATTGTAAGTGTACAATATTGGAGAAAGGAAAAACATAAAATTAAGTAACTAAACATAATGACAATGAAATTTAGGGTATTAATTTTAAAGCAGGATTCAAGAGCCAGCCTCTTATTTAATGGGGTGAAATTGAGATGAATATTAAAATATCTAAGCATCAATTTTCTGAAGAGCAATGACAAGAACTTATAGTCATGCATTGCTTAATGACAGGGAAACCTTCTGAGAATTGTGTCATTAGGTGATCTCGTCATTATGTGAACAACATAGAGTGTACTTACACAAACCTAGATTGTATAGCCTACTACACACCTAGGCTGTATGGTATAGTCTATTGCTAACATGTAACTGTATTCAATACCGTAGGCAATTGTAAACCATTGGCAACTATTTGTGTATCTAAATGTAGAAAAGATACGGTAAAAAAAAAATGCTATAAAAGTTAAAAATAGTACACAAGTATAGAACATTTATTATGAAAGGGGCTTGCAGTATGGAAATTTCTCTGGGTGAGACAGTAAGTGAATGAATGAGAAAGGTTAGAAAATAACTGTACGTGGCTCGGGCATGGTGGCTTACGACTGTAATCCCAGCACTTTGGGAGGCCCAGGCGGGTAGATCACCAGGTCAAGAGATGTGGAACATCCTGACCAAGATGGTGAAACCCCGTCTCTACTAAAAATACAAAAATCAGCTGGGCGTGATGGCATGTGCCTGTATTCCCAGGTACTCGGGAGGCTAAGACAGGAGGCTTGATCCTGGGAGGCAGAGGTTGCAGTGAGCTGAGATCACGCCACTTCACTCCAGTCTGGAGATAGAGCAAGACGCCATCTCAAAAAAAAAAAAAAATTACTGTACACTACTGTAGACATTATAATCATTGTACAATCAGTCTGCACTAAATTCACAACTTTTTTCTCAATAATAAATTAATGTATTGTAATATTTTTGTTAATAATAAATTAATTGTAATAAATATATTTAATTTAACAATAAATTAAAGTATAGCTTGTAGTAACTTTTTAACCATATAATTTTTTAAATTTTTAAAATTTTTGGACTCTTGTAATAAAACCTAAAGCTCAAATACATTGTACAATTGTACAAAAAATATTTTTTCTTTATATTCTTATTCTGTAAGCTTTTTTCCAGTTAAAAAAATTTTTTTTTTAGTTTTTTTTTGTGAAAAACTAAGACATAATTGTACAAATTAGCCTAGGCCTACACAGTGTCAGCATCATGAATATCTCTGTCTTCCACTTTGACATCTTGTCCCACTGGAAGGTCTTCCAGAGCAATAACACATATGGAGCTGTGACCTCCTATGAAAACAATCCCTTCTTCTGGAATACTGCCTGAAGGACCGGCCTGAGGCTGTTCTACAGTTAACTTTTTTTTTTTCTAATAAGTAAAAGGGATACACTCTAGAATAACAATAAAAGTATAGTAAATACATAAATCATTAACAATCATTTATTATCATTATCAATATTATTGGGTACTGTATTTAATTTTACGTGTTATACTTTTATAACAGTAGCACAGTAGGTTTCTTTATACAAGCATCACCACAAATATTTGAGTAATACTTTGTACTAGGACATTAAAACAGCTATGATGTCACTAGGTGTTAGGAATTTTTCAATGTCGTTAGAATTCTTTTCCTATTTTGAATTTTTTTATATTTTAATAGCTTTAGGAATATAAGTGGTTTTTGGTTACATGGATAAATTGTATAGTGGCAAAGTCTGAAATTTTAATGCACTCATCACCCAAGTAGTGTACGTTGTTTCCAGTATGTGGTTTTTTTATCCCTCACCTCCCTCTCACCTTCCCCTCTTTTGAGTCTCCAAGGTTCGTTATACCATTCTTTATACTTTTGCATCCCATAGCTTAGTGCCAACTTAGGAGTGATGACATTATGATATTTAGTTTTCTGTTTCCGAGTTACTTCACTTAGAATAATGGCCTTCAGTTCCATCCAAGTTGCTTCTAAAGATATTATTTTGTTCGTTTTTTACAGCTGAGTAATATGCTGTATTAGTCCATTCTTACACTGCTATATAGATACTACCTGAAACTGGGTAATTTATAAAGGAAAAAGGTTTAATTGACTCACAGTTATGCAGGCTTAACAGGAAGCAAGGCTAGGAGGCTTCAGGAAACATATTTATCGAGGAAGGTGAAGGGGAAGCAAGCACGTCTTACATGATGGCAGAAGAGAGAGAGAGAAGAGCAAAGTGCCAGACACTTATCATACAGCCAGATCTCATTCAAACTCACTACTCACTGACTATCATGAGAACAGCATGGGGGAGACTGTCCTCATGAACCAATTACCTCCCACCAGGTTCCTCCTTGGACAGAAGGGGATTACAATTCAAGATGAGATTTGGGTGGGAACACAGAGCCCAACCATATCATTCTGCCATGGCCCTCCCCAAATCTTATGTTCTTTTCACATTTCAAAACTAATCTTGCCTTCTCAACAATCCCCCAAAGTCTTAACTCATTCCAGCATTAATTCAAAAGTCAACATCCAAAGTCTCATCTGAGACAAGGCAACTCCCTTCCACTTATGAGCCTGTAAAATCAAAAGCAAGTTCGTTACTTCCAAATACAATGAGGGTATAGGCGTTGGGTAAATGCTGCCATTCCCAATGGAAGAAATTTGTCTAAACAAAGGGGTCACAGACCCCAGGCAAGTCCAAAACTTGGCTAGGCAGTCATTAAATATTTTTAAATATTTTTATATTGTTTTGTGCCCTTTCAAGTTGTTAAATTTTAAGGCTCATAATCTTCTTTGACTCCATGTCTCAGATACACGGCATGCTGATTCAAGGGGTGAGCTCCCACAGTCTTGGGAAGCTTCGCCCCTGTGGCTTGGCAGGGTACAGCCCCTGCCACTTCTTTCATGGGCTGGTGTTGAGTGCCTGTAGCTTTTCCAGGTGCAGGATGCAAGCTATTTGTGGATCTACCATTCTAGGGTCTGGAGGATGGTGGCCCTCTTCTCACAACCCTGCTAGGCAGTGCCCTAGTGGGGACTCTGTATGGTGGCTCCAGCGCTACATTTTCCTTCCACACTGCCCTAGCAGAAGTTCTCCATGAGGGCTTTAGTCCTGCAGCAGACTTCTGCCTGTACATCCGGGTATTGCCATACATCCTTTGAAATCTAGGTGGACGTCCCCAAAGCTCAACTCTTGTCTTCTGTACACCCACAGGCTCAATACCACATTGAAGCCACCAAGGCTTGTGGCTTGCACTCTCTGAAGCAATGGACTGAGCTGTACCTTGGCCCCTATTAGCCATGGATGGAGCTGGAACAGCTGGGACACAGGACACCAATTCCCAGGGCTGCACAGAGAAGTGGGGCTCTGGACCCAGCCTATTCCCTCCTAGGCATCTGGGCCTGTGATGTTAGGGGCTGTTCTGAAGATCTCTGACAGGGCTTGGAGGCATTTTTCCCATTGTCTTGGCTACTAACATTGGCTCCTCGTTACTTATGCACATTTCTGCAGCCAGCTTGAATTTCTCCACAGAAAATAAGATTTTTCTTTTCTACCTCATGGTCAGGCTGCAAATTTTCCAAACCTTTATGCCCCATTTCTCTTTTAAACATGAGTTTCTCTCAGATCACCACCTCTGCCGGGACTTCATTGTCCATATCACTATAAGCATTTTTGTCAAAGCCATTCAACAAGTCTTCAGGAAGCTCCAAACTTTCTCACATTTCCCTGTCTTCTTCTGAGCCCTTGAAACTGTTCCAACCTCTGCCTGTTACCCAGTTTCAAAGTTGCTTCCACATTTTCAGGTTATCATTATAACAGTACCTCACTATCCTGGTACCAATTGTCTGTATTAGTTCATTCTCACACTGCTATATAGATATTACCTGAGACTGGGTAATTTATAAAGGAAAGAGGTTTAATTCACTCACAGTTATGCAGGTTTAACAGAAAGCATGGCTAGGAGGCCTCAGGAAACTTACAATTATGGAAAAAGGGAAGGGAAAGCAAGCAGGTCTTACATGGTGTCAGGAGAGAGAGGGGAGGAGGAGGAAGTGCCAGACACTTATCAAACAACAAGATCTCATGAGAAACCACTCAGTATCATGAGAACTGTATGGGCGAACTGCCCCATGATCCAATTATCTCCCACCAGGTTTTTTCCTGGACAAGTGGACACTATAATACATGATGAGATTTGGGTGGGGACACAGAGCCAAACCATATCATATGTCATAGTGTATATATACCACATTTTCTATATCTACTCATTGGTTGATGGGTACTTGGTTTGGTTCCATATCATTGCAATTGTAATTGTACTGTAATAATTATAAACATGCTAATGTCTTATTGATAAATGATTTCTTTTCCTTTGGGTAGATACCCAATAATGGGATTGCTGAGTCAAATGGTAGATCTACTATTTGCTATTTGAGAAATCTCTATACTATTTTCCATAGAGGTTGTATTAATTTACATTTCTACCAGCAGCATATAGCATTCCATTTTCACCACATCCACAGACAACATTATTGTTCTTTGACTTTTTAATAATGGCCATATTCTCTGGGGTAGTATGGTACTTCACTGTGGTTTTAATTCACATTTCCCAGATGATTGGGATGTTAAGCATTTTTTTCATTTTTGTTGCCATTTGTATATCTTCTTTTGAGAAATGTCTATTCATGTCATTTGCCCATATTTTTAATGATATTTGTTTTTTTCTTGATGGTTTGAGTTCCCTTTAGATTCAGGATACTAGTCCTTTGTCAGATGCATAGTTTGCAAACATTTTCTTCCATTCTGTGTTGTCTGATTACTCTAGTGATTGTTTCTTTTGCTGTGCAGAAGCTTTTTAGTTTAATTAGGCCTCATTTATTAATTTTTGTTTTTGTTGCAATTGCTTTTAGGATCTTAGTCTTAAATTATTTGACTGGGCGAATGTTTAGAAGAGATTTTGTTAGGTTTTCTTCTAGAATTTTTATGATTTTCAAGTCTTAGATTTAAGTCTTTAATTCATCCTGAGTTGATTTTTCTATATGATGAGAGAGATAAATCCACTTTTAGTTTTCTGCATGTGGTTATCCATTTTTCCAAACATCATTTATTAAATAGAGTGTTCTTTTCCAGTTCATGTTTTTGTATGCTTTGTTGAAGACCAGGTGGTTGTAAGTATTTGCCTTAATTGAGGGAGGGTTCTGAATTATTTTCCACTGGTCTATGCATCTACTTTTATACCAGTACCATGCTGTTTTGATTACTATAGCCTTGAAGTATATTTTGAAGTCAGGTCATGTAATTCCTTCGGATTTTTTTTTTTTTCTTAGGATTGCTTTGGCTATTCAGACTCTCTTTTGGTTCATATAAATTTTAGGATTTTTTTTCTAATTCTGTAAAAAGTGGTATTGGTGTTTTGATAGGTATCACATTAAATCTATAATAGATTGCTTTGGGCAGTTTGGTCATTTTTATGATATAGAATATTCCAATCTATGAGCACAGGATATACTTACATTTATTTATGTCATCTATGATTCTTTGATTCTTTTCAGCAGTGTTTTGTAGCTTTCCTTGTAGAAATCTTTTGCCTCTGTGGTTAAGTATATTCTAAGGTATTTTATTTTATTTTTTAGTTTTTGCAATTTCTGTAAAAGGTATTGACTTCCTGATTTGATTATCAGCTTGGTCATGGTGCATAGCAGTGCTACTGATTTGTGTACATTAACTGTGTAACCTGACTCATTACTAAATTCATTTATCAAATCTAGGATTTTTTTGTATAGTCTTTAAGTTTTCTAGGTTTATGATCATAATATTGGCAAACAGAGATAGTTTAATTTCCTCTTTTGCAATTTAGATTCCCTTTATTTTTCTCTTGCCTGATTGCTCTGCCTAAGACATTCAGTAATATGTTGAATAGAAGTGGTGAAAGTGGGCATCCTTGTTTTGGCTGTAGGTTTGTCATATATAGCTTTTATTATTTTGAGATATATTCTTCCTATGCCTAGATTGTTGAAGGTTGTTATCATAAAGGGATGCTGGATTTTATAAAATATTCTGTGTCTATTGAAATGATCATACGGGTTATGTTTTTAATTCTGTTTTTGTGATAAATCACATTTATTGACTTGCATAAGCTGAACCATCCCTGCATCCCTGGAATGAAACACACTTGACCATAGTAAATTATCTTTTTGATGTGCTGCTAGATTCAGTTTGCTAGTGATTTACTGAGGATTTTTCAATTATTTTCATCAGGAATATTGTCTGTAGTTTTCTGTTTTTTGTTATGTCCTTTCCTGACTTTGGCATCAAAATGATACTGGCTTCATAGAATGTGTTATGGAGAATTTCCTCTTTCTTAATCTTTTGGAATAGTTTCAGTAGGACTGATACCAATTCTTTTCTGAATGTCTTATAGAATATGGCCATGAATCCATCTGGAATTGGGCATCTTTTGACAAATTTTTTATTACTTATTAAATTTAACTGCTTGTTATAGTTCTGTTCATGATATTTATTTCTTCCTTATTCAAGCTAGTATTGTTGTATATTTCCAGGAACTTACCCATTTTTTCCAGATTTTCTAGTTTATGTGCATAGATGTATTCACAGTAGTCTCATGTGACCTTCTGTATTTCTGTGGTGTCAATTGCAATGTCTCCATTTTCCATTTTTAATTGAGCTTATTGGAATTTTGTCTCTCATTTTTTTGATTAATTTGGCTAATGGCGTATCAATTTTATCTTTTCAAAGAAAATAATTTTATTTTATTGATCTTTTATATTTTGTTTTCGGTTTCAATTTCATTTAGTTCTGTTCTGATTTTTGTATTTCTTTTCTTCTGTTAGCTTTAGGTTTGGTTTGTTCTCATCTTTCTAGTTTCTTGAGGTGTAACATTAGGTTGTCAATTTGTGATCTTTCAGATTCTTTGATGCAGGAATTCAGCACTATAACCTTTCCTTTTAGTACTGCTTTTGTTGTATCCCAGAGGTTTTTATAAGTTGTATTACTGTTACCATTCACTTCAAGGAATTTTTTAATTTCCTTTTTTTTTTTTTTTTTTTTGAGACAGAGTCTCATTCTGCCATCCAGGCTGGAGTGCAAGTGGTGAGATCTCAGCGCACTGCCTCCTAGGTTCAATCGATTCTCCTGGCTTAGCCTCCTGAGTAGCTGGGATTACAGGCACGTGACACTATGCCTGGCTAAGTTTTGTATTTTTAGTAGAGACAGGGTTATTTACATGTTGACCAGCCTGGTCTTGTGTTCCTGACTTCAGGTGATCCACCACCTCGGCCTCCAAAACTGCTGGAATTATAGGCATGAGCTACCTTGCCCAGCCTAAATTTTTATTTTGATTTTATCATTAATCCAAACATTATTCAAGAACAGGTTTTTTGAAATTTGCATGTATTTCTATAGTTTTGAGATTTCCTTTCGGTATAATTTCTAGTTTTATTCCACTGTGGTCTGAGAAAATACTTGATATGATTCTAATTTTTCAATATGTATTGAGACTTGTTTTGTGTCCTATCATATGGTCTATGTTGGAGAATGTTTCATGCTCTGAAAAGAAGGATGTATATGATGTGATTTTTGGGTAGAATTTTCTGTAAATATCTGTTAGGTCTGTTTGCTCTAGAGTGCAGTTTAAATCCAGTGTTTCTATGTTAACTTTCTCCCTTGATGATATGTCTAGTCATTGTGTTGCTTCCTATCCCTTTTTTTTTTTTTAGGTTTAGTAGCAATTATTTAATAAATCTGGGAGCTCCAGAGTTAGATACACATATATTTAAAATTGTTATGTATTCTTGTTCAACTGACCCTTTTATCATTATATAATGACCCTCTTTGTCTGTTTTTTTTTTAATTTAACTGTTGCTGCTTTAAAATCTATTTTATCTGATATAAAAATGGAAACTGCTGCTCACATTTGGTATTCATTTGCATGGAATTTCTTTTTCCATTGCTTTACCTTGAGTATATAAGAATCCATATGTCTTAGATGCGTGTCTTGAAAATAGCAGATATTTAGTTTGTGATTTATTAAATTCATTCTGCCAAACTGCATCTTTTATGCAGTCAGCTCCATTTGAATTTATGGATCACCATAGTATATGTAGTCTTTTTCCAAAAGGTTGTTATGCATCATATAACTATTTCTATCTTACATTTTATTGCAAGCATTAAGTCTTATAAGTGAAAATATAAACACAAGTTGCAAAGTTTATTAAAAGCCAATATAAATATTCTGTACTGGCATTTTTTTCATCTTTGGAGATAAGTAAAAATGTGATAATATGCAAATGAGAGAAGAAAAGTCAGCATGAAAAAAATGACTGATATTTTTTAGATTTTGTTAATAAGTAGCCAACACAAATAAACAAGTATTTTACAGGAGCTCCAGAAAGGGTTAGTAAAAAAAGTAGTAGAAGTTTCAGGTTAGAATTATCCAAATGTTAACAACAACAACAATAACAGATTAGATAAGAATTTGAATTCAATTCATCAAGTTTAGCATAACAATAAAACTGGTAAAGCATAGCTATTTTTTATTAAAATTTGACAAGTAGAAAAAAAAGTCAATGAGTTAAGGTGTTAGCCACTAAGAACACAATGTTTATGAAAGAAGTGGAAGCAACTTATAATGAAATGATTAAATAAGCACATGGTTTATAGTATTAAGAAATGTTATATTACCTCTGCATGTAATGTTGGTGTATGATACCAATCAATGAAAAGGTTTTGCTAGTGTAAACTTTATTGTATAAAAAGTAGTATTATTCTAATTTTATGACTTTATTTTAAAATGTCCATTTGCTTTTATGTATATATGATGCAGGATTTTTTCAGTGCTATTTCACCTGCTGGAGACCTCCACAGCTGGCAACGCCCCTGCCCAGGGCCTTGCTTGGCTCTGGGCTTGCTGCAGGATGTATCCTACCCACTTAATGTTGCAGGCTGCTCTTGGCTTGCACTACATCTTGGATCCCGTGCTTGCTTCAGGATCAATGCTTAGCCTGCCACTGAGCCAAGCATGCCATTACTTGTTTCTGTCTTGGGCACCAGCAACTGGATAAGAACATGATGGTGCCTGAAAAACATGGAGATGCCAGTGACACTGCAGCCACAAAGTGGGTGTTATTCCAGTTGTCTGCAGCTGGGTGAATGAGGGCATCTTAACAGCTCTTTCAGTCCCGTTGCTCTGCTCCAGCCCATAGCTCCTGGGCTGGCCTGACCCTGCTGCTGCTTCCTGTCATGTGGGGCAGCCAACTGGTGCCAGTGGAGGGTGAAGGACTACAATGTTATTGCCTTTTTTATACCCATGTTCAGCAGGTCTCAAGTTCTTGTCCCATGTCCAGAAATAATTAGGTTATGCTGACAACCAAAGGGTGAGCATGGCAAAGTGTTTTATTGAGTGACAGCTCTCAGTGGAAAGAGGATCCTAAGAGGGCAGCCCCCTACCTGAAGTAGGGTAGTTCCCCTAAATGTGGCTGAGTCTGAGGTTTTTATGGACTCAGAATGGGGGAGTATGTGCTGATTGGTTTGTGAGTATCCAAAAAAGGCTAAAGAAAGGCACCACTCAAAGATGGACATGACAGTGTGAAAAACCAATTAGGGAAGGGTAGGTATATATAAAATGGGTGAAAGGTAGGGATCAATCAGAGGAAAGCATGCCACACTGGAAGAGAGATTCTCAGTCTGGTCCATGGATTTATCTGAGACTTGTGGCTTGGTTTTCAGGCTTTAAGCTGTCTTCAGCTTGAAGGCCAGGTTTCAATGGGGACCTGCCCCATCTGCCTTCTGCTACTATCAATCCCCCCTCTGAAGAGGTAATACTAACTGCCATTAGGATACGGACAATGACTGCTCTTAACTGCTTTATGCTGATGCAGGGCATTGTTTGGGAAGACAGAAATTAAATCTCTCTCCGAGGCCTAAGGGTCCCCAGTAAATGGGAAGCATTGCTTGAGGCTCCAGTTGCATGACCTTTTGGAGTTTGATGGCCTGAAGGTGAGAAGAAACAAATTTTTCAAAGAAGTTAAATATTCACAGAACAAGTATTTGTATTACACAAAGAGGAGCTAAAAGGAAAAAATCTAGTGCCCAAGATAACAAAAATAAAAAGTAAAATACAAGAATCATTCTGAAAACAATGTTGTGGCCAGAGCTGTTTCATTCTGGTGAAAGAGATTAAATCTTGTTTAGGGACAATTACACTTTAGAAGAGGGATAACTGTTTATGGGAGTAGATAATCCCATGGGTGTTCAGGATTAAGGGGTCCTTGACCAAGATGCCTCATGGTGAGGGACAGAATGAAGGTAAGAACAGCAAGCGTAGGCAAGACCATACAGAGGACATTCATAGAAAGTTAATTATTGGCACTTATCTTTTGTGATTTTTAGCTTGAGGTGCTTCCTGGTACTTCAGGAACCCTTCTGGGTCAACAGAGGTAATTCTATCAGTTTCCCAGGCCTTTACTTGAGTATAATGAATCCAATAATTTCTTCCAGTGACCTTTACTGCTGAAGGAGTAGAAAAAGTACAGTGTAAGTTCTCACCTACTCTGGGCCTAGAGAGAGAGAAAGGGAAGCAAGTGCCTTTACCAGTACTGGGTCCCCTGGGTTGAATGGAGGTGACCCTAGTTCACAGGTTTGGGCCTTTGACAGTTAATAAGTCTCATGAGATCTGATGGTTTTATAAAAGGACAGTTCCCCAGCACACACTCTCTTGTCTGCCGCCATGTAAGACATCCCTTTGCTTTGCTCCTCCTTTGTCTTTCATCATGATTGTGAGGCCTCCCCAGCCAGGCCAAACTGTGAATCCATTAAATCTCTTTCTCTTTATAAATTATCCAGTCTCAGGTATTTCTTCATAACAGTATAAAAATTAATATGCTTGTTCTACAGAAGAACTTTCCAGTCTGTTTTTTTGTTTGTTTGTTTGTTTTTTATTTTGGTTTTCTCTGGCTTCATAGGTTTGCACTACTATCTGTTCACAGTCATGTTCAAGTTTCCCAGCTTCCTCTGGAAGGAAGATGGCTGGGTTTAGGGTGGGACAGGTTCTTAATTGGACTGTAGAGGCTAATAGCAGAGCTTGATATTTGAGAAGGCAGTTGTCCATTAGACAGAGAAGACAGAAATCCTGCCACATTGTATGGGGTATAAACGGTTCAGTTATTTCCTGTGGTTAAATTAGTAGCCTCTGATACCAGCAAGGCCACCACTGCAACTGCCTGGAGGCAGGCCCGCCATCCTTAGCAACCAAACCAAGCTCCTTGCTTAGGTAACCTACAGGCTGCTGGGCTGGATCTTGGGCCTGGATTAGAACTCCCATGGCCATTTTCTTCCTTTCTGATTCATAAGGATTGAATGTCTTCTCTATGGGAAGACTAAGGGCTGGTGCCTCAAGCAAGGCTTATTTTAGTTGGTCAAAGCCTTTTTAGCCTCTGGTTCCCAAATCAGGGAGTGAGTTTTAGCTGCCTAAGTCTCCATTATTAGGTGATATAAGGGATATGCTGTTTTATGGTATCCAGGTAGCCATAGTCTGCAGAATCCTGTAATGCCCAAGAATCCCCTCAATTGCTTGCAGGTTTTTGGGAGGGAGAAGAATGGAGGATATGGGCTTAATCCTTTCTTTGCCTAGTGCCCTGTTCCCCCTGACAATTCTAGTCCTAGGTACTTCACTGAAGTCTGACAGAGGTAAGCCTTAGATTTTGAGACTTTATATCCTCTGTTAGCCAGAAAATTAAGAAGAGCCTTACCATCCTCCTGAGAGACTTCCTCAGTTGGGGCAAAGAGGGGAATGTCACCTACATATTATGAAACTTTAATCTGAAGATAAAGGAACTCAGAGAGATTTTTTGGCAATGCCTGTTCAAACTGGGGTGGAGGGGGCTGTCTTGGAATTTCTGAGGTAACACCATCCAGGTTAACTTGGTGGTCTGATTGGAGGGATCTTTTAATGCAAAAGAACACTGGAGTCCGAGTCTAATGATATGCAGAAAGTCATCCTTTAGGCCGAGAACTGTGAACCATTTAGTTTCCTCAGGTATTTGAGTTAGCAGGGTCTAGGGATTAGGAACCATCAGGTGAATTGGAACCACAGCCTCATTAATGAGGTGTAGGTCTTGGACCAGCCTCTATTCTCATTGGGATTTGTATCCCCAATATCAGGTATTACAAGGGGTGTTGCAGGGTTTGAGGAGGCCCTACATCCTCGTGTTATCAATGATGGCTTCTAGTCCTTTCCTAACTTCTGGTTTCAGGGATATTGTCTCTGGTTAGGAAAGGAGATGGGATCCTGAAGGTAGATCCTGACCAATATGGCCATTGTGGTCAATTTTCCTTGAGTTGCCCAAACTTCTGGGTTAATATTAGTATACACTAGGGGAAGACAGAGTCTTTCCTGAAGCCATAACAATGGTGGTTCCCATATGAGCCAGAATATCCAACAGAGAAGTTGGGCTTTCAGGCATGATTAAAAAGCCATGGGTAAATAAGAGATCTCCCCAACTACAACTAAAAGGTTGAGAAAAATATCATGTTAAAGGCTTTCCTGAGTTGCTTCTCAGGGTCATGCTAAGAGAGGAGTGGGGGCCTGCATGGAGAGAAGAACTGAAAGGCCTGCTCCAGTGTCCAGGAGGAGGTCCACCTTCTTCCCTTCATTTTCCAGAATTACACAGGGCTCCTGGATTATAACAGTGGTCCGGAACCACCGGAGCTGGAGAGAGGAGCCCTGGGACTCATCAGTCTTCCTGGACCATTTAGGAGACTGGCTCTGGATCCAGTGACCTGCATCTCTGGTGACACTCTGAACTCCAGTGCTTCCCATAACAGATTGGACAGGGTTAAGGGGGTTTCCTCTTGCTGTCTGGGCAGCCATTCCTTTGTAAAGTGCGCTGCCTGGCTTGCCAAATCTGTAGCAGTTAACAGATGCATCTCAAGGATTCTGGGGTTTGTGAGCCTGCAAGACGACCATTAAAGTCTCTGCCCTTTTCTTGTGTCTGCTCTCTCTCTCAGTCCTCCTCCCTATCCCTATTGTAAAGGACTGAGGTGGCCACTTTCAGGAGGTTCGCTAAAGTACTATCTGGTCCCATGGCCTGTTTCTGTAGCTTTCTCCTGATATCAGGGGCTGCCTGAGTAATAAACTTAATTTTTAGGATTGACTTAATCAGAAAATAGAGAGGTGTGCTTTAACAATGCCTCTCTTAGCCTCTCCAAGAAGGCAGAGGGGTTCTTATCTAATCCCTGGTCTATTATGGATAGTTTGGAGCAACTGAGATGCTTAGTTCTAGTCCTTTGTAAGCCATACATCATGCACAACTGAAAGTGTTTCCTCTTCCATTCTCTCATTTCATCACTGGGGTCCCATCTAGGGTACTCCAATGGTACTGCCATTCTTCCAATTCGGTGAAGCTCATCCTCTTCCTTGGCACTATATGAGATACAAAGCTCATCCCCAAAATTCTATGCTGTTTGTAGGATAGCCTGCTTCTTAGTGGTATCAGGGTTTGATTCAAAAGTAACATAGCATCTTCCAGGAGAGTTCAAATACTTGGGTTAAGTTCTGGAAAAACTCTATATATTTGTCCTGGTTGTCTAAAAACTTGCCAAGATCCCCCTTAATATGCCTTAAATCCTGTAAAGAGACAGGGACCTAGACCTTACTGGGGCCATATTCTTCAGGTATCTGTTGCAGGGGCAGGAATGAGACTGAGGCCTGGCTAAAATGAGGATTTCTAGAATGGGGCAAGCTAGAAAGAGAACATAAATAGGGAAGACAGGATGGGCCAAGAGGAGCAGGGCCAGAGGGAGCTGGCATCCCTGCTGGAGGTACCTCTGGGGTTTGTTTCTCCAGTTCCTTGGGGTTGACTTTTGCAGCTTCTCTTGATATGACCACTAAGAGGGCTGAATCAATCCTACAGTGCCAGCAAAGGTTTGTATTACTCTTTAAGGCACAGAAACCCTGAAAATATAGGACCTCAGACCATTTGCCCTCACGTTTACAGAAAAGGTCCAGCTGCAGGATGGTATTGAGATTAATGCTCCTTCCTGACACCAAGCCTGTCCTACGTGCAAAACATAACCTGGCCAAACACTTGTGCAAAAGAATATGAGGTGTTTTTTTCTCCAGAGTCTGAGTCCCAGTGATTCAGGATACACACCAGAGGAGTGTAGGATGAAGACGATTGGTTATGCATCTGAAAGAGAAGGAAAATGTGTCCTTTAATTCCTTTCTTTCTGCAAAAATTCAGGGTGTGTGAGGTAGAGAAAAAAAGGCATCTCCTTTTATTTTCTGTCCTTTTCTTCCCCAAGTCCTGGCGGCACTTGTTGAGGGATCTGTGCTCAGCCCACCACTGGGCCAGCATGCCGCAACCTGCTTTTGTCTTGGGTGCCAGTATCTGAATGAGGGGAACCTGAAAAACTTGAAAAAGCTAGAAATCCCAGAGCCACAAAGGGGATGTTATTCTGCCGTCCACAGCTTGGCGGATGGGGTGTGTTAACAGCTCCTTCAGTACCATTGCCCTGCTCCAGCCTGCAGCTCCTGGGCTGGCCTGGCTCCACTGCTGCCCCCGTTGCATGGGACAACCACCCACTTCTAGTGGAAGGCTAAAGGGTGTTACTGCCTTTTTCATACCCACGTTTGGTGGGTCCTGAATTCTTGTCCCACATCCAAAAAGGATGAGTATGAAGGAGAATTTTATTTAGTGACAGCTCTCAGTGGAAAGGGGACTCAAAAAGGGCAGCCCTCTACCCGAAGTCAAGTAGTCTCCTCAAGTGTGGCTGAGTCCAGGGCTTTTATGGGTTCATAATGAGGAAGCACGTGCTGATTGATTTGTGAGTGTGCAAAAAAGGCTGAAGAAAGGTACCATTCAAAGATGGACATGACGGTGTAAAAAGCAATTAGAGAATGGTAGGTATATGTAAAACAGGTGAAGGGTGGGGATCACTCAGAGGAAAGTGCGCCAGTAAGGAAGAGAGGTTCTTAATCTGGTCTAGGGATTCATCTGAGACTTGTGGTTTGGTTTTCAGGCTTTAAACTGTCTTTGGCTTGAAGGTCAGATTTCATTGGGGACCCATTCCTGTCTGCCTCCTGCTGCTATCATGTATATTTTATTATATATATTTTATTTTTATGTGTGTATATATACATATTTTATTAATAGATCATTTTTAGAGCAACCTTTGGTATACAGAAAACTCAGCCAGAGAGAAAGTACAGAAAGATCCCATATACTCCTTCTCCTCCCACCCTCAGTTTTCTGTATTAACATCTTGCAGCAGTGTAATACATTGTTATAATTTAATCAATATTGATACATTATTATTAAGTAATGTCCATAGTTTACATTAAGTTTACTGTTATGTAGAATTTTATGGGTTTTGTCAAATATATCAGGTGATGTATCCACCATTATAGTATCATACAGAGAAGCATAACTGCTCTAAAAATTACCTTATAAAACCATTTTGTCCCTCTCTCCTTTTTCCCCAAACACTAGAAAACACTTATTTTTTTACTGTTTTTGTAGTTTTATCTTTTCTAAATTATTATATAGTGAAATTATGCTGTGCATAGTGTTTTCAGACTGGCTTATTTCACTTAGCAATATGCATTAATGATTCCTCCAGGACTCTTTGTGGCTTGATAATCCATTTTTCTATTGCTGAATAGTATTCTATAATATGCATGTGATATAGCTTATTTATCCATTCAACAACTGACATACAGCTCCCAATTTTTGGCACCTAATGAAACTTCTATAAATATTTTTATATGGAGTTTGTGTGTGTGAGGATATAAGTTTTCAACTCATTTGTGTAAATACCTAGGCAAAAAAATAGTTGAATTATGTGGCAAAACTATGTTTAGCTTTGTAAGAAATTGATAAAGTGTCTTCCAAAGTTGCTGCATTATTTTGCATTTCCATCAGCAAATAATGAGAGTTTCTATTGCTACGCATCCTCACCATTATTTCATGCTGTTAGTATTTTGGTATTTACCCATTCTGGTTTTCATGTAGTAATACCTCCTTGTTATTTTAATATGTATTTTTCTAATCACATACAAGTGTACTTCAAAATGTTTGTATTAAACTATAGAATTAAAACAGAAAAATAAAAACAATATAACTTTATTTCTCAACCTAGGCTTCATCAATTTTAAGACAATTTCATAAGCAATGATACCAACTCTTTAGTACATCCTTAAAGAACTGAAGGTCCTGAGAATTTAACCATGTCAATGCAGTCTTTTAACTTATAATTTTTTAGAGAAGACATTTCACTCTGTCACCCAGCCTGGTGTGCAGTGGTGCAATCCTAGCTTACTACAGCCTCAAACTCCTGGGCTCAAACTGTCCTCCCACCTCAGCCTTTAAGTAGCTGGAATTACAGGCACATGCCACCATGCCAGGCTATTTTCTGGTTGTTTATAGAGACAGGGCATCACTGTGTTGCCCAGGCTGGTTTCAAATTCCTGAGCCCAAGTGATCCTTCCACCTCTGCCTCCCAAAGTGTTGTGATTACAGGCATAACCCACTGCACCCAGCCTGTTTTACATTATTAACTGAAAAAAATGGGTATCCTTTACTTAGTATTTTTTAGATTATAGAACAAGAAGCCAGAAGGAGCTAAATCATCACTATTCAGTGGATGTCTAATGATTTCTCATTGAAAAATCTCACAAAATTACTATTGTTTGATGAGACAATGAGCAGGAGCATTGTCATGGTAAATAAAGACTCTCTAATGATGTTTTCCTGAGCATTTTTCTGCTAAAGCTGTGGCTAATATTTTCAAAACTTTCATAATAGGCAGATACTGTTATTGTTCTTTGGCTTTGCAGCAGTCAACAAGCAAATTGCCCTGATCATCCCAAGAAACTGTCATCTTTGTTCATAACCAGTCCACTTTTGCTTTGACTGGACCAGTTCCACCTCTTGATAGCCATCACTTTGATTGTATTTTGTCTTCAGGATTGTACTGATAAAGCTCTATGTTATTTCCTGTTACAATTCTTCAAAGAACTGCTTCTGGTTCTTGATCATACTTGTTTAAAATTTCCATTAATTCTCTGCTCTTGTCTGGAGCCAATCTGAGCACAATGGTTTTGGAACCCATCTAGTGGACAGTTTGCTCAACTTTTAAGTTTTCAGTCAAAATTATTTAAGCTGAACCAGTTGAAATGTCCACGATGGTGAGTATTGTTTCTACAGTTAATTGATGGTTCTCTTCAACTAGGGCACAAACAAAATTAAGTTTTTTCTTGCAAATTGATATGGAATGTCTGCTGCTGTGTGCTTCATTTTCAACAACATCTCATCCCTTCTTAGAATAAATTATCCATTTGTAAACTGCTGATTTATTTGGGGCATTATCAAAATGTACTATAAACTTTTCATAAAAAAATCAGTGATTTCACTATTCTTCCACCCAAGCTTCAGCATATATTTTATGTTTGTTTTGGCTTCAATTTTAGCCAAATTCATGTTGCTCTGATAGGAACTCTTTTCAAACTAGTTTCTTATCCTTCTCAGCACCTAAAAATATATCCTGTTTAGACATGTTACAACAAGTTAATATGAGTTGATTTTAATGCAAAAAATTAAGGTCTATGCAGAGTTTTCTCAAACCACACATATTCCATAAATACTTTGAAGACCCTTCACATGTTGAATATTTTTTCATGTGCTTACTAGTTATCTGTATCAATTTTGATTAAGTGTCTGTTCAGATCTGTTATGAGTTGAACTGTTTCCTAACAACTCATATTTTTAGTGGTGGAAGAGATCCAAGTTACCCCAAGTTACTGGTGGCAAATTCATACCCATCTGCAGCAACTTCAGCCCTTGTCTCCTAAGAAGAAAGAATTTGACTGAGGGGCATAAGGCAGAAAAAGAGATTGAAGGAAGTTCCAAAGCAGGAATGGAAGTTTATTTAGAAGGCCTTAGAACAGGAAAAAAAAGGAAAGAACTCGTGGAAGAGTTCCAAGTGGGCTCCTAAAGGTCAAAGAGAGAAAAAGAAGGTTCCTTTAACCTTGATCCTGGGACTTTATAGGCTCACCTCTTTCTCATGATTCTTCCCTGAGGATGGATTTTCTCCATGCACAGTGTTCTCCTTACCCTTGGGATTAGACAGTGTATTTAGGGAGTTATATGCATACCCATCTGAGACTTTCTTTTTCCGGTGGAGTGTGCCTGGAAGATCATACTTCACTATTTTTGTCTCTTAATCTGCATGCCCGTGAAGTTGCTTCTCCCTAGGGCCTATATTCAATTAACATTTTGATGCTAACAAGTGTGTTTTACACAGTAGAAGTTTTTAATTTCAATGGAGTGAAACTTACTAATTATTATTTTTCATTAATCATGCTTTTGGTATTGTATCTTAAAACACATCAGCAAACCTAAGATCACATAGATATTTTTCTTTGATATCTTCTAGAAATTTTATAATTTTGAGATTTGCATTTTTATCTATTATTCATTTTAAGTTAATTTTTATAACATATGTAAAGTCTATATATATATATGTGTGTGTGTACATAGATATACATATAGATATAGATATATAGATATAGATAGATAGCACTTGAATGTGTGGTTGTTCAAGCAGCAGTTGTTGCAAAAATTATCCTTCCTCCATTTAATGACTTTTGCTCCTTTGTCAAAAATTGCCAATTTTTGTGTTGATTTCTTTCTAGGTTCTCTATTTTATTTCATTAATCTATTTGTCTAATTTTTAACAAATACCACTGTCTTTATCAGTATAGCTTTATAGTAAGCCTTGAAGTTGTGTACTAATATTCTTTTGACTTTGTTCTATCTAATACGGTGTTAGCTCTTCTAAGTTGTTGTCGTTTCCACATAAACTTTAGAATCAGTTTGTTGATATCCATGAAGTAAGTTGCTGTAATTTTAATCAAGATTATGCTGAATATGTAAAATAAATTGGGAATTTGACTATTTTTATTTAGTTTTCAGTGCTAAGAGTGAAGCTCAGCTTCATAATTTAAAATGCATTTTTTAGCAAGATAATCAATTTTCAGTATAAGATTACAAAATATGTAAAAAAACTTCTATCTTATTACTCAGAGTAACATCTTTTAACTATGTCTTTAAATATCTTCAATAATTATCAATATCACTATAAATATTATGACTGAGCTTTTTTTCTCATATTATTTTGAAAACTATTGCTCACCACCATGAAAAATTAGAATTTATGTTGTTTCCTTGAGTTTATAATTGCTTTTTTAATTTTTTTTTACCAAAGCCTAATATGCCTTAAACATAACTTAAGCTTATCTCACTAACCATGGATTTCCTCTTTCTAGATTTTACTCAAAAATTATTCAAATTTTCTCTCCAATTGCATTGGTTATTCTCTAGTATCACTGTAATGCTGTCCTTCAGGTATTTGTTTTACTCTATTTCTAGATTAAATCCATTGTTTCCTCGGTCTTGTGTCTTCTTTCTTTATTAGCTTCTTTATTTCATATCCTTGAGTAACTATGCCCAAAAGAGACAAAAGGAGATAGATAAATTCTGGATTTTTGCATGTCTGCATCTCTCATTTTTGATAGTTTGGATGAGTATTGAATACTAATTTAAAACAATTTGTGCTCAGACATATATAGGCATAATTTTATATTCTTCTACATGCCAGTGTTGCTGATAAGACTCATGGGAATCTAAAATTTGTTCTACTGTTAGAACTAGTTTTAATTTTCTTTTTACTTCTTTTTTCTATAAATTTTCTAAGAATTTTAAAGTTATTGTCAATATCCTAAGATATCCTCAATATCACAATATTTCATTATGGGGCCTTCTTGTTCTCTTCCTGTTTTTCTTCCTTCTCTGATATTATTGCTTTGTTTTTTCAACACTTTGATTATTTTAATTTGAAAATAATTTTTCTAAAAAAATTCTTTTGTTCTTTTAAAAATTATTTAAATTTTAAATTCTTATTCTTTTTTCATAGTTCTTTCTGGAATTCTTCAAATTTACTGTTTGTGTTTCTTTCATTCCCTCTCATACTTTTATTTTCTTTATATTCTGTGATATAGAGGATATCTTTTTACTTTTATTTCAACTCTTCTATTGAATATTTGATTTTGTAATTATGTGTCTGGCTTGATCAATTTAGGCTGCTACGAAAAAGAGTACTATAATCTGGGTGGCTTAAATGCCAGAATGTATTTATCACAGTTTTGGAAGCTGGGAATTCCAAAATCTCATTTTTTTTTTTTTTTTTTGTAACATGAACAGACTGAGACTTTTCCAAATCTTTAAGTTATAGTTGCTTATTGCTTAACATCTTCATGTTCAATTTATTTCTCTCTTCTCTCATTCTCTCATTTTACTATAAGCAGTCAGGAGGAATCAAGATGCTTTTTCAACATTGTACTTAGAACTCTCTTCAAATAAATATCCAATTTCATCACTCACAGTTCTACCTTCCAAATACCACTAGAACACAAACACAATTCAGCCAAGCTATTTGTCATTTTATAACAAGGATAATATTTTCTCTATTGCCCAATAACATGTTACTAACTTCCATCTTAGATATCACCAAAATAGCTCTTCAAACCCATATTTCTATCAACATTCTGTATACAGTTATTTGTGTGTACTCTAAGAATATGAAAGCTTTCTCCACAGCTTTCCTCTTTAATTTCTGAGCCCTCACCAGAATCACCTTTAAGTTCCTTCAAAGCTATACGTAGGCTTTTTCTAGCATGCACCTCAAAACTCTTTCAGCTTCTACCCATTACTCAGTTTCAAACTGCTACCACATTTTTAGATATTTGTTACAACAGCACTGCACTTCTCAGTACCACCTCTGATTTTGAAATTTGTACATTATTTTTGAGGCATTGGTATATTCCTTTCATTGCTACATTAGATTACACTGGATTTTCTGTCAATGAAAAGTTGCATTGTTTTCAAGTATTTATTATTCTAAAATATTCTTCTAGGAAATTTGTCTCTATACAGATTCAGGAGTTTTTCTAGGTATTCAGTACAAACTGGGCTGGGCATGGAAGCTCACGCCTGTAATCCCAGCACTTTGGGAGACCAAGGTGGGAGGATAACCTGAAGTCAGGAATTCCAGACCAGCCTGGCCAACATAGCAAAGCTCCCGTCTCTACTAAAAATACAAAATTAGCCAGTCGTGGTGGTACAAGCTTGTAATCCCAGCTACTCAGGAGGCTGAGGCAGGAGAGTCGCTTGAACCCTGGAGGCGGAGGTTGCAGTGAGCCGAGTTCGCAGCATTGAACTCCAGCCTCGGCAAAAAGAATGACACCGTGTCTCAAAAAAACAAACAAACAAACAAACAAACAAAAGGGTTAAGGTATGTTCCAACACATTTCCACAGTGGTTGCAAACTATTATACTCCAACCTGCACTGTAAAGGGTTCTTGTTGATTACCACTTGCCCCAACTCTTAGGATTATTTGACTTTCATTTTTATTTCTAAAGTCAAATCTTATTGAGTTTATATTTGAATTGCCCTGATTACACATGAACACTTAAGAAGATATTTACTACACACTGTGTAAACTTCTCTGGAAGCACCCTGAATAAGTTTTGCCTATTTCCTTTTGCTTACACATATTTTGAAATTGATATGTGGGGGATTTTTATGTATTCTGAATATGAATCTCTGTGGTTTTACAACCACCAAATATATACTTCTAGTGTTGCTAGTCTTTTCGCTTTATTTACATTATCATGTGATAAAAGACATTTTTAAATTTCAATTAAGAGTACAGAAAAATAACATTTTCCAGTAAATGCTTAGATCTTTCTGAAAATTTTGAAATATTAATATTAAAAGTTGCTGCTTCTTATAAAACATTTAAAGCAATATTATGGAAACTTGTGATATGTTGATCTTTCTCTAATTTCCTAAAAACATAGAGTTATTCATTGTGTCCAGATGCAAAAGATGTTTTTTTTTTTCTGCTTAATTTTCTCTAGTTTTCTAGTGCTCAGTTGTATGATGAACTCTAAAACAATGAACATTATGACATGCTATCAATCATTTTAGGCAAAAATAGTGTCAAGTGCAATTACTTATCAGTAGTCCCCTTACCTGTTCTAATTTTGCTTTGACTAATACAGGTAATGACTCGAGTACCATTTGTCTTACCACACATAAAGAAAGAGAAATAAGATTTATTACAGAATTACTGAGGGTTTTTTTTTTTTTTTGAGCACCTTAGGTTTCTTCGTTTAGGTTTGAATATGATGTCTTCAGAACATTTTGTTGATTTTTAAAATAATAATAACAAAAAATAAACACATAAGTTACAAGCATAGTAAGACTGCAGCTTCTTTGCTAATATGTATGCTGCAGAAACATACATCTGAGAAACTCAAAGATATTTTTTACCTTCTTAGACTTTTCTTAAACAAAATTAATGCTCTGTGTTAAAATCATTGGATTTCTTATCAGATCCTCAATATGAGGCTCATGTAGATATCAAATAAGCTATTTGATTTTGAGTTGAAACATATTTTAGTATTATTCTCAGCATTAACTAAAATATGCCTTTCAATTCACCTTGAATATGGATCTCAGATGAACAACTTCAATGGTTTGTCTATGGCTCTGAGGAATATAGGTCAGTTCGTTTAATTAAACCCTTGTAGTATTATACAACTGTGTTTTTAGACACATGTTTTACAACAAAATAGAGTTATTTCATATTAAAATAGAGGTATATTTTAATAGATAATATGTATCTATTAATATGTCTTTGAATATAAATAAATATGTGTCTCAATATTAGAAGTGTATAGAAAACATGTAAAAATTTTTACATGGCTAGTTTACTTACTTATTTTCAATTCTTTTTCTTTCTTATAACCACCTACAGAATTAGTCTGGTTACTAGATTTAATAAAATATCTATATTTACTATTCAAACTAAAAAATAGACATCACCTAGTCTGTGTTCCAATGTGTATTGTCTTTATAGATCATACTGATCTGGTAGAAATATTATAAAATACATCATATGCTTAAATAGTATATTTTTTCCCCTTGACTCTTCTGTACATTTTAGTTGTCTAATTGTATTGCTTCTAATATTCTGTCACTCTATTTTCTCTGCTTTCCTTAAAAAAGAATCACATACTAATAGGTTGTATTTACCTCACTGGTTGTGTCATTGAGACTTTTATTAAGTCATCGGTTTCTATTTATTTCAAAGCCTAAATTTTATCACATTATTTTCTTTCATATTTACAGATAAACATTTGTGAATAAGGGTGGCTTTGTTTTCAGTGCATGTAAAATAAATTCTGGAGAGAATGTAATTATAAGCTCTTATTCTATTTTATTACACTTCCAAGAAGTTAGGACTTTATTAAATGTGTGACTTCCATTTGCATCCCTGGAGAAATAAATCAAAAGAGTGAAGGTGTTTATTTATCGTGATTTTATTATACATAAGTTCACAGCAAACTTCGTGCTATAACTAATGAACAAAAACAAAAATGCTATGAATTTAAATATTCAAATATTTAAGTAAATATTTGAATTGTTTATTGTCAATAAACCCTGAAAAAGACTGGATGAATTTATTGAGTATTATTTATCATAAGCTTAATACCAGAATAATCCTCTTGTTGATATAAACCTTTTGTTTCTACTGAATATATTAAAGATGCTTTCATTATTATCATCAACTTAGATGTCTAATGTAATTCTTAGTGCTAAAAAATTAAGAAGAAAAGAAGCAAAATAATATGTATTACAAAGTGTTAATGTCTTAGGAGTAAAAATCATTTTACTTCGAAGAATATTTGGCAACTTTATATGCATAAGCAACTTTATTGTTAATCCATAGAAATTATGATGAAATTAGATAATTATTTCATTCATTACATAAATATTTATTGAATATCTAATTTGTGTCAGGTACTCTTCCAGACACAGGTGATATGTTAGCGAACAAAACAAACAAAATATTTTGCTTTCCCTCCCTCCCCTCTATAAAACTTGTCTTATATTAGGCAGAATAGGTAGTGAGAGAGGTGTGGAAAGAATGCAAACCACTGAGTTATGAGGGTGGCAGGTCAGAAGTGCTAGGAAAAGTGACCACGGGAAACACAGGTCAAGTTTTAAAACCAATGGAAGTTGAATCATTTTAAGATGTTAATAAAAAGATTCTGCTGAGGCATGGAAAAACAGGTAATATCATCTGACTACAAGTAAGGTCCATCATGCAGGGAGTAGCTGCTTGTAAAGACTTGATTAAAATGAGGGATTAAAATACTCTAGAGTTAAGTTTGAGAAACACACTGAAAGCAAATGAAATAAAATGGTAAAAGTCACAAAGAATTCTGCAGTGTGGTTTTGAATTCAAGACATTTGCCTATCCTCAAAGATAAGCCCTGCTTTTATATTAAAATGTTGGTGAATGGAAGTATATTTCCATATATGAAGTTAAGATAAAAATCATCGTAAGGTATATTTTGTGTTATTTATTAGAATCCTTTACTTCATGTTTTTTGTTTATAATAACCAACCAATATCTGTTAATCTCAAGATATTGATAAGAGTTTTCCTAAACACTGAAATAATATATCAGTAATTGTGCAACTTTAATTTTGTGGAAAATATAACTACATGTATTCAGTCTTCCCACCCTCGTTGATTCATAACAGAAATTCAATTATATGAATGCAGAAATTGGACTTTAATCTGAATCAATACATATAAAAGGAAGTCAAATTTTAAACTGTCATGATCATCTTGAAATCACCTTTTTTATTTTTATTAAAATAAAAAATTTTATTAAATATGTTTATTAAAATATATCATATGATTATTTTTGTTTTTCTTCATGGTTACAATTAGCTTTATGTTTAATTTTTTGCATATTGAAGTATTGAAGGCAGATTTGGTGGCTGTAAAAGTGTATAAATAAATAGGCCATGGTACCAACACCTATTAATTAAAGCCTGTATTTGGATAAGTGCCATAACATTCAATGTAGAATGTATTTTAAAATATTACATTTTAAAATAAATTAACTATTTTTAACTGATATCCATATTAAAACATTATAATACAACAGTATGCATGGAAAATAATAAATTTAACTTTATACAATCTATTTTTCAATGCCATTTTATTTACAATCAACCATTTTCAAAATTGCTTAGCAGGTTATAGGCATTAATTCCAAGTACATGAGGCTATGTGATGGGTTGGGGAAAATAGCATGCTATTTTTTCTCCTATAAATACATTCTTTTATTCTTCCAGATGATCAACCAACAGCTGCTGATTGCTTCAGCTGTCCTGTATTTTGGTTGATAAATAAAGCATTCTTTTGATTTTAAAAATCTGTCATTATTATGCATATACCAATAAATTAAAAAATAAAACTTTTTAAAAAGTCTCTTCTTTCGGACCTATATTGGCTTGGGAAAAAATAAGAAAGGTATATTACTCTCTTTTTTGCAATTTACTTCATATTTAAATAAAAAATGCATCAGCATTGATTGTAATTATTATCATTACCTCATTAATATCATTATTTTATTGGTGGGGGAAATGAATGAATAACTTGCCCACATACCACAAGTTCTATTAAATAAACATTTTTATTATGTAATTGTCATAAAAAAATCTGCTTTTTATTTTAAACCTGAAGTTTATTATTCATTATCAGCTGAACACTTGCAATGGCTAAAGCACTGAACTGTTCCAGAACCAGTGTGTCTGTTGCTATTGTCTCTTTTTTTGTTTGTTTTTTGTTTTGTTTTGTTTTCGATTACTACAAAATCTTGATCAAATCTTTATTGAGCTATTCAGATAAAAAATAGAGTTCCTTATTAGACCTTTGAAAATATGTGAAATTGAATATTTGTAAAAATGATATTATCTTCTCATGGGGGCATCTCTAACTACTTGTTTTGTTATTACAATGTTTTATTTATTATCTTTTCAGCAAATAATAATGCTTTAATCATAGAACCACTTAAACTTTGCAACAATTTCGTTGTGTTTTTTTTTAGTATATGAAAAATGTTTTCTCATTATATTAACAATTCTGTGCATTCTACATCAAAACTTTCATCCTTATGACAAACTAATACTTTATCCTTTTAAACTTACTACAAAAATATAGGGGAAATTTTAATTTTTCCTTCCAAATATAGGTTCATAAGAAATAAAGTTTACTTGAACAAAATTGGAATGAACAAACATCTTGCAATTTGTTGGGTGTGACATATATATTCTTACTTAATATACTGAATTATTTTTTTAAAAATCCTTTCAGTATGTTTTATAAATGTATATTATACAGCAGATTATTTATTTAGTTGCTACCTTTCCATCATTAGTCAGATATTGCAAGAACATATTCATCTTCCCAGTGAAGTAGGGTTTATAAACTCAAAGGCTAGCATAGTATTGCTTATTAAACACATTTTAAATGGAATAAATATGAAAATTACATGCATATCAATATTATTTAATTTAGATTTTATTACAGTTTTTGAATAAAACCCCTTGATCAAACATAAATTTACCTTATAGTAAGTCACTAAAAGAACTGATCATATGTATCAGTGTTTCTCAGGTTTGGTTTAGTTTTGTTTACTTTGTCTATAATTTATTTGGGATTTGTATTCTCTTCTCTGTGGTATCCAATGGAAAACAATAACTATATGATTTTAAAACATTCATATTTAAAATAGATTGCACGAGTGTGGTTATATTTTCATCAGCTTTAGTGAGGGAGACACACATTATTCATATTTCCAGGAATGTAGTGTATTGTTTCACATACATATTTAAATCCTAGACATAAAACTGTGTTGCATTACTACACTTTATCTGTCATGATCATTCTTTTTCTGAACTCCTTCTCATTTTGTCATGCTCCTTTTAATAATGCAAGTCTGACCATTAGTCATTTCATTTTTCTGGCTAACATCTTTGCATTAGGGATAGACATGTGATCTGACAAACATCAGGAAGATACAGTAGGAGTTTTGTTGGGGTTGTTGGAATAGAAGCAAGCTGTTCATGTTGGGTCTAAATATGGAGCCTAAACTTGTAAGAAGCTGCCATCTGAAAGCCACACAAAAGGTAGAAGAGCTAAGAGAAGACAATAAAATGATGACCTTTTTTTTTTTTTTTGAGACGGAGTCTTGCTCTGTTGCCCAGGCTGGAGTGCAGTAGCGCAATCTCGGCTCACTGCAAGCTCCGCCTCCGGGGTTCATGCCATTCTCCTGCCTCAGCCTCCCGAGTAGCTGGGACTACAGGCGCCTGCAACCCCGCCCGGCTAATTTTTTTGTATTTTCAGTGGAAAGGGGTTTCACTGTGTTAGCCAGGATGGTCTGGATCTCCTGACCTCGTGATCCATCCGCCTCCGCCTCCCAAAGTGCTGGGATTACAGGCGTGAGCCACCACGCCTGGCCAAAATGATGATTTTTTAAGTTACTGAACCCAGTTATACTAACTGAAGCCTATAATTATGAGGCAGTATATTTCTTTTCACTTTATCTCTTTGAACTAATTTGCAAGTGAGAGTCACTTAATTGATGCTCTAAAGTTAGCCATAAAAGAAAACAAACAAAACTAAAAAACATGACAAACTACAGTTATTAAGTGTGGGTTAGTGGCTATCAATATATTTCTCTAAATAAAGATAATTTTCTAAATAAATGACAAAGTTTAAATATATATTTACTCTTTCAAAAGTATTTATTCAGCCCCAATGTAGGCTCATCAGTTAACAAAACCGGTAAAAACTCAGACTGCAGGAGCTTGGTTTCCTTTAAGTCAATTTAGTGCCAAATGTTTTCCTTTTTTTTCCTTTCTTTTTTTTCCTCTTCAGTCTGCCACATACTTATTAACAAATAGATCTTACAGGAATATAAGACATGTGAGAATTATGATCTATTTGCCCAGAAGACCCAAAGACTCATTTACATAATGGGGGTTTGCTTGGGGAGGCACAATTAATGTGCCCCCAGCTCAGGGTTATCTCTAGTATTGATTCATGGCAACTTTCTCAACTAGAAACTCCTAATTTGGGTTTGAGGTATTGCTTTTCTTAGAGTCTGGTCTACTCTTGTCATCTAGGGCAGAGTCACCTATCTAATTGTCTGCTAGATATCTCCAGCTGAGGCAGGAGTTGGATCTGGAGGCGGAGAACATAAGGCCAATTCACGCTGACTTCTTAAACTAAATCAAATGGAAACACTTCAGCTATGACAGGAAAGATCCTCTCCATTTACATATGGCGTACACCAAGTAAATGACTTTTTAACTTTACTTTATCCTCTTCATTTACATAGCGCGTACACCAAGTAACCAATGGAAATCTCTAGAGGGTATTTAAACCCAAGAAAATTCTGTAACCTGACTCCTGAGCCCTTTATGCTCACGCCCGCTCCCACCCTGTGGAGTGTAATTTAATTTTCAGTAAATCTCTGTTTTTGCTGCTTCATTCTTTCCTTGCTTTGTTTCTGTGTTAGGTCCAGTTCCTTGTTCAAGACACCAAGAACCTGGACAACCTCCACTGGTAACACAGCTAAATTTTTCATAAACATCTGACTAAAGTTCTAACATTTTCTTTTCACATGCAGTCAAAAATTTCATCTATTAGGAGGGATGAAGAGAACGCATCAAAACCCTGCTATATTGCTTGTAAGTCTGAATTGCTAAGGCAGCATCTAGTAGCAAAAATTAAAGGAAAAAAATAAGGACAGAAGTACAGGGCTGTTGAAGTTGGGATGCACCCATTTATACATGTTCTTTTCTTCTATAACTGTTCCTCTTCCATCATGTGAAATACTATTCTAGAGACACTGGATGAAATTTATAGTTTAATTTTTATTGTGAGAAGAATTATGTCCAGAATGCAATCCGCAGCGTGATTAGTATAGGTATCAATTGTCACTGGTTTCTTGTATCGGTTAGTTTTCCGTATAGCCTTTAAATGTAGTAATATGTTTCCCATATTCAAATTAGGAATGGGGATCCAGAAAAGTAGAAAATAAAAATAATTGCATTTGATGGATCAGTAGAAATAGTCTTTGATATTTCTTCTTATAACAGTTCTATGAAAATAGCATTAAAAGTGAACACAGCAGCCCTAAAATAAACTTAGCAGATGACCTTCTGGGTTGGATTTTACAGTATCTTGTATGGATTGTTGCCTCTGAAAGTGTAATGAGAGGGCCAGAAAGAGAAATAATCTCTTTCATATTTTTTATCAAAATTAAGCATCTTGTAGCTATCCTCCAATCTTCTTCCGATTTGACAAAAATAAAAAATTATTAGGTTAGTTGGGGCAACTCAGATGAGAAGCAGAACGTTCTTATTCTGCTTATAACCTTTTCAACCACAAAATTTATTTATTTTTTTGCTTCCTTTCTTTCTTATTTTTTTAACAGCATTGAAATATTGAGAGAAGGGAGTTTAAAAAGATCAACTAAGAAGACTAAAACAAATGTTTGTATTGTTAATGACGTTTTTCACTTGTATAAATTTTAGAACTTTCTACCTCTATGCCAAATTTATTATTTTTACAAATGTGAATTACATGTAAAAACAAACTAGGCAATTTGAGAATTAACATGAATGGAGACATAGAGTGCTAATTGTAAGGAAATAATGATTTTTCTGTTAGCTCATGTGAACAACAAAGTGAAAACAATAAACTACTTTAAATATATTGAAATCCTAGTAATCTTAAAATGATAATGATAGAGGAATATTTTGAAAATTGGTTTTGGCATAAAGTAGCACTGATATTTGGTATTATTTTAGCAAATAGATTTAAATTCTATTTAAATAAAATAAAATTATTTTATTTAAATAAATTAAATTCTATTTAATAAAATTAAATTGTTCATTTGATTTAATGAACAATGTGGTTATTAAAAGGAAAGGATTTGAGAATAAGTTTTTTTCTCTAAAACCTTACAGTTTGTTTGAGCTGGTATCCCCCCAAAATTCTACCTTCAGTTGCCTTAGCATTTCCATCTCTAAATTCAAAGTTAAAACAAAATATAAAAATATTATATTTTCTCAATATTTCAAGCCCTGTCATATCACTTATGGCATATTACTTAATGATAAATAGTATCATAAATGAAATTGCATGCTATAAAATATCATAACAGAATAAATAAAACAGAACTCGGTGGGTTCATTTTATTTTCCTTGATCCATTAACCAAGCATTGCTATTATCTTCAGTGGCAGAAATGGCTGACAACAAAAGGCTTGCATTTTCTGCTGCTGAGCTGAAAACACAGATTAAGAAACAGGCAGGATTTTTAATAATTTTATTTTGAAGTGTGTAGATAATCATTCGGCTTTTTTCAGGGGTGACTAGGGCTGTTTTGGCATCAAGTAAGGTAAAAAGAAAAAAAAAGAAAAATACATAATTTACCTTTCAATGTAAAAGCTAAATGAAGGCTCAAAAAATGATAAAATCGTGTCTTCTTTCTCCTACCTGGGCTTAACCTAAAAATGGCAAAGAGATGAATCAAGGTCCGAGGTGAAAGTCAAGTTAGTATTTTTTAGTAATCATTCTTTGACTCATTCACTGATTCACCCACTCCACAAATGCTAATTGAGTAGTTTCCAAGTGCCAGGTCCTGGAGATGCAGGTAGCCTGCATCATTTTTCTAAATCCTTGGCTTTAAGAAATCAGTAGGGGGTGAGGCCAAGCTGTGAGATGGGAAAAAAATACAGTAAACAAATACTGGAATGATGTAAGGTCTTTGACCAGAAAAAGAGCAAGAAAAATGTGACACATCAAAGAAGGATGTATTCATGCCCTAAGAAGAAAGAAGCAACTGTGTTGAGATGGCATAATGCTGGGCAATGGATGGTCATAGCGGGTCTGAACAGACAGGGAAGAGGAATGTAGAATATATCGTGAGGTCACTCTGAGGCTACTGGAAGTCTTTAAACATGGGAGTGATAGGTTAAGATTTGCATCTTATAAATATTATCATATCAATATGGGAGAATGCCAGGATAAATCAAGGAAAGAAGACCATGTAAAGCCTTCTACTGGTGAGAAATTATGTCCTGAATTATGAATTGGGAGCAGTGGGAATGCAACACAGTCTTTACTGGATACAGTAAAGTACTTTCCACAAAGTACTCCGTTTAAAAACATGTGTCTTGCTTTCATTTCTCTTTCAGAAACTTTATCCCACATCTTTGGGTTGGAATATCAACTAGTAGAGAATTAGCATTTTAGCTTTCTTAGAGTGGATCTTTGAATATACCCAACAATTATTCAATAAACTTTCATCCTTTCATTTTTTATTCTAGCAATCCATTTTTCCACATTACTCTACTTTCTAACACTATAATAATAAAAGTCTCTTCGTTGAACACCAGCAAACAATTGAGGTGAAAGGCTACACATTTTTACCCTCAGTACCAAGCACAGGGCCTTGCACTTACAACGTTTCTAATAAATATTAAATTTAGATATGTATAAATTATTTAGCAAATGCTATCAAGTTACTTACTGTGAATCTTTCCTCAACAATTTGGTAATAAGAGAGGTAAAACAGGCTTCTAGGATTAATGTCAATGAGATATCAAAAAATCACATTAAAATGACAGAAAAAATATATCTAGATGACTAAGAATAGATTGTATCCTGAGTGAATTTATTTTATTATCTGGCAGTATTTATTTTCTGGAAATTATTCTTAGTACAAGATATAAGATAGATATGAGGCTAAATTAAATATTAGATTAAACAATTTGTATGGGACACTTCGGTTCTGTGTTATAAATTGACAAAAATTCAATTAAAAATAACTGAAGCCAAAAGAAAGAGAGAGAGGGAGGTAGAGAAGAAGGAAGGAAGGAAGGGAGGGAGGGAGGAAGGAAGATGCAAGTCAATACTTGCATCTCCTGAGTATACCTGCCCCAAGAAACTTGATAAAAAGTCCTAGGCAGATAATGGTTTAGTCAGCTTTTTCTCCATCCACATTTTTCAGTCTATCAGCAAGGAAGGAAGGAAGGAAGGGGGAAAGGAATGAAGGAGGGAAGGAAGGAAGGAAGGGAGGGAGGGAGGGAGGAAAGAAGGAAGGAAGGAGAAAGGAAAGAGTTTCCAGGAGTTTCCAGTTTTTATGGATCCTGGAATCACCAAAATCCATATGGTAGAGTTTGGGGTGGCTGGATCCAATGGTACAAACAATGTCATGGGACTTTCTCTCTTTTCACACTCTGCACAGACTTTTCTGTGTAGTAGCCATAATGGTCCCAAGTCAATACTTGCATCTCCTGAGTATACCTGCCCCAAGAAACTTGATAGAAAGTCCTGGGCAGATAATGGTTTAGTCACCTTTTTCTCCATCCACATTTTTCAGTCTATCAGAGTGACCAGGCAAGCTGTTCACTTGAAAGTGTAGAGGGCCGGGGGCGGTGGCTCACGCCTGTAATCCCAGCACTTTGGGAGGCTGAGGCGGGTGGTTCACAAGGTCAGGAGATCGAGACCATCCTGGCCAACATGGTGAAACCCCATCTCTACTAAAAATACAAAAAAATTAGCCTCGCATGGTGGCGGGCGGCCGTAATCCCAGCTACTTGGGAGGCTGAGGCAGGAGAATCGCTTGAACCCGGGAGGCGGAGGTTGCAGTGAGCCAAGATCCTGCCACTGCACTCCAGGCTGGTGACAAAGCAAGACTCCATCTCAAAAAAACGAAAAAAAAAGTGTAGAGAAGACTTGCTTATTACAAGAGAATGTGTTAGCTTGAGGTACCTGGAAACTAGAGATTCTCAAAGGCAAATCTGGCAGTGTCCATCAAGAGGCAAGGCTGACTGAGGTCATTCCTGTAGAAATGGATGCATCTAAGTATAATCAAATACCTAAATGCTCTCATAATTTAGCTAGTGACAGAGTTCACAGACTCTTCTTAGAAACTCCCATCTCTGCCACTAACTCCCACAATGAACTTGGGCTATTCATTTCTTCATTTTATTTTCATGAAAAGTTAGAACTTCACATTCCTTTACTTAATATGGTTATTCATTTATACACTATCAGCCAAGGAGGAGACTGCAGAAATCATTTTGCCCAAAATACTATATTTTTAAGAAAATGGCAAGATAGCTGAAAAGCAGTACATTGTACTGTTTGTGCATTTTTAAAATAATTTTCCTAAACCAAGTAATTTTTTTAAATGAATCAGTGTTCTATTTACAATACATTTTAGCGTGCTATTTCTTTCTTCTTTTGTTAAATGTAATTTAATTGTATCTTGTTCTGACATACATGTACAGGACATGAAGATATGTTACATAGGTAAATGTATGCCATGGTGGTTTACTGCACCTATCGAACCATCATCTAGGTATTAAGCCCAGCATGCATTAGCTATTTATCCTGATGCTCTCCCTCCCCACTTGTCCCTGCCCCGGAAGGCCGCAGTGTGTGATGTTCCTCTCCCTGTGTCCATGTGTTCTCTTTGTTCAGCTCCCACTTACAAATGAAAACATGGGATGTTTGGTTTTCTGTTCGTGTGTTAGTTTGCTGAGGATAATGGTTTATAGGGACATGGATGGTGCTGGAAGCCATTTTTTTAAAAATTAAGATGTAATTCTCCCAGACACATACCTTGTAATTTCCTAGGATTGTTCCAACTTTTTTCTCATAAAAACTGGCAACAGCTACCCTGCTATTGTTGAACATATTAGAGGTGTTTTCCTGTCTCAGGACCTCTTCACTTGCTGTTCCCACTTCTGGAATATCCATCTCTTAAATTGCTTCTTGTCTTGGTCTCTTGTTTAATTCAGATATTGACTCAAGTATCACCAACTCAGAGAGTCTTCTCCATTCAATTTAAAATCGTCACTGTTCTCTACCTCTGCAAAAAGGGCTATTGCATCTAAAATTATACAACAGTTAAATATTATGCATTAATAAAAGTATATTATGTTTTCATAAAGGAGTCCTAGATAGATCAATTTATGAATCATCCACAGAAATAATAAGTTATATTGTTCCTATTAGAAAGCATAATAGATATCTTATGTTAATTTCTAAGATGTATTGCTAATTTGTTTTAGTATGTTCCCTTTTGTTTACAAAAATGTTAAAATATACATATACATCTACATACTTATGCATATACATGCCTAAAGATACGAGCTAGTTCTGAAAAAAACACATACTTTCTTTTGAAGAGGGAAGTTTTCTATAAAGATGCATGCATTGCTTTTCCAATAAAACATTCTTTAAAAATAAAAGGGAGCAATTAATTCACCCATTACAAAGTATTTATTGAATAACTGTTATGTGCCATATACTGTGAAAATTGACCTACCCAAGTTCACAGTGTTGGCTGCAAGCTGGTGACTCTCAGGTAAGTCTCATATATAAATTCTACTGTCCAGTATATTGTGTTATCTGGAGATATAACCTAGAATCTCTGTCCTTGTCTAGGAGCTATCATTCTATAAGGAGCAAAGTTAGTGATAAATAAATGAAATACATAAAGTCTTAGGTGGTTGTAAATATAACTAAGAGAAGATTAAGAGAAGGGGAATAATGACTTTAAAGAGGTAGAGAACATTGATGAATTTAGACAGAAGAGTTAGGAAAATACATCTGAGTTGGTAAAATTTGAGTCAGGGCCTGAAGAGAGTGAAAAAACTAAGACATAAAGAAATGTAAGGGACAGATATTTCAGGGGAGAGATGGGCAAGAGCAAAGACCCTGAGAAAGGAACATGCATGTAACGATATGAGGAAGCACAATAGAATTGTTGTGGCTTTTGACAGTTTTCTAGAGAACAATTTTAGGACATTCTTAGGAAAATCTTTTACAGAATTTGCCTGGGAGAATGGTGTGCTCTGATATTGGGCTGATTAGATTACTTATATCAGGCTGAAAGAATCTTCCACCATGATCTCGTGTAACTTAATAGGATTCTGTGACATTGGGGCCATAACATCACCTAACAATAAAGTGTGGTTTCTTTTATTTTACCTTACTCTATGATGTAAATCCCTTTGGATGAACTCACAGAAAAAAGTTGTTTTATTGAAAACTATGCAGTTAGTGTTTCCTACATTCATGGCATAATTCCATACTAATTGCAAAAGAAGTTTTCTGTTAGACAACTCATAAGATGTACAATTGCAATTTCCATTCCTTTTTTTTCAGTTGAAAAAACATCCATTGAGATCACATGTACTATCTCCATATTAGCCACAGTAAGATTGATTATGAGGTTAGTATTACCTTGCACATTGATACTGTTTATATCATTTTGAACATATTTAACATATTACAAAAGAAAGACTAAATGTTCACTTTAGACTTTGAATATTTCATCGTGAAAAAATGAGTTACAAGTTGAAATTCTTTACATATTCTGAATGCTTTACTGTGCATGGTGTTGACATTTTATCCACATCTTAATACAAATAAAAAAATATTAGTATGAGAGATTGCAGTGGGCTTGTTAGTGCTGTTTTCAAATGACTAGTAAGCATGCCCCACCAACAAAGAGAAGTTATTGATAACTTTAACATTTTTCTTAGACCTTGACCACTAATAGAGAAATATGAAAAGATTTTTAGCCAAGATTTATTTAAGAAAAGCCTTAAAAAACAATAAATACTTGAACATTTTGTAGTGCCCATGATTTGACAAACTTTGATAATATGCTGTACATTTTGTTGCCTCTAAAACCAAAATATTTTATTAAAGACAAAGAATTCATTAAATTAGAATATCAATGCCATTGACTTTTTTTTCTTTCTTTCTTTTTTGAGACAGAGTTTCACTCTTGTTGGCCAGGCTGGAGTGCAGTGGCACCATCTCTGCTCACTGCAATCTCTGCCTCCTGGTTCAAGTGATTCTCCTGCCTCAGCCTCCCAAGTAGCTGAGATTACAGGCATGTGCCACCATGCCCGGCTAATTTAGTATTTTTAGTAGTGACGGGGTTTCACCATGTTGGTTAGGCTGTCTCAAACTCCTGACCTCAGGTAATCCACCCGCCTCAGATCCCCTAAAGTGCTGGGATTACAGGCATGAGCCACTGCACCCAGCCCCATTGACATTTTTTTAACAGAATATAAATAATGTACAGTTGATTTTGCTTTCAGAATATGCATTGTTTTAAAATTAAATAGAAAAAGAATACCTTAAATGTGAACTGATCCAAAATCTCAAGCTTTATTAATAAAGATGAAGAATTTTCCAAAAGGTTTTAAAAAGTGAGTGTCAAGGGGAATTGTGTTACTTCTGTACTGGGAGCTTATAGGACTGCCCTATGTGAGGAACGTTAATCCCAGGACATGAAGATAAGCTAGTTGATTGCCACAGATTCTGAAATGACACTGCGAAGGTGGAATAGCCATTCTTCACGCTGGAATAAAGGCATCCACAGGGACAATACGTCTAAAAACTGGAGGAAACACAAGCCAGGCAAAATGGACTCTGAGGCATAATGCAATTGAATACACTTGTCAACAATATTTTGTTTTTTCTCTCTTTGGAGGAGGAGAAGGAAGGGAATATCACATTATAGGGAATGAGGGAGAGACTACACTGAAGATTTCCCAGATTTTGGAAATGAGGAAACTGGCCTCTAGAACTAATATTTGCATGTCAATACACAATGAATCATAGGAGAAATGTGGAAATTCATCTACAGATATTAAATGAATTTGCCATCTCTGGAGTGCTTCCTTAGCAGCTATATTTCTTATTATAAACAAATCCATTTTCCTTTTATTTTTGTTCCCCAGTCAGATAAATTTTGTCATGGTGGTTCTATTCATGTCAAATAGATGCCTCTCATTCTAACATGCTGAGACTCATTCCCTAGACTATGGTGCAGTCACTCAGGCTCTGCAGGTGTAGCCAGTTGGACCTTCTCTAGAGATTCATGCTAGCAGAATGACTCACTGTCCAAAGCTTTTCACTAATTTGCAATTATTGCATATTTAACACCAAATTCTGGGTCAATCTTTTAAAAATTAATAAGTGAATGGATTCTATAAAGCAATAATTCTTGAAGTCAAAGACATAAAGCAAAAATTAATTTATTTAATTATTAAAATTCTGTATACTCATTCTGTTCTTGGAAGTAGAATATTTTAACCTTTCATTTTTGTAAAATGTTAAAACTGAGTAAGTTAAGTGTAGAGGGACTACTTTCTATATTTGAAGTTATAGTTAATTTTTTCTTATTTGGTTATAAAAAGATAAATCAGAACTAAATTTCAACAGATATAAATTATCATGATCAATTATCCTGAGTTTTGATGTGTCCCTACTATTCACTTAACAAAGTATTTGTTTCTACCAGGCAGGACATAACTACATTTGTGAAATTGGCTATATCACTCCACTTTGTTTCACACAAAATGATGTCAATTGTAATCATAAAAGTATAATTTAACAGGAATAAAAATAGCTTTCATCACTAAAAATTGCAATTCAAGTCTTCTGTACAAAATATCAACAGCCAGATGACATTCATGACAAAAATCCATTGGTAAGATATGTGGACTAAGTCAATAGTTTGCATTATTTATCTTGGTTTCTTTTACTTTCCTAGCTAAAGCTCATTTCTCCAGAAACTTGTATGTAGTTAATATAAGAATACTATTCAACATTTTATTGATTGTGTGCAGTTCTCTAAAATCCATAGAGTTTATTAGGATACATAAACTATATGTTTATATATCTGATATATATAATATAGTTTTATAAAAGTATATCTATTCATATATATAATTAATTTGAGGCTTTATCACATTTATAATGGCATATTATAGAGGGGTTAATATTCCTATGCTTATTTTGCAGAAACATAATTTTAATGAATGCATAGTACACCAGTATTTAAATGGACCATAATTTGTAATTAATTTCAAAGTTTTGAAAGATTTGGTAATTTTAAATTTATCACCATTTTAACTAATGCTTCAATTATCAAATTTATTCATATATTTTTAGAATTTTCTAAACACTTCTTGAGGATCATTCTTAAAAGGGGATTTAAATATATATGCGCATACATTTGTGTGTATATATATGTTATATATATATATTCACACACATATATAGGCACATAAAAATATTTGTACATCTGGCTAAATCCTTCTTCAGAAAACTTGTTACATTTTATAATCCCACCAGCAGTTTATGGACTCTTTCTTTACGTTTGCAATAATGTACATATTCATTTAGAAATGGTATTGTATATGTGTAAATCTTAATTTTGTTTTAGTGAATATAAGAATTTTAATTATATTTCCATTAGATGTTGTATTGCTTCTTTTATTATAATATAGTTATGAAAAACAAAATATAATCTTTCTGTTATTGATTCTATAAGTTTGGGGAAACACAAAAATCGAAAGAACTCAACTTAATAATTATATCCAGTTAACACAATGAGAGCATAACATAAGGCTAAAATTGAGGGTATGAGCCACTTTATGTAGTGCAACATTGCCAAATAATGTGTATATACTTATATTTGGAAAAATATAACTTTGTGCTTTATTCATCTATTATAATTTGTTGTTAGTGTATCAGGTAAAAAATAAACTACCATGCAATAAATCTATGATATAAAATATTCCAGTGACTTACTGTATTCCTAGATTGTTAAAAGAGTCAATTTAAAGAATTATGAAAACAGAATGAGATTTTACACATATAAGGAAAAGCAGCCATTTTATAATCACAGTATTTATCAAAATAGTAATATATATTTTTTCCTTTTCTGTATTCAAGGGTAGCTTAACAAGAATCATTTAATTATGTAGTAGAATTTAAATACAGTTTTCAGTATCACTTAGTTAACAGTATTTAGAGTATTGATAAAATATGTGAAAACTTAGCATTCTGTTTGTTTGTGGTTTTCATATATTAATTGGCTCAGTTCTCACAAAAACCTATTTATTCTGTATTGTAAAGGTGTGGAAAAAGAGGACAGAGAGCAGTAAAGTTACTAAGCTAATAGAATTATACAAACAAATGCGTGTTGGGGAAATTATAGATTATATATGTATATGTAAATATCAGATACAGATATATCAAATATTTAAAAATCTAAAATTAATAGTAATTGTACATAACAAACACATGGTTTGTGTCCAATATGCTCATTTGTGTCCAATATGCTCATTTTTAACTTTTGGGGAACTAAAGATTAATTTATGAGTTCTTCTTTTCAATAGGCCATGCTATTTTTTCTAAATTATTTTCCAAATTTGAAGAAAACTAATAAATATGCAAAAGGTTGTTTATATTACTACATAAATAATTTATACATATATTATTAAATACCATTTTAAGTTTAAAGTAAACAGGATTAAGAAAAATATATACATCTTATAAATATACATAAATTATTTGCTGTATCCAAAATATGTGTAAGAATGCATAAACATCATAGAAATGGCACTTCAGTAGTACATGAAGGTGTCCCACTTATTAGAATTCAAACGAGAACTACGCTTAAGTTTGTACAAGCTTACCAAGATTTAAGTAAAAATCAAACATTTCATTACTTTTAACCATCTCTTAAATACATTAACGTAATCATATTATGCATTTATTCTTCAAACTTTGGATATGGAACAAAGGTTCCCTTTCTTCCCTATTTTAGTCTGCTGGTATATAATTTCATATTCGAAGTTTTGCAAACAATTCAGTCCAAAATGCCCCTCTACCCTTTCTAGTATGAGTTTATTTATGGTGGGGTTCACACTTAGACATTACAAAGCAATTTGAGAGTAGAAACTTCTTGATTATTATATATTCCACACTTTGACATTCATCCCATCCAAAAATTCATCTTTGTTCTTTTATAGCCTTAAGTCCTCCAAAAACCTTTAATTTCATGGACATAAAAATCACCTTTATTGCAAACTCATATTTTACAGGTTTACATAATATTTAATTGGGTTATTTAATTAATTAATTTATTTTTTTGAGATGGAGTCTTGCTCTTGTCAACCAGGCTGGAGTGCAATGGCATAATCTCAGCTCACGCAAACTCCACCTCCCGGGTTCAAGTGATTCTTCTGTCTCAGCCTCCCAAGTAGCTTGGATTACAGGCGCCCACCACCATGGCTGGCTAATTTTTGTATTTTTTGTAGAGATGAGGTTTCACCACGTTGGCCAGGCTGGTCTCAAACTCCTGACCTCGTGATCAGCCCGCCTCGGCCTCCCAAAGTGCTGGCGTTACCGGCGTGAGCCATAATTGGGTTATTTTATCACAATAACAAGCATAACTGGCATAAAGAGGTTTGAGAATAAAAATCTTACTCTGCGAGCATGGGACTGATCTTCTAGCAAAGAGAGTTTTCTCTGCTGTAAGCATTTCCAGGGAGAATGGGGACCTTGAGCATTAGTTGGTTAAGTAAAAGCTAGTTCATACACCTTCTTTCTCTCTGTCTCTCTAGTTTTTTTTTTTTTTTCCAATTTATATCTGAGAAAGTATGAGTGTACATTTGACTTGGGCTACACAAGTAAATGTGATGTAACTTTAATGAAAAAAATAAATGTTTACTGTGAAAACTTCTCATAAAGACTAAAACTTTTTTTGTCCACTGCCAGTCTTGAAGAAGTTGCTACAGAATGCCAAATATTAAATGTGGTTGAACTGATATCCATCTACTGAGCATATAATATTTTATAGTAAGATGAAACACCATAGCATATATATGGAGATAAGTTTATACATTCAATTATTTTTATGTTTATCCTTATTCATAAACAAAGCAATAGACTTTGGGAAACAGCAAGATACATTGAGAACTCCTTTCATATATACTTTTAAAATTTTATTTTTAATTGACAAAATTGTATTTATTTATTGTGCACATTTTGATATTTCCTAAAGGAATTGCAAAAAAAAAAAAAAAAACCACTTGTAAATACATTTTATATTTGTATTGGTCCAATTACAGAGAAGCAAATATTGCCTACAAGTATGTAACAACCTAATAAGGAAAAAAACACATATGAAGCAAAAGTTATTTTTATCATATCTTTTTCATAATAATTACTTGAATTTTTGATGGCTTCAAAACTCAAAAAGCATACTATTATTTTCATATGTGTATTTGCATATTTGATTTTGAGAAACAAAGATAAAATGCCATTACATCGCCTGGTGTTACATTCATCTTTCATAATATCAAAATTTCTCCATTAGCAATTTCAGTTTAAACCTGCTCAAATTTGGGGAACTCAATGAATATCAGTGTTCTTAACTTGTTTAAAGAGAATAAAAACTATTAGCTATATCTGATAGGTTTTTCTTTGAGAAGATACATGATTTAAATAAAAAATTATAATAAAAAGCTAAATTTGTTATGAAAAAACATCACATAGTTTCGAGGTAGGTAGTCAAATAAATCCTTTAGTGTTTTAGGAATTACTATTTCTTTCATTTGCTAATATATCTCCAATGTATAGATAATTCTCATTTCTTTTTATTGGTGCTTAGCATTTTCTTTCACGAAAGTAATATTTTTTACATTTAGGAAGTTTTGATGAAAGACCAGCAGTCTTACATGATTAAAGCTGAAAAAGCCAACGTATTTTGGATTTGGGTTCCCAGCATTAGAATGCTCATTCTAGGGAAGGAGAGACATTAGCTACATCCAGTGTCCAAAGGCAGCAATGACAATATGACTCCATAGAAAGCCTGGTACATAGTTTGATTTCATTCTGGTTGTTAGCCACCATGATTGCTAGCAATTTTCTGAGTGTAATTCACCAGACTTACTGAACATTTTCATAGCTATTCCTTTCTTGGCTTAAAAATTACTTTTAAACTAATAACGCTTCCTGATGCACAATTTGTGTTTGATGATTATAAATGCCTTCATAGTATAGAGAGAAAAGAAGTGTTCCTAGAGGTTAGATAATTTGGTATCAAGTCCAAAGTGTATTATTAACTTGACCCATGACCTTGGGAAGACCCCTGGACTCTTTTTTTAATAATATGTGAAAAAAAAGAATTGCCTAGAATACATCACTGATGAGTATGCTTCCTTATTAGCTTGACAATTTTCAGTCCAACTTTAAAATGTATACTACCAATCTTACTTTATAGTCTCCTGAGAAAATGGCAGGTAACTTTAAAAAAGCAAAATGAAATTTATCGTAAGAAATAAAAAAAAGCAAAAGACTTATTACAGTAAGTTATTTTTAAAAAAGGTCTGGCTTGAGAAGAGTGGAGGGGGGAGGGAGAAGTAGAGGGGGGCAGTAGAGATTCCCTCAAATACGATAGTATGGCTATTCTCAGGATACCTAAATATCACAGCTCTGCATTCCAGCTGTAATAATAGATGCTAGTTTGGAAATTTACATAAAATTAATTTTTCTGTCTGTAGTGCCCTAAATCAGTCATCTGGATATCTAAAATGGGTCATTTACTGTCATGACAACAAAAGCCACAAGTTTGTTTTTTGCTATTCTGATACTAGCACATGTATAATCAAAAGTTACTGATATCTTACTCTTGTTTATTCCCACAGTGCAATGTGCATGAAATGACATAAAGTTACAGGTAAAAAATAACGCAAAGTTTTTCTTTTTTTTTTTTGAGACGGAGTCTCGCTCTGTCGCCCAAGCTGGAGTGCGGTGGCGCAATCTCGGCTCACTGCAAGCTCCGCCTCCCAGGTTCACGCCATTCTCCTGCCTCAGCCTCCGGAGTAGCTGGGAGTACAGACGCCCTCCACCAAGCCCGGCTAGTTTTTTGTATTTTTAGTAGAGATGGGGTTTCACCGAAAATAACTCAAAGTTTTAAGAAAATAAATCTATTTCAAAAATCTCTCACCTAGGTTTGATTAGCCTCAGAGCAATGACACTTTGGACCACCAGAGAGATTTTACAGTAACAGAGAGAGCAAGAAATAGAAAGCACCCTGTCTTCTCTGTACATTCAGGGCAAAATCGGGGAATATTGAGTAAATAATGCACAGAATGAAATTTTAACATTCCAGTTCCAGTTTTTCTCTTACCTCTCCGTGTGACTTTGGAAAAGTCATTTTTCCTCTCCGAGTGTCTGCTTTTCCAATTGTGAAATGAGAATGGTGATATTGTCTATTTCTAATGCCTGTGTTTGCTTTGTAGTTGAGGCGGTATAATGCAAGTGAACACATTTTTGAACTCTATTGTGCTGTGTAAAAAGATGGGCTTCAAAAATTTATAAAGGTGTTTCTTTGCTGCTTTATCTCAACTGTGCCAAGACATTACCATTTAGTGGCTTAAAAAAGCAAAAATGATTGACATTCTACTTTTCAGTGAAGAGGTACTCTAGTTGTCAAAATGGTTTTGTTTTCTTTCCTAAGAATTTCTTACTCTCTAAGAACGTTAGACTGTTTATAGAGTATTATTAAATGGTTTAAGGAATCTTAGCCATAGTAGATTTCCCAGTGGCATGATCTTTCTATATGTTTCTTATGCAAGTCGGGCTCAGTGGACACTCTAAGAACCACAGTGGCAGATGTTTAATAATATTTCAAATTACACAGAATACACATAAAGTGCCTGGTAATAAAGTGCTTTTAAACACACTGAGAGTTATAGAAAGTCCATTATATTGTTTAAAGAACAAAGAACACCACAATTAAATTTTAAAATATCAGAAATCCCTTCAGCAATTATCCCCCAGAAATTTTGTGATAGAGATTTTTATTCTGTATCTAAAACCTAAGAAGCTTAATGCCTTATACTCAGATGGAAAAAGTGGAAAAATGCATAGAAATGTAATTCTCAGGCTCTCCTTCCTCCACTGTATGCAAATCCCTTAGTGGTATATAAATGATTTCACAGCCAAGGTTCTCACAGTAAATAATTTACTTTCCCACCATATTCTTTATGGGTGCTATATACACTCTTTATGAGACAGCAGTAAAATTCAGTAGGTTTCTTTATTTGACCAACTTTGTTCATCCCAGGAAGCAACACATATACACTTAACTGCTTCTAGAGTAAGTCTCAGTTTTATTGCAAAGCGGAGGAATAAAATTTTCTTTTTAATCAAATCTTAGTGTTAATGAAATTATCATATATATTGTATATGAACCAGTAATTTTCCAAACTTAATAAAACCAATGATAAAACTATAGTGAGTGTGATTTCATTGCAATGATAATCTTGAAGTATTTTTATGGACTCACAATATATTAGAGACATCAGTATGCTCATCAGTCATCATCATTTTTACTGAAAGATTTGATGAAATGATAATTAATAGAGAGTTCTGATTGATGAATTTGTGAGTAAGCCAGGGTACAACCATAAAAATACAATTTTTATTTAAATGGAATATTCCCAGCACCTCTTAAAATATTACCCATTCCCTTATTTTTTTTTCCTGCCTTCTTACCTGAGAATGTAATGAAGAAGGGAACAGGCATTTTGTGGCCTGAAAGAAAACACTATCAGCCAACTTCAGTCTGATGAGAAAACTTCCATCCAGTTAATGTCACTTTGCTCTTGTATGGCTGCATATCCTCCCATGTTGCATTATGGAAAGTCCCTAAGTAGTTTTTTTTTTTTTTTTTTAGAATGAGTGGATTATAACAGATACACTATATCCCATCATAGAGTGATGTCAAAGAATGTGCAGTCTCCATCAGTGCCTGGTCATCCCCAACTCATCTCTACCAAAAAAGAAACCACACACACACACACACACACACAAACACATGAGCCAAGAATTATAGGACGTAAAGCACTTTGAAAAATCAGACTTTTGGTCAGTCATGGTGGCCCACACCTATAATTTCAGCACTTCAGGAGGTCAAGGCGGGAGAAAAGCTTGAGGACAGGAGTTCGAGACCGGCCTGGTCAGCATAGCAACAAACTATCTCTAGAAGAAGTAAAAAATTAGCCAAGCATGGTGACACATGCCTATAGTCCCAGCTACTCAGGAAGCTGATATGGGATGATCACTTGAGCCCCAGAGTTCGAGGCTGCAGTAAGCTATGCTCATGCCACTGCATTCCAACCTGGGTAACAGAGTAAGATCCTGTCAAAAAAAAAAAAATAGCCCACAGACTTTGGTGTTAGAAAGCTATCTTCAAATCCCACTTCTTCACTAACTAATTTTGTATTAATAGCTTTGAGCAAGTTACTTAATTTTTCTGTATATCAGATGTTTTTAGTAGGGGTTAAGTGAGACAGCATGTATAATGAGTTTTGTAGTTTCTCTAAGCAAAATGATAACTTTCCTCAAGTACTGATTGGAAATTTTTGGTAGCCCACAGAATTCTTGGTCCATATTTTCCTCCAGGCATTTGTGCAGTAACCAGCCCCTCAGCTGTGCTATGTGTTTCTCACTTTCTGTCTTGGAGGTTTTCTAACTCTACTGAGGTTCACACATAAGGAAACCCACTTATTAATGACAGAATGACCTGGGAGTATGAGGTAGTTAACATGCTATGGAGTAGCTGCTGAATTATGAGAATGTGATGGTTGGTGAAAAACCTCCCTTCTTTTTTTCCTTCCCTCCTTTTTCCTTCCCCATTCTGCATGTTTCCTTGGACGGTCCTGGTGGGATCAAGCCTCAGTTGCCCTCAGTGCATCAACTAAATAATTCCATAATAAAGCCACTGTAATGGCTTTTTCTGCTTCCTGTCTGGCTTTCTCCCATTTATCTCCTGCTCCTTGGAATGATTTTTTTCAATTCAATTACAGCATGCAAGCTTTTATTTCAGTCTCTATTGGATTGGGGTATACCGTTCACCAAAATAAGATTATTAATGCTCTTAAATTATTTCAAGAAACAATGAATTGGGGCGAATAATAATTGAAAAGTGTATTAATTGCAAAATTAGTAACCAGTCTTCTACATCCCTGGTTGCAGACCCTTCACAATGTGACTTTATAGCATCTCACTTTAAGAGATAAAGTTCACAGAGCTCACTTTGAGAAAAGGACAGTGACAAATGCAATGTTGATGCCAGCATACATTGGAAAAGAACCTTGAAACTGAGGTTTCCTCTCTCTTTCTTCTCATGGAAAGCACATAGCTATTATAAAATGAGTGAGTCTAGGCTAGCTATCTGGATGATGAGAGACACTTAGCCAAGCCATCCTTGTCAACCTAGATAACATCAATCAACAACTAGACATGGGAAAAACACCATTCTATACCAGCCTGGCTTGCGGCTGGGCATAGAAATCAGCACAGTTGGTTTAGACCAAAAAAACCTTTGTAGTCTAGCCAGAGAATTTTGAAGAAAATAAAGGTTGCTTAAGACTCTCATTTTAGAAGCAGTTTGTATTTCATTTTATTTTTATTTTTTGTAGACATAGGGTCTCACTGTGTTGCCCAGGCTGGTCCTGAACTCCTCTCCTCAAGCAATCCTCCCATCTCAACCTGCCAAAGTGGGAGGCTCCACGCCCAGCCAGGGTAGTTCGTTATGCAGCAAAATTTCCCTAATACAGAGCGAGTACATATTGCTTACTATCGCTTTTTTATTTCACATCAAGTAAGACTCTGGGATTCCACTTATTCTTTTGAAAATATGACTATTTAAATTTTATTGTATTTGACAAGTCAAGCTGCATTATGCTTTCTATAACTTTTCCTTTTTTTCTATTATTGTTCAATCTTAACTATTATAGATTAATTTTATAGCTCTCCATTGCACCCTTTTGTAATAGCCTCCCTTATTTTATAGAGGTATATGATATTTATGTCTATATCCTCACTCATCATTCCCACTCTGGGGAATGCCAGCTATCTATCATGTCATAAAGACACACAGGCAGACTCAGGAAAGGCCCATGTGGTGAGGAACTAAGGTCTGCTGCCGATAGCTTCTTTTGAAAAACAGGCCTTCTATTACTATGCTGAACAAATTTGGAAGTGGATTCTCCCCAAGTTGAACCTTCTGATGACCCTCTAGACTATAACTTCATGATAGACCCTAATTCAGAAAAACCCAGCTATGCTGCTCCTCAATTGTGAGGTAATTATTGTTTGCTCTTTCCATCTGCTAAGTTCTGAGGGGTAATTTGCTCTATTGCGATAGGTAACTAAAGCAAGGCTCAACAGAGATGGTCCATATAATGTAGATAAAGTACTTGCCCTAGATCTCCTTATGAATCTTAATTTGTACAATTAATTTTCATTCCTGGGCTTTTTCAGAAGCTGCTGTCTATGGCAAGGGAAATCAGGCTCAAAAATCTAATCAAATAACTAATCATCAGTGTATGCATTCATCTGAATTGCCAGATAATCCTTAACATCAGGATAGTGTTTTTGTATAACTTATTTTTTTTTAAATCAGGGGAGTAAAGTATTTGTTGAAGATATTAATAGGATATTAGCAGGGAATTGCAGGGATCTGCTCACAGCCTTTTGGGACTTATTGACTTACACCTGTAAGCAAAACACATTGGCTCTATTTTTAAACACACGTGAACGTATGTGCCTGAGCACATGCATACACACAACGCACTGTAATTCTTTGGTACATACTGTCAAAACAGGGGACTTATCTTTTTTTATGTAGCTCATTTCTTTGTGACAAATTGTCTATGTCTTGGCTTGCTTCCAATTTTAATACATCATCTGAGCCTACGATTTCTGGAAAACTATTTCACCAATATTTACAATGTAGAAATCGGATGTGTCCTGAGTCTCATTCTCCAGTCATCCTAGCCTTTGCTATCTAAAGTTATAGCCAACTAATTTTCATTCATCTATTTATCCATACAATTATTCTTACATTTATTCTTGAGGCATATACCCTGCAATTTATTGGTGAGTGAAACGTTTCTAGGAAAGCACTTCTGTAATTTTAGATTTTCTTGTATATTTATATTTTTATAGGGACCTTCTTAGTGGTAGTTCTATAATCCAAAGCAATGATTTTCAACAGCAGAAAAATCAAGATTTCTCTTTCAGTGAAAGCAAAGAGTGATGAGAAAATATTTCACAACAGACAGATATTTCACATTCCTGAAAGAAAAAGAGGTCAATACACGCTCAGAGTGAGAAGATGAGTTAGGCTAATGAGGTAGTTTGAAGCAGGTGTCCCAGTCCCTGTAGGAATCTGTCTACATGCTGATAAAACCATTATTTCAGGAATTCTGCTTCGTGAAATTAAAACTAAACAAATAAAATGTCTCCTGTTAATGGAGATGCCAAGGGTGGGTGACATTTTTGGGTTTGTGGCCCCACACTCTAAATGATGTGAAAATGCGTGATCCTTGCTGAGAGCACTGCTGAGCTGTTTGCTCCATTCCACAGGCAACCAGGCTGATGTATTCTGCTCACACAGGGAGAGCTCACAAAAATATCTACGACACCTTTAAATATCAAATGGAAAGCTTAAAATATAAACTTTTGAATGCTTTTTCATTTATGTCTACCTTTGTCTTGTCTTCCGCTCTCCCCAAGAATGTACCCCAGGCAGATTAAATCTCAAAGATAAAGAATTCATTTCCAGAATATGTTTCCTTGGTACGTTAAAAACAGCTTTTAGGATTCTATTTTCTGGTTACATGTTATTTTCCCTTATCATTCCAACAACTGTAATATTAAGAAAATTTATTGTGTAGCCTAGGGCCTCGGGAACATAGGACCAATATGCCATATGACTGTAGATTCGGGGATGCTGTTTGCAGCTAGCCAAATTATGTTCATTGGGATATGGTTTACTACTTTAACCCTGTGAAGTACCAAAAATTAAATATACATGTTTTAGTGGAAACCCAGTGAAATACCCATACTCTGAACAAGTAGAGAAATTATGTTTGTGTATAAATTATATTTTGATAACTGGAAGCATCTCTTTTTCTGAAGTTTCTCTTGCCTACTGCAAGCAGAATTATTCTCTCATCTGTGTTCTTATAATACTTTACACAAAACTCCGTGAGAATGTACGTTATAGTATTGATAGCTTTTATATAGCTTCTTCCCCCAGACAGTGACTAACTGCAAGGATTTGTCTTCACTATTTTATTCCCCAAACACATCTAATTCCTCAAGAATTTATTAGACACTCCAAAATATCTAAAAAAGGTTAACTGCTGCTTTAATTTTAATTTAGGAGTGTAAGACAAAACATCTAAACATTGGATTTGTCAATGAGTGGCTATTTTCTACATTTGCTAATTTTGTGAGTAGTCCCAATTGTAGAGTGTTGGAGCAGGATCAGGCAAAGACTAAAATTAGAACACATCAGGAAATTGTAACAGAAGGATGGGGGTGCCATGGGCCTTGGTCAAGCATGAGGGCACACGAGATGCCTTGTGGCAAGATATGTAAACGTATCCATAGGGCCTGGCCAGTGACATCATTATGTACTTGGCTCTTGACAGGGGCTACTCCAGACTCAGGAAACAGATCTGAAAAATACACTGTCCTCAGTTTACATGTTCACATTTGGCTGTGGCTCCAGCCACTCGGGTTCCTTGTTTCTGCCTGTGCTCTTGCCTTGGTTTTCAGCCTTCCTAGAATGACGGTAGTTCCTGTCAATCCTTTTAATAAATGCGTTCTCTATTTAAGTCAGCTAGATTTGGTATATGCTGCTTGTAGCTAAGAACCTTGCCTGAGGTAGTTATGACAAGTGTTTAGGCACAACCAAACTGTTTCATTTACTAGACCTGAGGTGCAACGTAAGGACTCTTCACAAGAAGCAAGATACGAACTTTGTTGATTCATTCGTGTATCATATATACCTAGCAAAATGCATCCCAGCACATTTGTTGATAGAAAGACATTTTTTGTATAAGTAAGTGTTTGGGTGAAGGAATGAATATATGAACTGCCAGAGGGAAAAGCAAAAGTGTATTCTGTGCCACTCAACTAACTCGAATTATAATTAAATCTTCCTTAAATTTTCATATAACTCCACACAGTATATAAAGCAATGAAGAAATATTCAGGGTCTTTTTAGACAAGGAAGGTTTAGTTTACTAATTAACTGAATCCAGTGTATTTACATGCTCTTGGACAACAAAAAACTGACGGCTGTTATTTGCCAGACTAGATACAGCATAATTTTATTTTATTTTTTCAGATTGAAACTAGAGTTCAGGTCTGTGAAATATAGCAACTTATTAACAATTACAAGAAAATAAATGCCTTCTTTGGCAGAAAGTGTTTTCAATTTGTACAGAATACTCTCATTCTTGAAATTACTTAGGCTCTCAGTACCCCTTCCAATTCAACATTGACAACTTTTTTTTTAAATTAATTAATTAATTAATTTTTTATTATACTTTTAAGTTTTAGGGTACATGTGCACATTGTGCAGGTTAGTTACATATGTATACATGTGCCATGCTGGTGCGCTGCACCCACTAACTCGTCATCTAGCATTAGGTATATCTCCCAATGCTATCCCTCCCCCCTCCCCCCACCCCACCTGTGATATTCCCCTTCCTGTGTCCATGTGATCTCATTGTTCAATTCCCACCTATGAGTGAGAATATGCGGTGTTTGGTTTTTTGTTCTTGTGATAGTTTACTGAGAATGATGATTTCCAATTTCATCCATGTCCCTACAAAGGACATGAACTCATCATTTTTTATGGCTGCATAGTATTCCATGGTGTATATGTGCCACATTTTCTTAATCCAGTCTATCATTGTTGGACATTTGGGTTGGTTCCAAGTCTTTGCTATTGTGAATAATGCCGCAATAAACATACGTGTGAATGTGTCTTTATAGCAGCATGATTTATAGTCCTTTGGGTATATACCCAGTAATGGGATGGCTGGGTCAAATGGTATTTCTAGTTCTACATCCCTGAGGAATCGCCACACTGACTTCCACAATGGTTGAACTAGTTTACAGTCCCACCAACAGTGTGAAAGTGTTCCTATTTCTCCACATCCTCTCCAGCACCTGTTGTTTCCTGACTTTTTAATGATTGCCATTCTAACTGGTGTGAGATGGTATCTCATTGTGGTTTTGATTTGCATTTCTCTGATGGCCAGTGATGAGGAGCATTTTTTCATGTGTTTTTTGGCTGCATAAATGTCTTCTTTTGAGAAGCATCTGTTCATGTCCTTCGCCCACTTTCTGATGGGGTTGTTTGTTTTTTTCTTAACTGGCTAGCCATATGTAGAAAGCTGAAATTGAATCCCTTCCTTACACCTTATACAAAAATCAATTCGAGATGGATTAAAGACTTAAACATCAGACCTAAAACCATAAAAACTGTAGAAGAAAATCTAGGCATTACCATTCAGGACATAGGCATGGGCAAGGACTTCATGTCTAAAACACCAAAAGCAATGGCAACAAAAGCCAACATTGACAAATGGGATCTAATTAAACTAAAGAGCTTCTGCACAGCAAAAGAAACTACCATCAGAGTTAACAGGCAACCTACAAAATGCGAGAAAATTTTTGCAACCTACTCATCTGACAAAGGGCTAATATCCAGAATCTACAATGAACTCCAACAAATTTACAAGAAAAAAACATTGACAACTTTTTTAAGACCAGCGAAGGGTCTGAGATTTTACTTTGGTACCAAACTCACCACTAAGGCTACCACGGTTTCATATCCCCTAAAAGCTCAATTTCAACACATTTTTATAATCACACATTTCTTACTTCCTATTGGGTATTTTCTACTTACATATTTTCAGACTAGATTAAATTAAACATAGTTCAAATCAGCCTAATTCTTCCAGCTGTATAACAAGTCTTTCTGAGTTAGTTGTTTCTCCTTATAGGGCCATAATTTCCATGGTTATTTAAGCTTAGGACACTGGAAATACATTGCATGTATTTATCTTCTTTGCTCTTATGTAGTCAGTGGATTCTCCCTGTGCAACACATCTCTGACCATAATCCATGGTGATGATTTCACTCTAGCAAGTTCATTATAAAATTTCCCCAAATTTTGCTTTCACTATACATGTTGCCTGTTTAACTGGCTTCATGAATTCTTCAGAATGAAGTATGGTTTCTGTAATGCACTTAAAGCTCTCTTTACTATTCATTCACATCATCTCTTATAATATACCGTAAACATGCTCATTTTATGTATCTGGAATAAAATACTGATCTTGTGTTTTGGTTGTTTAAATGCCTGCACCACTTTGATTATGCAAACACAGCTCAATGTTTCATTCTGTGGTCTCATGTATCTTTGGGGAGACAATTCTCTATGGGAGACAAGGTTTCTGCATATTTTGAATCAGCTGCTATTCTAGGCTATCTCTTCAAAGATGTTTGTGTAGCAAACTGTCTCATAAGATAGAAAAAGTGTCTCTTTCCAGAGCAGAGATATTTATTCCCTAACCAATATAACAAAGACAATGTTCCATTTCAAGGCAAATGGTGCGCAGTCTGGTAGCAGGCCTTTTAAAGAACTGGACCTTCCTAAACTTGGGATTATTCATTTGTGACACAAATCCACTGTGTATACAATAATGACCTAGGTCACTCCAGATCACCTATATAGTATTTGGAAGCAAGAGTTAATTGATGTGAAGGTCTATCTCATGCTGCCTCTTGTTCTATAAATAGCAATGACATTTGTCTCTGACACAAGAGTCTCGTGTTTTGTACCACGATCTGTGAAACTGTGGCAGGAAACTTCTCGGTTTGCAAGGGGAGTAAAATCTCAGACCCTTTGCAGTTCTTGGCACTACCTACAATGATGGTCACTTATGTTATTAATTGAAACCTACACTTATTTTGTAATCCTATATATTTATTTCTCACATAAATTTTAACTTTCTTAAAAGTAGGAGATACAGCATATATTAACCACTCAGCAAACAATATAGGAATTCAAATTATTTCTTTCTTACAATTTTGTTTGGTTCCTCCACCCCCTGACCCCACTAGAGTGTAACATCTGTGAAAATAGGGACTTGTCTTATTTATCTGTTCAAGACTAGTATCTGTAAAAAGTGCCTGGGAAATGCTATATACTTTCAACATATATAATAAATGACAGATCAGACATTCCAAGTTTCTGAACTTGTCTGAAAAAAGATTAGCTTTTCTAGCCTAACAAATTAAAAATTAAAATTACTAGTAGAAAGGACTTTGAGGGAGGCCTGATTTGATGATTTGAAGAAAATATTTTGTGTGGAATACACAATGCCTTCACCTTCTGGAAATGATTGACTAAGATCTGCTATAAGCAGGAGGACTATTCCAGGAGGAGAATTTTAAAAAGTAGGCTTGAATAAAGAATATCTTATATCCATGTAGACAAAATCTAATAGAAGTGCATGCATCCATGTAACAGAAATAGCCTGTGGTTCTCCAACATCCATTCTTCCTTAATAGGAAACTTCCAGCATTTTAACTAGGCACATAGTCTCTCAGAATAAAGACTACATTACCCAGTACACTTTGCAACAAAGTATTACTTGTTACTAAGTTGAGGTCACTGTGATAATATTGCATTGGATTCTAATTAGTGTCCTAAAATCATGCGTTTCCTTGTGTCCTTCCTTCTTGTTTGCTTGAATGCCGATGTGGCAGCTTTAGCCAAGACAAATATTTGGATTGCGTGATCTTGGACAATAAAGTTGGCCCTTGAACAACATAGGGGTAAGGGGTGCCTACCTCCTATGCATTTGAAAATCTACATATCATATTTGACCCTGAAAATCTTAACTACTCATAGCCTACTGTTGACTAGAAGGTTTTTCAATAAGAAAAAGTCAATTAACACATGTTTTGTGTGTTGTATGTATTAAATACTGTATTCTTACAATAAAGTGAACTAGAGAAAACAAAATATTATTAAGACAATCATAAGGAAAAGAAAATATACTTACTATTCATTAAGTGGAAGTTGATTATCATAAAGGTCTTCATCCTCATCATCTTCATGTTGATGGACATGGCTAGGATGGCCATCAGATGGCTGAGAAAGAGGAGGAAGAGGGCTTGGTCTTGTCACAGTAGTGGCAGAGGAGAAAGAGGTGAAGGAAGTGAAAGGGAAAGCAAGACAGGTGTGCATACTCAGTGTAGATTTATGGAAATACATTGCAATTTCTGCCGGACATTTTTTTCGTTTTTTTTCTCTAACAATATTTCTATATGATACCAATCCTTCTTCCACCATGTCCTTCAGTTTCAGTGCCCAAATAATACAAAAGTCCATATCCTAAAAAAAGGCAAAAGCAGTCTTGAGTAATCAGAACCCTCTGGTAGATTATGTAATTGTCAGTTTGTGTTTTGGTACTGCTAATTCTACATCTTTTTCCTCACCATCTGACACTAGTCTGAAAGCACTCATCTCTATCAGTAAGGAAGAGAAGTGAGCACCGGAATTAAATTAAATTAAATTAATTAATTTATTTTGTATGCTGTCTGCTAGCTCTTGAATTTCCCCAAGATTCATATCTTGAAACTTTTTATCCCCTACCTTGTTTTGCCATATCCAGCATCACTTTCATGATTTTCTTAATTGTCTCTGTTGACAATTCTGTGAGTCATGCACAACACTTGGACAGTTTTCTCCAGCAAGAATTTATTGTTTTAGGCTTTATGGCTTTCACAGCTTTTTCTATAAGAAGGACAACATCTTCAATAGTGTAATCCTTCCAGACTTTTATGATGTTCTCTCTTTCAGGGTTCTCTTCCATAGTGATGACAACTGTTTCCATAGAGTACCATGTATAATGAACCGTAAAGGTCCTTATGACTTTTAATTAGAGGCTGAATTAAAGCCATGTGTTTCATGGCAAATAGACTACTTTAACGCTTTTGATACTGAACTCAAGGGGGTTCTCAGTGGCCAAAATCATGGTATAATATCAAAAAAAACTTTAAAAGGCATTTCCTTACTGGCAGGGTACTTCCTGATTTCAGGGACAAAACATCAATGGGAGCCTATCCAGAAAAAGTGTTCTTATTGTCCAGGTCTGCTTGTAATACAAACAAATGACTGGAAGCTGGTGTGTATATTTTTTTCCTTCAGGGCTTCGGATTTAGTAGCTTTATAGATAAGGGCAGTCCTAATTATAAACCTGACTATATTTGCACAAAACAGCAGAGTTAGCCTATCCCTTTCTGCCTTAAATTCTGGTTCTCACTTATCTTCCTTATTAATGAATGTTCTTTGTGCCTTCCCCCCACTCCACACCCAGAACAGGTCACTTTCTTCTGCATTAAAAATCTGTTCAGGCAGATATCCTTCTCCTTGGTGATTTTCTTATTTACTGCCTCTTGGTCAGCAGAAGCTGCTGCACTTATCTTGACATTATTTAGCCTAATCTTTTTCTAAACTTATCAAACCATCCTTAGCTGGCATTAATTTCTCCAGCTTCCTTTTTGCTTTAAATTGTCATATAATGACTTTACTTTTTCTCAAATCATGTTAGAGTAAAATAGGTACATCTTTCTTATAGCAATCCTTCACCAACATGAAAGCTGCATTTTCAATACAAAATGTAAAGGTGTTTCACAAAATGTGCAAGGTTTTCACACATGCTGGTGTAGCTGCAGCACAGGCTTCATAAATTTCCTTTTCCTTTTTACAATGGTCTTTGTGTTGGCTTCATTGATCTTGAAATTGTGGGCAATCTCAGCTGAAGATCTCAATCTGTGGTACATATAAGGCAATTCAAACTTTTCTTGTTCTGTCATGACTTTGATTCTTGGGAGCACTTTCAGCATTACTAGTGACACTTCATATGGGTCCCATGGTATTACTCAAGGTTTAAAGTATTATACTAAATACAATGAAAAATACACAAGAACCATGAGATATCACTTTTCACTGCTATACGCAATTTAATGAAGAGATGAATGGCTCACACAGAGATGATGAGGATCACATGGCAGATGTTTTAAGCACATTTAACACTTGAGCTTACCACAATAGCAACAGGAGGTGGCTATGAATTTATTATAGTACAACAGTACACACTACAGTTAATTTTATGCAGGTATGTTTTATGCATCTTTACTTTCATTTACATTTCTCTTGACTGCAAATGACACCATGTATGGTCTGTAAGTGTGTGCATAATTTTGATAACTTTAACTTTTTGTAATAGATTTGTGTGTATTTCATGGTAGCAAATTTGTGTAAATTTCATGGTAGCAAAATGGTAAAATCAATTATTATCTAGACATACTTTATGCATTCATGACATACCTAACTTTTGGTAAGTTTTCTTTTCAAATTGTCACAAATGCTCCCCCACATTTTCCAATATACTTATTTTTAATAATGTATTTGTGGGTAGACTGACACATTTCAAACCCATGATGTTCAAGGGTCAACTGCATATGTGTTATCTGTGTCTTAGTAACTCCATATGTAAAATTGGAATAGTATTCTGATTATTTTGAGTGTTAAGTGAGCTATAAGTAAAGCTGTTTACTATGTTCATGGCCCATAGGAAATAGTAAAAACATATTTGCTATTACTATTATTAAAATTATGTTTTTTAAAGGTAATAGAGCAAACAATATAGAAAGGGCCTGGCCTTCTAGGAGCTGCAATTTTAGCCCTAAATTTTCTTTTTCTATATTAAATTTCTATGAATGAGAAGAAAAAACAAACACTTCTATTTTGTGTAACCTATTATTACTAGCTACTGTCAGTTTAGTTTTTTGTTTGGTTTTGTTATGTTTTCATTGTTGGTCATTCTCAAAGTAAAGTTAATTGCTTAATTTGGCTAATGTAAATTTAAGAATGGTTATTAAATTTCCAACAAGTAATAATCAATAAAACAAGAAGATTCAAAAATTGAAACTCATAGTAATGGTTATAAATTATTTCTATGTGAAGACATTTTTGAAATCCCCAGAATATGCCAATTTTATAAGGTAAATCTATTTTTAAGTGACAAAAATAACATTCAGACTTAGAAAGATAAAGTAATTAGGCCAATGAAGCAAGCTAATCGGAAACAAAGCTGTATATTCAATCAATATACATCACCATAGTTTAAACTCTGCCCTTTATTGACAGGTGTTCTGGCATATTTCAGATAGGTGGAGTGTGGTCAGAATATTTTTTACAAATGTAGCCTCAAGGAAGCAACAAAGCCATCTCTGCAAAAACAAAAACATAACTGGTTATTCCTCTCTAGAGCTGATTGCCTGGAGCAGCTATTAGTGCTGTTGTTTTGGACATTTTTGGTGAGTTGTGCAATCACATTGTAAGTTATTGTTGTGCGAGCAGTCTTAGCTGCTGAAGTTTCATTGTAGGTGGTTATGCTGTATTCTATGGCAACACAGTGGAGTAAATCCTCTTTCCCATGGCTCCTTTCTCATTTACTGAAATGATGACCAGAGTAATTTTCCTGTAGATAGATCACTTTCAGACATGGGGAATAGAACAATGGACTAGCTGCATTGTTGTTTGTTTGTTTGTTTGTGTGTCTCAGAATCTTCGGTTTTCTTTTTGCTACCTTACTAATTTTTAAGATTTTTTTTTAAAAAAACAACAATTCCTTAAGATCCTTGGTTTTATATATATATATATTATATATAATTTATATATATATTATATATATATATGCAACAAAATATATGTATATTTCCAGTTATATGAGGAGACAAAAAAATGTGAGGAACTTAGACAAATTCATCAAAAGGCAATCAACTAACATTGTTTAAGGATCCAATTCTATGCAATTCAACAGCACAATAGGCATGTGAGTAGTTTTCTTTTGAACCAACTTGACTGGATGCTGCTCTCAAGGACAGGGAAGATAAGCTGCTACCCAGGGCTTCTCTGTGGGGAGTGCTGAAAGAGAATCACACAGCCATAAGCCCTTCAAATGAATGTAAGAGGCAGGCTCCTCTCTTCCCATAGAGAACTATTTGGAAAATAAATTACTTATCTTTGATAACTCAATGTTCAATTTGCCTCTGGTGCCCTTTTGGAGGTGAGAGGCAGAAAAAGGTGAAGCAGTTACCTTGTAAGAACCTATCTTGCATCCTCGTGCACAGTGATGTTAGGGAGTTAAGCCAGAGCGGTTGCAGGACAAGAGACGAGTAAGTTATTTTTATACGCATGTGTGAGAGGAGAAACCGATAAAGGGTGGATATTATTAAATCTTAAATGATGATGTTCAAATTGAACAGAACACCCTAGTAGTGCCAAAGGGAGAGAATATTAATAAAGAGAAAAATCTAAAAATTTTTTTTTTTATGGATCAACTTAACATTTACTTTAAATGTCTATTGTACTCTGGGTCTGTTATTTGTAAAATATGCTGATTATGTTTCTGAAATAGACACTTTTTATTTAACAACATTAACGTACAGACTCATTCATAACTGGAAGTATGTTAAAGCAGCAAAAATAGTAATTGAAATAGCTTTCACCTCTAATGCTCTCAAAACTTTATATTCTTTTCAATTAGTAACTTTTGGCTTCTAGTGAGATAGCAAGAATGAAAGAAAAATGGATATAGAAAACTATAGAGGAATGAGAGTCTCAAATTTTGCTCCAGAGTATTTTTTTTGAAAGCAAGAGAGTGGAATAGACAAAGCTTTTTCCCATCCCGCATAATTGGAGTTGAAATACTATCTTTCATTTGTAACAAAAAGTAAATATAATACAGCAGATATTCTCTCACACACTCCACTGACTTCTTCATGTATCTTAAAAATACATGAAAAATTATTACTAAGGTTCTATTACTTGGGCATTTTAGTGAAATAAAAGAAACAGAGACGACTTACTTGTCTAATTTTGCTAAAACATACGACATCATTAGCACTTCAGACATTCTTATCTGACTTTCTCCCACATTTCTCTCTTTCTTTTCTCATTTTCTCCTATCCTCATCCTCACTGGCTTAACTACCAACACACCAATAATTTCAAATAAGATAAAAAAAATTCAAAGACTTATTCCATGGTGCTTATTGCCAAATTATCTAAAATGAAATAATTATTAAATAAAGAATTCTAATTAGGGACACAAAAATGTGAGTATGTTGAAAACAAATTGGTTTTGCTTTCCACCACCTATGTGACAGTAGGGCATTTAACCTTTATGAGCTTCAATTTTCTCATCCGTAGAATGGAGATTATCATTTCTAGCTAATATAGTTTTTAGTAAGTTTAAGCAAGGCAACATTTACAGTGTCAGTTGAAGCTCTTCACACCAATTCTAAGATATTGGGGCTGCATTATTCTCACTATTGTAGATGAAGAAACTGAAGTCTTTGCGAGTTTTCCTCACTTGCCTGAGGTCATTAAACATGCAGGAAATCTGACTACTCATTAGAAAAACTATATTACACTATTCTATAGGACAACATAATAACATTTCTTCTCAATCATGCTGCTTATCATGTAGTCTGAAGAGTAGTTACTGATGCTATAGTAATTTAAGCCCCATCTTTATGGAAATTTGCTCCTTCGAACTCCTTCAAAGAAACATAAAAATAAAATCCAAGAACTAATATAAAACAACACAAATTTGCTTAAAGACAGGGTTACTATGGCATATGTTCTCTTTGAGTATGGAACAGAATGTAAAACTGTTGGTTTAGAGCAATCCACTTTTAGCTGGATTGCATAATGACTCAAGGGCAACAACATGGTGTTTTATAGTCATAAGTTAGCAATACTTGTGAAAAAATGCCTTAGAGTTCTGTAAATAAGATTCTTTTGGTCTACTTATTGAGAAATAGTATGATTAACTCACAGTACACACATGCACATACCTGTATATTTGTTTTTCTAAGAGCTTATCCATACAATTCACTCATTCAACAAATATTTTTAAATAACACTTTGTGTCATGCACTGTAATTGGCAGAAAGAATAGCAGGGTGACAAAGACACAGAAGATACTTACACAGTTATGAAACTTATATTTATATGTTGGAGACAAGCAATGCCCTATTAAATAATTAAAAATAAAACAGTTACAGATTGTGAAAAGTTTAGTGAAGGAAATAAAATCATTAATTATGGTAACTGAGTAAACAGGAAAGGTATGGTTTTAGACAGAATGGTCATGAAATGTGTTGCTCATTCTGGAGGTGCTATGTAAGATACCTGAAGGATGAGAAGGAGCCAGGTAGGTGAAGAACTAGAGTATGATTAAGACAGAGGAGATAGAGAGTTCAGAGCCTCTGGGGAAGGAAGTGAATTCTCATGCTCTGGGAACACAGGGAGACCTACATGCCTGGACAAGAGCAATTCGGAGAGTGATTTGAGATGATGTTGGAGAAATTTACAAGACCACAGTTTCTTTAGGCAGTTCAGGCTGCTACAACAAAAATATCTTAGACTGGGTTGCTTGAACAGCAGAAATTTATTTCTCATAGTTCTAGAGGCTGGATCATCCAGGATTGGGGTGCCAGCAATGGTCAGGTTCTGGTAAAGGCTCTCTTTTTGGCTTGCAGATGGCCACCTTCATGTTGTGTACACACCTAGTGGAAACAGAAGGAAGCACGGTCTCTTTCTTTTATTATAAAGGCACTAATCTCATAATGAGGGCTCCTCCTTCATGATTTCATCTAAACCTAATTACCTCCCCAAAACACAACCTCCAAATACCAACTCACAGAAAATTAGCACATCAACATATGAATTTGGAAGGGGTCACAAACATTCAGTTCACACCAATAATCATGCAGGAATCTCAGACCATGATATGGAAATGGTATTATAGTCTCAAGAAATATAATACACCAAGAAACACAATTAATTTAAACATGCAGTCTAATAGAATATATATGTAATAGACACAGATTTTCATTATTTCAATAAAATCAGAAACTGAAATGTAGCTTTTTCTTAGTTGATATAGCCAGTGCAATGTTCTGTAAATCCATCATCTTGCTAGATAGTGAAGAAAGGCAGGGATATAGAATTGCTGTGGTAGTGGTAGAAACTTCATCCTTTACAAACTCAGTCTTCTTGACAAGAATTACGTATGGTAGACTAGCAACTTTTACTCAAATTGGTTGCTTTTTTCTTTTTCTTCCATTGTAATAGAATTATGTGGTAATATGGCAACGTACCTTAGAAGCTAGATTCCATAGCCTGCTTGCATCCCATATTTCTCCATGCGGCATGCATAAAATGATGTGTGCAACTTACAGTATCACCTTTTTTTAAGGGAAATTGTTGGACTTCAAACCCTTCTTTCCCCGTCTTTTGAGCTAAAAAGCATAATGGTTTGAAACCTTGTTTCAAATATGTAGATAAAGACGATATCCTGACAGTTTAGGGAATTGAGGTGCCTAAAGATGGAAGAACCAGGGGCCTGAATGACCCTATAGAACACATCTTCCCTACTAGTCAAGATAACACTTCTGCAGTGTTACAAGAACACAGGTTAATGAACAAAATATAGGCCTATATTTCATGTAGGGGTAAATGGGACTTCATGTCCCAGGGAAAATGAAGGCTTGGGTTGGTAGGCATGAGATAGGGGTCACAGTTCTATCATCAAGGAGAACAGTGGCTATATTTCATCTTCTGGGCCTTCTCTCTGAGAGATGCCTTTAATCTAACTAGCCACTGACTGCTCTGCCTCAGTTCACTATTGAAGTATGGATGAGTAATTCTTAGTTATAGCAGGGGTGTCCAACCCTTGGGCCATAAAGTTGTACCAATCCATGGCGTGTTAGAAACCAGGGCGCACACCAGGAGGTAAGCAATGGGCCATTAAGGGAAGCTTCATCTGTATTTACAGCTACTTCCCATTGGCTGCATTGCCATCTGAGCTCCGCCTCCTTTCAGATCAGCAGTGGCATTAGATTCTCATAGGAGTACAAACCCTACTGTGTACTTCTCATATGAGGGATCTAGGTTGCCCACTCCTTATGAGAATCTTCTGCTTGATGATCTGAGGTGGAGCGGAGGTGGTGATGCTCATGCTGGGGGGTGGCTGCAAATACAGATTAGCATTGGCGGAGAGGTTTGACTATACAGAGACCATAATAAATCAATTGCTTGCAGACTCATATCAAAATTCTATCACTGAGTTGCAAGTGACAAGTTGCCTCTGGTGGCAGGCTTTAAGTCAGAATTCAATACTTATTTTAGTCTGCACATGGTCCACCCATTATTTTATTTACCACTTTCACCTGTGCCTCATTCCTGCACTGTGCACTTGTCTCAGTCATAGAATTGGTAAGCCCTCAAGCTAACCCTAGCCAGAATAAGTAAAAAACAAATGTCACCAGAGAGCTTCTTTGAAAAGAGAGAAAAATCCAATGATGAGGCAGCAGAGGACTTTAAGAGTGCCAACAAAAAGATATCTACATTTAAAAGAAAATTCCAAGAGTCCTACTTAAAATATGGGTTATTTGCAAAAGGTGATTCACATTCTCTGCTTTGTATTCTGTGTTGTGACTGGCTATCCAAGGAAGCCATGAAACCTTCAAAATTGCTTTGCCACATGGAGTCTAAGCACCCTGTATTAAAAGAGAGGCCCTTGGAGTTTTTCAAAAGAAAAAAAAATGTGAACACAAAGAAAAACTGCAATTATTGAAGACCACCACTTCATCAAATGCATCTGCAGAAAGAGCATCACTCTTAGTGGCTAACCACATTGCTAAAGCTAAGAAGCCCTTTACTACTGGTGAAGAGTTAACCCCACCTGCTCCTAAGGACGTTTGCCGTGAACTTTTAGGAGTGACTGCAGTTCTAAAGGTGGCACATGTTCCTCTTTCAGCTAGCACCATAACTAGACAAATCGATGAAATAGCAGAGGATAATGAGGCACAATTGTTAGAGAGGATTAATGAGTCACTGTGGTACGCAATCCAGGTTGACGAGTTTACTGATGTTGACAACAAGGCAACAATGCTTGTTTTTGTGTGACATATTTCTCAGGAGGATGAGGATATGTTATGTACACTTTTGGTGCCAATCAACACCACAGCTGCGGAACTATTCAATTATTTGAATAATTACATATCAGGAAAACTGAATTGACCATTTTGTGTTGGCATATGCGTGGATGAAGCGGCTGCTATGGATGGCTTTCTGGTTTCATTACTTGCATCAAAGAGGTTGCTTCTGAATGTGAGTCTACACAGTGTGTCATCCATAGAGAAGTGCTGGCTAGCCAAAAAATGTCACCTGAACTTAATAACGTGTTTCAGGATGTGATTAAAATGATCAACCACATTAAAGTACATGCCCTTACTCACGTCTGTTCACGCAGCTCTGTGAGGAGATAGATGCAGAGCACACGTCTTCTCTTATAAACAGAATTGAGATGACTTTATTTTCTTTCTTTTTTTTTTTTTTTTTTTTTTTTTGGTTGAGATGGAGTTTTGCTCCATCACCCAGGCTGGAGTGCAGTAGCACAATCTCTGCTCATTGCAACCTCTGCCTCCCAGGTTCAAGAGATTCTCCTGCCTCAACCTCCCGGTAGCTGGGATTATAGGCATGTGCCACCACACCCAGCTCATTTTTGTATTTTTAGTAGAGATGGGTTTCACCATATTGGCCAGGCTGGTCTCGAACTACTGACCTTGGGTGATCCACCGGCTTTGGCCTCCCAAAGTGCTGGGATTACAGGCAGGCCTTCTAAAGGTAGACCACTGCCCAGAATTTTTGAGTTGTGAGAGCCACTCCAAAGATTTCTTTTAGAAAAACAGTCACCACTGCAGCACATTTCAGTGACACAGAGTGCGCTGCAAAACTTGCTTACCTGTTTGACATATTCACCCTATTCAAGGAACTCAATCTGTCACTTCAGGAGAGAATGACAACTGTGTTCAAGTTGGCAGATAATGTGGCTCCATTCAAAGCCAAACTGGAATTATCAGGGTGATGAGTGAATATTGGGATTTTTGACATGTATCAAACATTAGCAGAGATTTTCAAAGAGACTGAGCCAGGGCCTTCTTTCTCCCAACTGGTTCATAGTCACCTATCAACTTTGCCAAAAGACCTAACCACAAAAGACCCCCAAACTGGGAAAGAATGGATCTGTGACTTACATGTGAATAAGCCAGGTGAATCAACTTTGGCCATGCTAGAAGAGGACCAACTGCTTGATATCGCAAATGACAGTGGCCTTAAAAATATGTTTGATACAACTTCAGATCTCCATATATTCTGGATTAAAATCAAGGTAGAATATCCTGAGATTGCCACAAAAGCACTGAGGACCCTGCTTCCATTTCCAGCACTCTGTCTTTGTGAAGCAGGATTTTCTGCAGTGACCACAATCGAAGTGAGATACAGAGTAGACTGAACATAAGCAACACATTTTGGGTATAATTGTCTCCCATCACCCCCAGATTGGACTATTTGCAGGAAAACAAGCTCAGGGCTCCCACTGATTCTACATCATGCTGAGTTGAGTAATTATTTCATTATATATTACAATGTAATAATAATAGAAATAAAGTGCACAAAATATAATGCAGCTCAATCATCCCGAAACCATCCCCTTCACCCCATCCATGGAAAAATTGTCTTCCACAAAGCTGGTCCCTGGTGCCAAAAAGGTTGGGGATTGCTGAGTTAGAGCACAGATGTGTTGCCTCAGTCCTACCTTAGTAGTGCAAATTCTTCAGAGTCTGAGCTTCATTCTGTACTTGGTCCCGCCCTTAAGCTGTTCAAGCTACTGGTAATTCTCTCAGCCCTTGTCCAAGTAAGCCCCCCAGGCAATGACTCACAGATAAGTTTCGTGTTGGCCACAAAACATTTGTAATTTCTAGACTTTAACTACACCACATAGTCACTGCAGGAGGCTTGTGAGCAATATCTGAGGCTCCTTCTGTAACTAATCACTTCCTGCTTATTTTGGAGAAGCTGTGCATGACAATGGACTCTGCTAAAAGGGCAATTAGTAAATGCCTTTTAATAATTTCACCTTCAATCTCCTGTATAATCTCCCAGTCCTGTGTGTGTATGTGTGTGTGTGTTTTGATAGGGAACCAGAGCTCTCATGTTTGACTACTTTATTCTTTCACTTTTCCTTTCTGTGTTCCAGTCTCTTAGACAGAAATAGTTTTGTTTTTTTTTTTAATTTTCTTTCTAATTGGGTGAGAGTATTCCTTATATTATTTCTGTCGACTTCATGAAGTAGTTTTTGCCCTTGACTTACTGTAGCTATGCTATTGAATGGCTTTAGATGGATCTGGTTTGCTGTAAGAATGGAAAACTATCACCTTAATTCTTCATAATATTGTCTCCATGATACATGCTTACATATATGTACAGATAATATGTATGATATTAATTTTTGTTACCAACATTTATCGGAAAATTTTCCTAAAACAAGTAGGTGGATGCTTTTTAAAAATCAACCTTAAGATTGCCATCTTCAGTCTTTTTTTCAGCCTTCGCCAGAGATTGCTGGGTCCATCCGCAGACCCTGGCCGGGCTACGGATGAAAGGAGTACTCAGACACAGGTATCCAGTGAAAGAGCAGTTAAGGGACTGCCCGGCAGTAGGTGGCCGAAGAGTGAGCAGTCTCAATAAGCTGGAGCTCTTTGCTTTTATTCAGTACAGACCTAATGCCAAAAGCCTGGAACCAACACAATCTGTGGGTAATTAACATTGTTGTTCCCCCTTGTGGGAGCAGTCTCGAATGGGATGATCAAAAGTTGGTTTCTGGACAACATAAGTAAACAAGCCTATTTAGATAAACTCTCTTATATTTCCTTGTACCTACTCCTCACCCTCTGCTTCAGGGTAAGAGAACAGCTGCCTTCAGCTTATTCTCCTCCAAAGTTTTGCAGAGCCTTCTGACATTTCAAAAGGTCTGCTTCTTTCCCTACAGCTTCTTCCATCACGCTGACCAATCCCCCATAAGAGATAATGCAAAACTTCACTTGCTAGCCTGAACATAATTTTGTGCTCTATGGCTATCAAAATATTTAAATGATGGACAAATTCTTGTATGAGTAAATTATCCTTATGTCTAGTAAGGATGACTATTCAGTCTAGAGAATTCTAATTATGGACTCTTGACAATAAGACTTTGAATATTTTCTGTTTCACATATCAGAGTACTCATATGAATCTTCTTGTTACTTCAGTAAATTTTGTATTCAAGGAGTAATTAGGCTTATTTTTGTAAGGAAGTAAATTCCACCTCAGGAGAACTGTTTAGTGACTTCACTTCCTCTTCTTCAAACTCTCAGAGAAAAATGGAAATGCTTCATGCAAGAGATAAGATAAGTCTTCAAAACAACATTTGGTACATTAAAAATTTATTATAGGTGCCAGGATAAATTTGGTGCTACATAACTTTCCTGAACCAATAATGTTTTAAAGATATTTATGATGCATTATCTGAAATACATTTAAAAACTCATTCTGAAAACTACACAATTCAACTTGTTTTTAATGTAAGCATTATAGGATTTTTTTTTTTATTATTGTACTTTAAGTTGTGGGTTACATGTGCAGAATGTGCAGGTTCGTTACATAGGTATATGTCCCATGGTGGATTCATGAACCCATCAACCTGTCATCTACATTAGGTATTTCTCCTAATGCTATCCCTCCCCCAGCCCAACACTCCCTGACAGGCCCTGGTGTGTGATGTTCCCCTCCCTGTATCCATGTGTTCTCATTGTTCAACTTCCACTATAAGTAAGAACATGTGTTGTTTGGTTTTCTGTTCTTGTGTTAGTTTGCTGAGAATGATGGTTTCCAGCCTCATCCAGGTCCCTGCAAAGGACATGAACTCATCCATTTTTATGGCTGCATAGTATTCCATGGTGTATATGGGTTGCTTCCAAAGCTTTGTTGTTGTGAACAGTGCCATAATAAACATAAGTGCATGGGATTTATAATCCTTTGGGTATATACCCAGTAATGGGATTATTGAGTCAAATGGTATTTCTCATTCTAGGTCATTGAGGAATCCCCACACTTTCTTCCACAATGGTTGAACTAATTTACACTCCCACCAACAGTGTAAAAGCGTTCCTATTTCTCCACATCCTCTCCAGCATCTGTTGTTTCCTGACATTATAATGATCACTATTCTAACTGGCATGAGATGGTATGTCATTGTGGATTTGATTTGCGTTTCTCTAATGCCCAGTGATGTTGAGCTTTTTTTTCATGTTTGTTGGATGCATAAACGTCTTCTTTTGAGAAGTGTCTGTTCATATCCATCGCCCACATTTTGAAGGTGCTGTTTCTTTTTTTTCTTGTAAATTTGTTTAAGTTCTTTGTAGATTCTGGATATTAGCCCTTTTTCAGATGAATAGATTGCAAAAATTTTCTCCCGTTCTGTAGGTTGCCTGTTCATGCTGATGATAGTTTCTTTGCTGTGCAGAAGCTCTTTAGTTTAATGAGATCCCATTTGTCAATTTTGGCTTTTGTTGCCATTGCTTTTGGTGTTTTAGTCATTAAGTCTTTTTCCATGCCTGTGTCCTGAATTGTACTGACTAGGTTTTCTTCTAGGGTTTTTCTGGTTTTAGGTCTTATGTTTAAGTCTTTAATCCATCTTGAGTTAATTTTTATATAAGATGTAAGGAAGAGATCCAATTTCAGCTTTCTGCGTATGGCTAGCCAGTTTTTCCAACACCATTTATTAAACAGGGAATCCTTTCCTCATTGCTTGTTTTTTCAGGTTTGTCAAAGATCAGATGGTTGTAGATGTGTGGCGTTATTTCTGAGGCGTCTGTTCTGTTCCATTGGTCTATATATCTGTTTTGGTACCAGTACCATGCTGATTTGGTTACTGTTATTTACCTAGTAGTCATTAAGGACCAGGTTGTTCAGTTTCCATGTAGTTGTGCAGTTTTTTGTGAGTTTCTTAATCCTGAGTCCTAATTTGAAACTGGACCCCTTCCTTACAGCTTGTATAAAAATTAGCTCAAATGTATTAAAGGCTTAAATGTAAAACACAAAACCGTAAAAACCCTAGAAAGAAATCTAGGCAATACCATTCAAGACATAGGCATGGGCAGAGATTTTATGACTAAATCACCAAAGCAATTGTAACAAAAGCAAAAATTGACAAATGAGATCTAATTAAGAGCTTCTGCACAGCAAAAGAAACTATCGTCAGGACAAATAAACAACCTACAGAATGGGAGAAAATTTTTGCAAGCTATCCATCTGACAAAGGTCTAATATTCAGAACCTACAAGGAACTCATACAAATTTACATAAAAAATCCCTATCAAAAAGTGGGCAAAGAACATGAACAGACACTTCTCAAAAGAAGGCATTCATAAGGCCAACAAACCTATGAAGAAAAGCTCAACATCACTGATCATTAGAGAAATGCAAATTAAAATCACAATGAGATATCATCTCACAGCAGTCAGAATGGCAATTATTAAGAAGTCGAGAAACAATAGATGCTGGCGAGGCTGTGTAGAAATAGGAATGCTTTTACATTGTTGGTGGGAATCTAAATTAATTGAACCACTGTGGAAGACAGTGCGGCAATTCCTCAAGGATCTAGAACCAGAAATACCATTAGACCCAGATATCCCATTACTGGGTATATACCTAAAGGAATATAAATCATTCTATTATAAAGATACATGCACCTGTATGTTTATTGCAGCACTATTCATGACAGCAAAGACATGGAATCAATACAAATGCCCATCAATGATAGACTGGATAAAGACAATGTGGTACATATACACCATGAACACTATGTAGCTATAGAAAGGACAAAGGTCATGTCCTTTTCAGGGGCATGGATGAAGTTGGAAACCATTATCCTCAGCAAACTAACACAGGAACAGAAAACCAAACACCACATGTTCTCACTCATATGCGGGAGTTGAACAGTGAGAACACATAGACACAGGGTGGGGAACAACACACACCAGGGCCTCTCGGGGGGCAGGGGGATAAATAGATAATGCATTTGGTACTTAATACATAGGTGATGGGTTGATAGGTGCAGCAAACAAAACAGGTTTGTTACCTATGTAACAAACCTGCACATCCTGCACATGTATCCCGGAACTTAAATAAAATTTTAAAAAAAAGACTCCTAGTAGATGCCTAGACCTTACATATACTATGTTTTTCCTATACATACATATCTATGGTAAAGTTTAATTTATAAATTAGGCACAGTAAGAGATTAACAACAGTAGTTAATAATAAAACAGAACAATTATAACAAAATATTATAAAAAAATTTACATGGACATTGTCTTTCCTTCTCTCTCTCCCTTTAAAAATACCCCATTGTATAATACCTTACTCACCTATTTTTGAATCAAGGTTGACCTGGGGTAAGTGAAACTGCAACAAGCAAAATGACTGATAAGGTGGAACTACTAAATGTTTATATATGTAAACATTACCTTGTACTTTCTCTTAACTCACCACTGTTTTTGCCACACCAAAAGACTTCAGTAAACTTTAGCACGAATGCTCAGTTTCTAGGCTAGGAAATTACCTGAGAATTCTATTTCTGTGGAGAATTTGAGACAGCTATATAGATAGAAGGCACAAAACCAAGTTTCCTAGCCGTAGAATGTAGTTGATGACAGGGCATCTTTATTAATAGAGAATTTGATCTATATTATAAGGCCAATGAAGATTATAGAATGGGAAAAAAAGGTTAAGGTTAGCACTATCCAGTGTCCAACACAGAGAAGCAAAGGTACCTTGAAACTCAAGGAGGATATGCACTCCTTGATGTAACATTGCTTGGAAGAAAGGATATTGTTATGAGAAAGCTAACATATTACAATGGCTAAGGTATGTGAAACCAGCAGGTAGCATAACCATGCAATTTTTCATTCACACTTGAGGAATGAAGGTGCCTCAAAATATAACCAATAGGCATTTTTCGTTCTACAACATTTTCAAGCAGGCAAACAGATAGTCATGCTATCAAGAAGGCTTTATCACAAGCCTCATTGGTTCAAAGTGCTGAAGCTACTCTGTATTCTTTCCCAACGTGCAGATATTTTGCTTACAAATGGAACATATCAAATCAAGCTTTTGTGAACTTGAGGGAAGAAACAAAGAATATGAAGCCTAAATGGAAGTGTCAGGAAATGGTCGCCTTGCGGACAAGGAAACAGCAGCCTGGAAGGCCAGGAGAGGGCAGACTACCCACCTAACCCTCTGCAGAATTTTGTGTGGACCCTGGAGACCAGAAACTAACTTCTCCTGCAGGTATATGTTCCCCCATGCCGGCCAGAAAGCACAGAGAAGGAACACTTCTCCCTGGGTCCTTAGGATCGGACAGCTGGCTTTAGTCCCAACCAGTCATATCAATAATAAATATTGCTATTTTAATACTAGCAACAATGATATAAATTATGGTCATTATCCTTTCCTCACATTTCAAACCCTAAATCACATCCTATGAAACAAATTAGACAAAGATAACCAATAGAGTCCACTTTAATGTGGGGATTTTTTTTCAATGTATTTATGTTCTTTATATCCTCTGTTTTAGAAAATATTTCTTGAAATATAATTTTGCTATGTCTGTTTCCTTAATCCTAGATATTGTATAGTCTTTGTATGTCAATTTGTGGTGTAACTAAGGCAATTGAAAAATACAGTTGACTGAGAATAACTAAAATATTGATTAAATACAATCGGCCTCCTTTTTAGGAAACTGGCCTTTTCTGAGCCATCCAACAGTTTCTAAATAGTACAATAGATAGAACAATGAAAAAAATAAAAAAAAACTTTAAAAATAGCCCAAAGCCATGAATAGTAAATTATTTTTTAAATTCTATATATGTTGGCCCTAGAGTAATTTTTAATCTCTTATTCTGAGAAGACATTTTTTTTTCTTTGAAATCAATGACCTTGGTACTTAGAGCTTGATAAATTTTAAGATGTTTCCCTATTTTACATTTTAAAAACTTTACAATCATTAGTATGTCACTCATGAATGCTGTAATAAAAAAAGAGGAAATAAAGCCTTGTTTTTTGTCAATGCTTATGTAGGTGTAACATCCAGAAAACATTAGTCTTTTGGGGAAGATTTAAATGTTTCCATTTTAATAGGTCAATTAATTTATTTGAACAAAAGCATCATTTTAGAAGGAAACAACAGGATGTGTCTGTACTTGACCAGTTGCAGCTCATTTGCTGATGTTTTCGTCTAAGCATAGGACATCAGTGAACAACAGAAATTTCTAGTAAAAATGATTGCGGAATAATAATAAAAAGCACTTACATGTCTTTATGATGCGCTTAGCACTGTTTTAACCAAGGAGATGGCTATTTAGCTTATCTTCATTTTACATGTGAGAGAATGAGGCAGCAAATAAGGAACACAGCTGAGATTAAAGCCCAGGCTATCTGGCTGGATAATTAGCAGCACAGGTAAGGGAGAACAAAAATTAGGTATATTAATATAGGAATAGGGAAAGTCGCTGAAAGTTAAAGTTTCAATGCAATATATATTTATAAGCATATTACTCATCCAATATTGGTTTGAATATCCAAAAGTCATTTCATTGATTAATTCAGTAAATAACCACTGGGTCTCGTTTAGTCAGTTTCCAAAACCACACTCTATTTTCATTTTCACTTTGCATTTGACTGTCCTATACCAGCTCATTTTCCCTCTACTGTGTGTGCGTAAGTTTTATGGGGTGTGTGTGTGTTGGTGGGGGGGGAGAGAGAGAGAGACAGAGGAGGGAGAGTTGGGTACAGCTCTTTTTCAGATGTGATTACCTTCGGAAGGTTTGAAAACTATGGTTTAATGCAACCTTTTTTCTCTGATTCTCAGTCTTGGGTATATTTGGGGATTTTAGGGTTTAGGCTGCCGCCAAGAAGACTGCTACTGTTATCATACTGAACAGATGCTGCCAACTCTTAAGCTCCAGATATTTCTGTAGAAGCTCTTCTAACTCTTTTAAGAGTTTGCTCAGAAAAGCAAAAGGTAGGATCAGGCTACTGCAAATCTGCCTGTGGTATTTTATCCTGCAAGGTGACAGGTTTATTTAAGATGAAACTTCCAAGTCATGAGCCAGTTCAGAGAGAGTTCTTAATTATTTTTTTCTAAACTTTGTTTATACCAACTTTTAATTCATTTGGCTTAAATGGAATTTTATTGAGGCTATAAGGAGCAGTCTGCATGCTGGGATTTGCACAGAACCAAAAACATTATCCAAGACTAAGTAACAGCTGGAAAGAAACTATGGGACCTCCCACATAACCACCACTGAGAGCTAGACAATGGGTGAGTTATTTGACAGAGTAATAGCAACAGCTGCCAAGTAGGTCTTTTTTTTAAACTCAACTTTGAAACTCTCAGAATTGAAATGAGCGGACTTGGTAGAGCTATTGGGAGTGGGGAAAAACATTCTTAGAATATTCCTTTGCCAAATGAAACCTACTGTGTCTAAAAATCTGCCAAGTCATCTTTCATATCATTATAGCATACTTAGTTCAGGAGTATTTTATTGGGCATGAATATTACTTTAACCTGTCGGTCTAACATCAGTTCTATATAGCACAAATTTAACTATTGATAATTATTTGATAAATCAAATAATGTACATAACCAAGATGTGTTGCCTGAATAATTTAAGTCATCTTCTCCAAATAGTTTGTTATCTACAAAAAAATCACATAGACATCTGAAAATCTATCTCACTCATAAGTATATATTTTTAATATATATAATATATTAATATATGTTTATATATAATATGTTAATATATAATATAATATATATTTATATATAGTAAAAAATAATTTAATATATACTCATAAGTACAGATTTTTTAATAATTCAATATAACCTTGCCAAATTAGAGTGATTATTTTTTGTTTAAAATGAGATTTAATTTCAAAACAAAAACAGATATATGATACATAATTTATAGTAGATTTTCTTTTCTGTCTTTACTAAAATATCACATTTATCAGATTGGTGTTACTCCGCCTCACGCATTTAGCTACTCAAGTATTTATTAACTGAAAGTAAGTCTTCATCATTATTCTCCCTAATACTGGTCAAATCCCTATGTATGCTGACTGCCACAAATAAATCATGAAATAAAATGTGTAAGAAACTTATAATCTAAGGCAATTTTGCAAAGTCGAAATAAAAATACACTCATTCATATAAATTTTTCTTAGGATTTCCTTTATGCCTCCCCACTTAGTAGGCATACTCAACATTAAATCAAACGTATAAAAGCAATATTATTTGTAACATGTCCAGCAATCTAGTTCACCTGGAGTTACTCTAAACTACAAAGCCAATAGAGTTTTTAGGGACATGGCAAGGTTTAACATCAGAATCTGTATTTTTCAGCTGGGAAATGGACAATCTCATAGCTAAAATGAAGAACATATTTGGAGAGCACATAATATACATGAGGCTTTTTAAATGAATTACTGTTTTATGAAAGAAGATAATAGGAATAATTTCATTTTATTTTTTTTCTACTTCATATTAATAGTGGAACCTGGCTATGAATCCTCATAGAGATTCAAACCATGTCCTACCAATTGTTTGGCTGTGTAAAATTGTATTGAAGAAAAAAGATTATTATCGTATTTTGTTGTATTGTCTTTCTGTTTGATCATTTAGTTGTAATTTGGGGAGCTTCCTTACTTTTAAAGGTACACTTAACAGCGTTGTGAAATCATGCTTTGCAGAGGCAGGTTCTATTATCAAATAAATTTTTATTCTGGTAAAATAGACAATTCAGAAAGATGAAGAATGGTGGTCTTTGATAGCTATATGATTGTTCACTTTTGCCCACATAGACAAGAAAGACTCCCTCGGAAAAATCTTTGAGATAAGAAAATATAAATTAATGGATAAAAATGTAAGGGCATTTAAAGTGGATGTTCAATCTTTGTTGCAGCCAGCAGGAGCCTTGAGCGGCTGAATTTTTGCTGTGGCAAGAACAGGAATGAGCTGTCCTTATCAGTGTATTCATAAAAACCAGTTGTTTTATGAGAGGTTCATACAAGTTAAAACTTGAAACAAATGCGCATAAGAATAAAAATATTCTCGAGGAATAAACCCCTTTAAACTATTTGTATTCTTTTGACTTTGGAAGGTAATTCTTGTAAAAGTGCATTCTGAACTAACTACTGAAGCCTGAACTTGTTGAAGAGTAGTGAAAATGGCAAGTCTGACATCAAAGTTTTACTATTTACATTACTGTAAATTCAGATTTCAATGTTTTGGAAAAAAAGGTTTTTTAGCAATGGACTCTTTAAAAACTTTTTTCACAGCACAACTCACAGTTAGTTCCAAGGCGATTAAGTGCTTAAGGGCAGCTAGCTGTTCCTGTCCCTAACTAACAAACTTTTATTGGATAACCTTGGGAGGCTTGATGAATTTGGTTTGGTTGGTCCTTAGAAATGAGCATTTTGCCCTTGAAGGATTACACAGACTACCCTGGAAGCAAAATGGCTAAAACTCAGTCACGTATCAGTGAGCTTCTGTGTGTCCAGCCTTTGCACCTCTGGAGTTCCTTGCCCATGAGATTCCACTGCCTACTCCAAGTCCTTCAGCCCATTCCTTTCTGTCACTATGAATAAACATACAGTATTTCAAAACTAAAACGACACTTGTCCTCATCGCAGAAATTTTTCCATTTCCCTTTTATTCCCTATTTAATTAAATGCATAACCATATATCATGTGCTCAAACCTGAAACCTAGAACTCATCTCTGATTCCTCGTTATCTCTGAGTCTCATTACTTCTATGAACAAGTCTTCAAAAATATCTTTGCAATCCTTGTACTACCTTCCATTTCTACTACTACTACGAACATCCAGGGCAGTATCATTTCTAGCTTGTATTAACCATCTTATATCTAACTTCTAGAAACACACACATACACATCAGTTTAACCATATTAGAGGTAACATATATTTTAAAATATAAACTAAAGCTGTTCACGTACTAGTTTAAATTATCTTCGTATTTTTCTTTTGCACTTGGAAATACATAAAATTGGCTGGGTGTGGTGGCTCATGCCTGTAATCCCAGCACTTTGGGAGGCCATGGTGGGCGGATCACCTGACGACCTGAGTTCAAGACCAGCCTGAACAACATGGAGAAGCCCCGCCTCTACTAAAAATACAAAATTAGCTGGGCGTGGTGGCGCATGCCTGTAATCCCAGCTACTCATGAGGCTGAGGCAGGAGAATCGCTTCAACCCAGGAGGCAGAGGTTGCAGTGAGCCAAGATCATGCCGTTGCACTCCAGCCTGGGCAACAAGAGCGAAACTTCATCTCAAAAAAAAAGAAATATATAAAATGTATGAAAATAAGGACTATATATACGCCAATGTATAAGTAGTAACTCTTACCATGCTTTGCACATAGAAGGCATTCTATATTTTTTTAATTCATAAATGAGCAACACAGTGGTTTTGCTGTTATACCTCCCATACAAAGTTAACCCTACTTACCCAGAGATAACTCTTATACTAGTCCATTGTATGGTATTCTGTGCATTCTCTTAGTCTTTTCATTTTATTCTGTTACAGGAAAAAATGTGTATTCGCTTTGGCTACAAACTTAATTAACTGAGAAGAGAAAAATGTTTTTATTATATGTTGTACATTATTTTTGAAAATGTATATCATAATTTCTAAAGTTTATTTATGTATTCATATTGCTTACATAATAACTCCAAATACAGATGCCATTTCTGAAGATGAAGAATTATGTAAGAACCATTTTCTTTGTCCAAAGAGGGTTATTCTCACTTTTCATAGTATATTGGAATTCTAAGGGCAAATGGTAGTTAAGAATGTACTTTTCTGCAAGGAGAATTCATTTATGTCACCACCTGCTAGCACCATCATCAGATTATCTGCCAAATCTCATATTTTACAATATTAATTTAAATACATTTATTTTTCAATATCTTCTATTGGCTTAGAGTAATCTAAATTTTAAAATCAAATGGTGGCAATTAAATAATTGCATATCTCTGATTTAATATTAATGAAGTTAGAGGCTTTTTTATTTTGAGATGGGATCTCACTCGGTCAGCCAGTCTGGAGTATAGTGGTGCCATCTCAGCTCACTGCAAGCTCCACCTCCCAGGCTTAAGCCAGCCTCCCACTTCAGCCTCCCAAGTAGCTGGGACCACAAGTGCACACCACCATGCCCAGCTGATTTTTGTATTTTTGGTAAAGATGGGGTTTTGCCGTGTTGACCAGGCTAGTTTCAAACTCCTGAGCTCAAGTGATCCACCCATCTCAGTCTCCCAAAATGCTAGGATTACAGGCATGAGTCACCATACCTGGACAAGTATTTTAATATTTAAAAAAAAAGACACTATCAAGTTGTGGCCCTAGATAAACAGAAAAACTTTGTAGCTTTATAGAAGAAAGTTAAAAGGGACTGTCATGAACCTATAGGCAGTTTCTTATTTCCCATCATCAAAACAGAGGAATCAAGTTCCTCATCAAAGTCCTTCTCTGACCATCCGTCATAAAACAGCAGGTCCCACTCTATTATCTGTCTCCTTAGTGTGCTTTATATTCCTTAATATTATTGATCATATTTAATATCATATTATGTACACAATTGCATATCTGTTTATTATATGTGGCCTTGGCAAGAATGTAACATCCTTTGGGGTAAGGGGGATTATTTTCCCCACTTCAGTGATACACATCAAAGACCTAGCAAGTAAATATGTATTTCTGGAATGAAAATATGTGATACTCAAGCTTCAAAAGAAAAAAAAAGACTTTGAAGGACATTCTAACAGAACACTTGAACATGGTGTTTATCATACTTCAATACTCTCCCTCTACCTGACAATCCCAATTTTTTCAAATTACCTTTGTAAAGATATTAAATTATAATTAAAGCAACCCAAAAGAAGACAAAACTCCCCTGTTCTCTGAATTTCATCTTTGTTCTTTTCTTTCCATTATTTAACTTTTTTTGATAAGCCTAAATATGTAATGTAAGCACTCAAAATACATTTAGATGATTTTTGTGATATGTATGTTAAAAACTATAATGTTTTCCAAACTTAATTTCATTTATTTCAGTATTATTAAATTACATAATTCTGCACTTTTCACGAGTGAGAAAATGATATTTGAATGTTCAAAATGAGTCAAATAATTGATAAATCATTTAATTTAAAACTTCATGTGGATTTATGTAATAATCTGATGAATGGTTATCAATAGGCTAATAACATTTAAATAATAGCAATACCAATTAATCCCAATATACCAGTTCAATAATGTCCAGAGTATTGACTTTCCAACTTTCAGCTATTCCCTCTTCTTAATTCTTCATGGCTTAACTTTTACAATATGATTATCCTACTCTCATTCTTTTCGGCTTCTATTTCATTTCTTCATAAAATATTCAATTTTAACCCCATCTACCAGCCTTCCAAATCACGTATCAGGATTGCTAAATGGTTTTGAATTTATGTGTATATATATATGTGTGTGTGTGTGTGTGTGTATGTGTACATATATATGTGTGTGTATATATATGTGTGTGTGTGTATATATATGTATGTATGTGTATGTATGTATGTATGTGTATATATATATATATATATAACTTTAAGACCACTGCCAGTAAACATCAGATTAACAACCCTAAGTGGCATTCAGGACCACTTCCTTAACCTTCTACTTCTGTACTCTCTTTAAAAGCTATTTGCTGTTGTCTGTATTTTTACAATTAATGTCATTAGATGTCCTCAACAATTCTTTTGTCTTCAAATGAGGCAGCATCGCATCTTCTCTGTCCTGGGACAATAGCTCCTCCTCTTTTATAAGGCTCTACCTGTGCCTTTACTGTACAGGTTCTCTACCTTGATGCTATTGGCATTTTTTTAACGGGTTCACTTTACATTGTTTAGCAGCAACCCTTTGACCACTAAATGCCAGTGGCAAACGGCCACCCCTAGCTGTGACAAACGTTTTCAGACATGAGGCCAAATCATCTTAAGTTGAGAACGACTGCCTTAGTGAATACCACTCCCTAACCATGCAATTCAGAGATCTTGTCTTAGAAAGTAACAAGTTATATAGTTTGGATGTTTGCCCACTCCAAATTGCATGTTGATATGTGATTCCCAATGTTGAATGTGGGGCCTAATGGGAGATGTTTGTGTCATTGGGACAGATCCCTTATGAATGGTTTGGTGCTCTCCAGTGATAAGTTCATGTGAGAGCTGGTTGTTAAAAAAAGATTGGGACCTCCTTCTTCTCTCCCTTGCTCCTTCTCCTGCCACGTGACATGGCTGTTCCGCATTCCACTGTCTGCCATGATTTTAAGCTTCCTGAGGTTCTCACCAGAAGTAGATGCTGACGCTATGTTTCTTTTACAGTCTGCAGAACGATGAGCCAAAGTAAATCTCTTCTCTTTATAAACTGCTCAGCCTGAGGCATTCCTCTATAACAATGCAATACACTGTAAAACAGCAACTGTTTGGTATCTGCTCCTTCTCCGCTTTTTCCCAGTAGCATGCCATTACTTTCTTTTTTTTTTTTTTTTTTTTTTTTTTTTTTGAGATGGAGTCTAGCTCTGTCGCCCAGGCTGGAGTGCAGTGGTGCAATCTCGGCTCACTGCAAGGTCCGCCTTCCGAGTTCATGCCACTCTAGTAGCTGGGACTACAGGCGCCTGCCACCACACCTGGCTAATTTTTTGTATTTTTAGTGGAGATGGGGTTTCACTGTGTTAGCCAGGATGGTCTCAATATCCTGACCTCGTGATCTGCCAGCCTCAGCCTCCCAAAGTGCTGGGATTACAGGCGTGAGACACCGTGCCCGGCCAGCATGCCATTACTTTTAATGGCAAAAATTGCAATTGCTTTTGCACCAACCTAATAAATATGCTCAATTTTTTTCTCATCTAAAAATAAACTTTTTGAACCCCTATTTTGGTTTCTAGATACTGATTTATTACTTTCTCTTCAAAGTTAAATTTTTGAATCAGTGTTTAAACTTACTTTTATTATATTTCTCTCTCAACTACAAGAAGTCTTTAGAAAGTAACCCGTTGTTCTCCCCAATGGAAAACATTTAAAACTTTATGTTTAAACACATTTGACAGTGTTGCTTACTCAGTAACTTTAAAATGCTCTTTGGATACAGCTTCTCAATCTCATGCTCATAAGCTTCTTTCTGGATTCTTCCCATAAATATTGGTGTTGCTAGCTTCTGCTATAGTCCATTTTATTTATTTATTTATTTATTTATTTATTTATTTATTTATTCTTTTTAGAGACAAGGTCTTGCTCTGTCACCCTGGCTGGTCTTGAACTCCTGGCTTCAAGCAATTCATCCATCTCAGCCTCCTGAGTAGCTGGGATTACAGGTACAAGCCACTGCACCCAGCTGTTTTTTGTTTTGTTTTGTGTTTTCTCCTCACCATATAAGTTTAATTGCCTAGTTTAAGCTCCTACCGTCTTTCATCTTCAACACAGAACTATCTTGGTGTTAAGAAATCTATCTTTAACATTTGCTGATTGGCTGACTAATCACTGTATTATGAGTTATATCCATTATAATGTTTTTAACATGTTTATTTTACTCAATGGGGAATCTAGATGACTTGCTGCATGTGAAGAACAGTTCCTGGCACAGGGTTTGCTCCAAATAAATGTTGTCATCATCACCAGCACCATCATCGTCACCATCATCATAAATGTAAACATAATAATAGCAAATACCTTACTGAGCTTAAATGTATGTTTAATTCAATGTATTTAAAATTAAATCCTTTATCTCTGCATTTTGCTCAAGCATCGTGCTGTTCTTATTCACATCTAAACCAGGAGTCATCCCTGACTCCAGAATCACATTGATTCTATGTTTCTTTGTGGAATATTAATATTAACCAGTTCTACCACCATTGCCAGAATCTATCTCATCTCAGTATCAGTAAGTGCTATCCAATCATACCTCACCTCAAATTCTATATAGTCCACCACTTGTCTCTTTTCCTTGGAATCTGTGTGACATTCCAAAACTCCAAACCAGATCATTATTCCTGCACTTTAAATTCTACTTTGTCTTTCCATACTCCTTAGGTTAGACTCAAACTTCTTTATATATATATTTTTTAATTATAGTTTAAGTTCTAGGGTACATGTGCACAACGTGCAGGTTTGTTACATCTGTATTCATGTGCCATGTTGGTGTGCTGCACTCATTAACTCGTCATTTACATTAGGTATATCTCCTAATGCTATCCCTCCCCCCTCTCCCCTCCTCCCTCCCCACAACAGGCCCTGGTGTGCGATGTTCGCTTTCCTGTGTCCAAGTGTTCTCATTGTTCATTACTGGGTATATACCCAAAGGAATATAAATCACGCTGCTATAAAGACACATGCACACGTATGTTTATTGTGGCACTACTCACAATAGCAAAGACTTGGAACCAACCCAAATGTCCAACAAGCATAGACTGGATTAAGAAAATGTGGCACATATACACCATGGAATACTATGCAGCCATAAAAAATGATGAGTTAATGTCCTTTGTAGGGACATGGATGAAGCTGGAAACCATCATTCTCAGCAAACTATTGCAAGGACAAAAAACCAAACACCGCATGTTCTCACTCATAGATTAGACTCAAACTTCTTAACCTGGTTCAGAGGGTACTAAACAAACTAGCCCCTTCCTTATCTCTTACATATCTTTTCCTCTGCCTGGAACTCATGGGATTCTTTGTTCTACTTCTGTCTCCCATTGCTGGAGGAATATTATTGAAAATGTGTTGGTTTAAATCTCCATTCAGCTTCTTACTAGCATAGATACTGGAGTGTGGGAAGTTTTCAAAAACTTCATTTTACGGTAGTATTATTACTAATACTACCACTTTGTTTTTTGTTGTTGTTGTTTTTGTTTGTTTGTTTTGTGTGTGTGTGTGTGTGTGTGTGTGTGTGTGTGTGTGTGACAGAGTTTTGCTCTTGTTGCCCAGGCTGGAGTGCAATGGCACAATCTCAGCTCACTGCAACCTCCACCTCCCGGATTCAAGCAATTCTCCTGCCTCAGCCTCCTGAATAGCTGGTGCTACGGGCACATGCCACCATGCCTGGGTAATTTTTTTTGTATTTTTTTAGTAGAGATGGGGTTTTGCCATGTTGGCCAGGCTGGTCTCGAATGCCTGACCTCAGGTAATGCACCCATCTCAGCCTCCCAAAGTGCTGGGATTACAGGCGTGAGCCACCACGCCGGCCTAGTACTACTACTTCTAATGGTAAACTTCATCAAATCTCAGCTTAAATTTTATTCCTGGGATTGCTTTTTCTAATTCCTTAGATTTGTTTTGCTAACCCCACTAAGACCCTTTTTCATTTTTCCCCTGTCATTTACTTCCCATTTACATTATGGGTTTATTGCCTTCTTTCCTTCCTTCTTACCCTCCATTGCTTCTAAGCAGACATTTTATCCATTTTATTCCTAGAGCATATCAGAGTACACAGAATGAAGTATTATTTGCTCAAAAATATTCATTTAAATATTCTTTTAAATGAATGACCAGATAAATGGATGGATGAATAAATAAAGTAACAATAATTAGAAAATTTCTTAAATATTTCAATCTGAAATTCTGGCTTCAGTTATGGAACTTTATATTATTTTAATTGAGCAAGTATTTTAATTTTCATGGTGTCCAATGATTGTATGTATAAAAATAAGAAATGCTGCTTATTTGTAAAAAAGTTGTTGGACAAATAATATGAAGAGAGTATGTAAAATGTAATGGCTAATAATAATAACAATACTTTTTAAATGATTACTGTGTCCCAGGCACTGTGTTTCACATTTATGGATTATATTATTTAAGACTTACAATAACCCTATGAGGAAAGCATTATCAATATTACATTTTTCCTCCAATGTTTTTATGTTAGAAAAAACAGTGAAGCATAGACAGTTTTTGCAAGAGGCCCAAGATCATACATCAAATATGTGCACAGCCAGGACCTGAACCAGTTGATATCTACAAATGCCTGGCTTTTGCCACTGGGCTCCTTCAGGTATATCTAACTTTTACACTCTAAGTTTGTTTCTGCTGTTTTGTTGTTGTTGTGTATGTATATATAAAATACTATTTAAAAGTAAAAACGTTTTGTATTTTTGCTTAGGCTTTATGGATGAGAGAACAAAATTATTACAATAATAAATAATCAAAACAACTAATGCCAAAAGGTTTATGTATTCAAGGAGGTCACTATGCACTATTCTTTTTTCTGAAAATTACATCCAAAAGTCTACTTAATAACCAAACATTTAAGCATTTTCAAAATAAACTCATTAACATTAATTTTTCTAACAGAAGAAATTTTCTGCATGAAAACATCATCTTTAGGTAGTCAAAAGCAATTTTATTATAAAATTATATGTGTACCTTCAAGGGAAATCAAAATGAATTCTGAATATTTTAGTAATTTCAATAGCTCTGCATATCTAAATTTTTATTCATGAAATGGTTTTATACTTTTAGGTTATTTCATAAGATGAATACATAACTGAGTTGCAGATGGCCAAAAAATACCTTTATATTATTTCTGATATATTGCATTTGAAATTTTGTATTTCTATGGTATACATATTTATGTAACACTTAACATAATATTTGAGATTATAAAAGAAATAGAAATTCCTCAGGTTTCCCATATATGCATAATTTACAGCAGTATATTTCCACATAGGAAAAACTGTGCTTAATCATTGTTTATTTAATCATATCACTTTGATTAAAACTTATATTTTGAATTTGTATTTTTACCCATTTTAATTCACCACATATCCCTTCTTTTTAACAAGCACATTAAGAAAAATAGAGGCAGAAATACTGTCACGTTCCAAAGTCACAAGACTAATTAGTAAATACAGAGGTAACACCTCACAGACATTACACTGCTAGACTTTTGCACAACTCACTCATCCACACTCCTTTTTTCACCTTTTAAAATATGTAGAGATAAGTCATCTAATATGATACTGGGCTTTATTTTGATGGATCTAACCAATTAGACTCACTCTATCAAAAAAAAATCCAATAATGTGCATAATAAATTCTTCTCATTCTCTGTGCACCTGTTCTCTCTCATTATGTCTAAAACTTGGGATTACTCCAAAGTGTTCCATAATGACTTTTTATAAGCACAGCAAGTAGGAGAAATTCTTCAAGGACAGAGTGAATTGGTATTTGAAGTTGTGCTAACTACCTAGGTAGGAGGGAAGTGATAACAAAAGAAAGACCATGAGGCACATATCATTTGGAGGTAGGACGATTTATGGGATAAAGAATCATGCCACCAGTGATGAAAGGTACAAAAATCCTAAGCAGTCCCAGTTTCTCAGTTTTGTAAACATTAGCGCATATTTTCAATTAATGTTTTTTTTCCTGTATTCAGTTTTCGGAAAATGTTTAAGCAACACAGTCTTGTTTTTGTCTTTTGTTTTATACATCTTGGAAGATACTTAAAAGAGTGATTAAAAGAGTGATTATTTCACGTTTATAGCCACTGTGTATCTGTAGAACTACATATATTTACTTTTAGTTGCAATTTAATTTTGTGTGTGTGTGTGTGTGTGTGTGGTTGAATCTCACTCTGTCACCCAGGCTGGAGTACAGTGGTGCAACCTTAGCTCACTGCAACCTCTGCCTCCCGGGTTCAAGCAATTCTCCTGCCTCAGCCTCCCAAGTAGCTGGGATTACAGGTGCCCACCACCACGCCTGGCTAATTTTTATATTTTTAGTAGAGATGGAGTTTCACCATGTTGTCCAGGCTGGTCTCGAACTCCTGACCTCAGGTGATCCACTCAAACTCGGCCTCCCAAAGTGCTGGGACTACAGGCATAAGCCGCCGTGCCAGCTTAGTTGCAATTTCAATTGTTTCTATTGTCTAATCACTGATCTTTGTCTGCATTCAAATTTCCCCAAACTTTTGAGGTTGACATAGGTAAACAATAGCTAAGTTTCCCTCTACAAAATTAAATCATGAAATGAGACTAAGGCTATATGGGAGTAAAACTTGACTAACCCCTTCCTTTTTAAAAAGTCTGGTACTAGCTGGGCTTCAAATAGTTATCTTAACTGCTTCCAGTCACTTTTGAAATATATAGATTACCACTTTAATATGCTGACTTTACCTGATACAAGATTATGACACATACTATTTTATATTATAACAATTATAAATAATCAATTGTTGATTTTCTGTGGTGGAGCTCTGGATTAATTGAGGTAGAGAAAAGGACATGTAGAATTTAAATCTATAGCTAATCATCCAAATCTTCTTCAGAAGACTATAAACATACAAATTTAAGACAAAACTATAGCAAACAGAATTAGCCTAGGAAAGCAAGAGGAGTCCCCTAAGATACATTCTGGAGTATGAACTTCTATTTCTCCCTCCTTCTTTCTCTCCTTCCCTTGCTCTTTCCTTCCCTACATCCCTTCCTTCCTCCTTCTCTCCTTCCTTCCCTCCCTGTCTTCCTTCCTTCCTTTCTCCTTTTCAAATGAACGTGATGGATCTATTTTTAAGACAATGTCATTCTAAAAATATCACTGTCATTTGTGGATTAATGAACCAAATTACAGGAAATTAATTGCTTATTAATATCCAATCAGCCTGACCCATAAGTGAAAGTGACTCTTTATATAACCAATATTTTATAATGGCATAAACCAATATTATACCAATATTTTATACCATTATAAAATATTGGTTATATAAATAACTTCAGAATAGTTTTGGCTTAAATCAAGTTTTATTCTCTCCTGTTACGTTCTCTTCTTTTTATTTATTATGACACCACTATGATTGAACTAATATACTATTAATCAAAATTCTAAGAGAGTTGGCTTTTAGCAGAGATAATATATCCTTCAATGAGGGCTAATAAAATAATAATAGGTGATATTTATTGATAATTTACTTTATGCTGGACACTGTATCAATCATGTTAAATGTTATATCACTTTAAGCACTGAAACCGAGGTGTTTAAAAGGAAGAGAAAAAAATGAAAGCAGAAAAAATAATTTTGAAGTTAATAGAAGAAAATGTAGTGGAAGGTTTATCTTATTCAGAATTTTGATGAGATCATGTTTTTATTTGCCCTTACCCTTAGTATTAAGTAGTGCACATTTCTTTCCTTCGAACTAAATTCTATGAATTGAAAATAACTTCTAGACTTTAACTGATAGGAAAGTCCTACCTCAGAATACTTCAACAGCTCTCTTTGAAAATTGGCTCTCTTTGTTTAATGTCAGCATTTTGTGAGGCTGCTCAGTTCCTACAGTGACAGAAATTTTAGGAAGAAAATAGCCTCAAAGAAATAATAAGCTGTTGAATTCTCACTCAACAAGTCTGAGCCTGTTTCAGTTTTCTAAATTAGGGGAAAAACTGCCAATGATATTAAAAAATATTGTATGTGTCAAGATTTGAAGTTTTAATTCAGATTTTTCTTCCTAAGTCGTGCTGGTGATTGCTGGGAAGAGATGGAGATAAGCAGCCTTGACTCACTCCGGGTGAGTTAAGAGTGAGTGTGCTTGCGAAAGACCTGAGATCAAATTAAGGCTCTACAACTTACACATTCTGAAAGCTAAGGCAACTTCCTAAAAGTTCTTTGAGCCTCAGCCTGTAAAATTTTAACTAAAATTGAATTAATGATAAATTATTCACAAAATTGTGGGTAAAAAAGCACTTTGCACATTTATGTCCTAGATAAACATCTGTGCCTTCCATTATCTGTGCAATTCTAAGGAAATCACTTAAACTTTTAATAAACAGGAACAATAATAGTATATTTGTTTCAAAGCAGTTTTGTAGACCAGATACTTACTTTGAGATTTATTTAATCCAATCTTAGAGACAGTTATATGAACTCAAATGGAAATTCTGACTTCATAGGTATGAGTTGGGGTCTTTCTAATAATTGCCATATCAACATTCCTGAAGAACATGTATAACAACCGGGGTTCTATGTTCTGAGTGAGAGATGAACTTTAGTTAAATAAGCAGCAGGATTTAGGTGTACTAAGAATCAGGGGTAGAAAAATAGGGCAGTCTATTTTGATGAGGTAGGTAGTAGGTTTGGCTTTGTAGGCAGACACAGCTGATGCTCTTTACCACTAATAACCCAGCCAGACTCACAGGGCCACTAACACAATTGGGCATAATTAACACTTTCTCTGCAGAGTTAATGATTTCTCAAATAGCCTGTAATTGTTCATTATTTCCTTTCATTTCAATATCCTTGAATAAAACACTGGTCATCTAAGGAGAGTGTACAAAGTAAAGTTTCCCTAGTTGCATTACAGATCCTGATTCTACCAAGATCATATAATGGTAGATTCTCTCAGAATATGAGATATTCTTATATATGCTGGAGTAAAAACTGCATATAACTGTAGAGTATATTCATTCTTTCAATCAGAAAAACACTCAACTGCCAGTGTTTTAGGCATTGGTGAAATAGTCAAATAGAAAGCAAACACTTTTGTCCTCAGAGTTTATGTGTTATGAAGGATAAGAGAGTAAACAAATAAATTAATAAATATAAAATTATGACAATAGCAATAAGTGCCTTGAAGTATAAATATCAGGATAAAGATGGTGAAGAGAGTGACAAAAGAAATACTTTTGACTGGATAACATAGCATGCATTGAAAAAATTAATGGAAAAATTTAACTGAGCAAAAATGAATAAATTGAGATGGCAAACACTTGGAAAAAACTGATTTGGTTAGTAAAATTAATATTTCTGTTTTGAGATTATTTTTCATTCAATGGAATTAAATATATGTATCTTGATTTAAGTGGAGAGATCTGGGCTATTAATGCATTTTGGAAAATCATCAGCAGTCAAATGAAATTTGAGAACTGAGTGTAAATAAACAAAACAAGTTTAGTCCATAGTCTGAGCCATTCGGCATCTTAATATTGGGAGGTAAGAAAGAGGAATAATAAAAGAATACTGAAAAATACTCTGGAAGACTCTGCAAGCGTGGATTCTTAGAAACCAGGAGCAGAGTGTTTCAAGAGGGAAATCTGAAAAACCATTGACAATGATAACAGCTGAAATGCAGGAAGACTCAGAACTGATATCGATCAGAATAGTTCCTGTGGAGGAATAGGCACAAACAACTCACTGGTATGGATTCAAGAAAGAATGGGAGGCAAGAATATGCAAGCAGTGAGGATAGACATCTCTTTCAAGAAGTGCTTCAATACTTTTTCAATAAAGAGAAGTAGGGAAATTAGGCAACATCTAGAGAGTTTTGAAAGAGTATAACTGAATAAGTAACTTCCTCAGAGTCTTAATGATTATATAAAGCCAACACTAAAAGTTAAATACATCCGAAAGATGTTAAACAAGGTATGCCCTGGCTTGAACTATCATCAAATGACTTCATGATCTACATTTACACTGTTCCCATATACAGCGTATGATCATTTCACTTTCTAGTTTATATCTAATTTGTATTGTCTGGCAAAAGATTGTATATTTTAGGTGTCCTTTACTTTGTGTTTATTCTTATTATCCTAGACAACAAAATTAAGCTTTCATCACACATTAGAGTAACTAATTACAAGACAAGACAGAGAGATAATGTCACTGGGACATCATTGCTTTGTGAGGCCTAGGGTCTTTACCAAGTGATCTGTTCCTGAACTCAATGGTGTAGGCATTTTATAAATAAATTTGAAAGGAAAAAGGCCTTACTAGTCCTTTATAAGGAGTCAGAACAGTGGCTGTTAAACCCAGGAAAGCTCAGAATCTACTATTCTATTTGAGTTTATTCTATTGGAGGTCAGAGTGACATTCAGGTTTGTTTGGCAGCTATTGCTCCCCCAGAAAGACAAAGGTATTTTTTTTTGTTTGGCTGACTGATTGGTTTTACTTCTCCCACAAAATTAAAAGAGATTGATTATTTTGGTCATTTTCCATTTATTAATTTTTATTTATTCTGTACCAGTATATTCTCACAATGTGGGCTGGCTGCCATGAATAAAAATACAGTTGACCCTTCAACAACATGGGTTTACACTGCATGAGTCCACTTACACGCAGAATTTTTTTCAGTAAATACAGCCAGTCCTCTGTATCTAAGGATTTCACATCTGCAACCAAATGCAGATCAAAACTATAGTATTTGTGGGATGTAAACACCATATATACAGAGGCCGAATATGTTTTTCATATAGGTGGATTTTCATACAGGGGGGTTTTACCCAGTCAACTGCAGGATTTGAGTATCCAGATTTTGGTATAATCAGGACGTCCCGAAACTAAACCCTGGCAAATACTGAGGGACAACTGTATATCCCACAACATGGCAAATCAATATTTCAGTTGAAAAAAATTATTACTATAGATATGAGATCTTAAAATATCCTCATTCTTATCTGAACAATAAAAAAGTCCTTTTTAGCTATTTCTGTATTCACATTACTTGACATCTTAATCATTAGCAAAGGGGAGATAATCTCAATATCACATCCCAAACCAATGCAACCTTCTAAGTTAATATGCAAGATGGTCAACCTAACAGAGACCACAAAAGCTAATGATTGTGTTGTCTGAATGAAAGTCAAACAATGACTTAATTTGGTGTACCATTGACGATGCCTTCTTGCATATTAAGTACTTTTTGTTTCTACTTTTCCTTATAGATGAAAAAAATTCCTCTTCCTTTTTGCCTCACTTTGTTTGGAGAAGACAAAATTTTCTTTCATTTATTGACACATTTTATTTTTTTCTGAAGAATGTCATGGAACTGGAATATCACTTGAAAGAACATGAGTACTCTGTGGATAACGTGTTCTCCCACTGCATACATTATTTCAAACAACTGTTTATTTTATTTTATTTTTGAGACAGGGTCTCACTCTGTCACCCAGGCTGGAGTGCAGTGGTGCAATAATGGCTCACTGCAACCTCTGCCTCCTGGGTTCAAGTGATTCTCATGCCTCAGCCTCCCGAGCAGCTGGGCTACAGATGTCTGCCATGACCCCGGCTAATTTTTGTATTTTTAGTAAAGACAGGGTTTCGCCATATTGGTCAGGCTGGTCTCAAACTCCTGACATCAAGGGATCCACCCACCTCGGCCTCCAAAGTGCTGAGATTACAGGTGTGAGCCACCAAGCCCAGCCAAACAATTCTTTCTTAGTTTCCTCTCTTGTTTGCCCTTCTGAATCTGCTCACTATTTTTTTAGTGCCCTTATTTGTAGAGATTTTAATTTAGAATATATCCATATTTTTGACTGTCCCTACTCACAAGCCATCACTTTTGATTTTTTGAAATATAGTCTCTCGATTCTTAATTATACCTTTGCTCTGGATGCTGTTCACCATTATGCATCAAGAGCCCACCCAGGCACCTTTCAGGAACCACCTATAAACTCTACAGTCTCAGCTTCTATGAAAAGCCTGGGTTCTCTCTTTCTCTGAAAGAATACTTTACGATACTAGTCAAAGTTATTTCTATTATGAGTGATACTTCCCTATTTTATTCCTTATATATGAAATTAGAAGTGTATAATAAGTCAGAGAAATTATTTAATATCTGTGAACATATGTTTCCATCAGTTTTTGTGTGTATGCATATCTGAAATGGAATAAAAGAGAAAATATTGCCAAATGTCCATATTTTTCTTCCATTTTTCCATCTGTTTCTAAATACTTCTTGCTAACCAACTCATGGGAATTTCCTCAGACTATATTCTTTTTTATCAGCAATTTTGTATGTTAATAAACACAAGGAGTAAAAAAAAAACATTCAAGCCATATGCTGGAAATTCATGTTCACTGAATCTTCAATTTTGTGGTATAATGATTCTAATCAAAAGTTCTGTAAGGGTCAGTAGATAACAATGCAAAATAAAATCCACGTAGCTTAGATACTCACCGAAGGAGTACCATTTATTAATATTTAGAAAATCATCACTGAATCAACAGTTCATTTCTTAAATAGGACTAGGGTATTGTACAACACAGAACTTACATATATTTATTATTTTGTAATTCTGTCACATTCCCTCCTTTGACCTACTTTCCCAAATTTATTTTAACTCACATGAGAACATGTCAAGCCAGAGATGGATATCCTCCTATTCAAATATTTTTAAAAATATATTGAGGGGATCCTGTGGGTCTAGAAATAATTTCCACATTAGTACCTAGAAGTGATAACATTTTATGGAATGCATATAAAATTATTATAGAAATGCCTATATTCTGCTGATTTCCCAAATGCAGCAGGAAGTTAAACTGAATGAACATCGGTCATCATTTATACATTAATTCTGCATTGGTTGTAACCTGGAGATTGTCATGCTGGATCAGACTTGTGGTAAATTAAGGGATGAGCCCTCTTTATATAATTGAATTGCTCATTCAGCATCTATTTCTTGGCACTTGCAAAAGTCCAGGATCTGTTTTGAGCAATGAAGAAATAGCAATGAACGAAATTGAGAGTGCCTGAATTATCCACCATAAACTCAGTACCGATACTGAAACTAAAATATATATGAGGTTATTTTCATATATATTTTCATAGTGATTTATGACTATCAGTCTTACACACACACACACACACACACACACAAATATATGTATATGTATATACATATATAATTATATATCACTAAATAATTATATAGTGATCTCATGAAATGGTGGTTATTATTATAATACTTGTTACCTTAGAGTAGTAAATGCCATAAATACTCATTTTATGGGTAAGCTCTTGCATCGAGTTCTTTTAAGTGTGCATCATTGAAGTTATACATATTGTTCTTATCCTAATATGTAATTATTTGATGAACATATAATAATACAAACAGTATTTCTGCCAAGCATGATGTCATGAATATGTTTAAGATTTCTTGAAATATGTCAAAGCATCTAATACATGACTTGGCTAATATTTCTTTACAAATTTTGCTTTTCAAATTGAACATAGCATCGATATTTTAAGTTAAACAACATATTAAGCTAATATTGTAAAAGAAGACTCTTCTGTGTTCTCCGATTACTTGCCTTTGTTACAGACTATGATTGTGAAAACTTTATTTTATATATATATAAAATATATGTCACAAAATGGTACATCTATTTTAGATGACTGCTGTCTTCACAGTTTTCTGATAATTTTATATGTTCTATTTCTCAGTGCATCCTGAGCTCTCACTCCTGCTTGCCTTTGCCCATAGTACTTCCTCTGCCTACAATGCTCTTTTTTCTTTGTTAAAATTTTCCTCATCTTTCAAGATTCATATCAGTGATTCTCTTTTCCATAAAATAGGTACTGATTTTTGCTTTCTATATCCCAGTCTCTGTGCAAAGCACGTTAACTTTCAACATTTTACTTTATAATGAATTTTGTCATCCCAGTTATACAAATGAGACATAGAAGCTCAAAAGAATCTTTAACTTCTCTAAAGGTTAGCAGATGGTTAAGCTGGGAATTGACACCATGCTATCTGGCTACAAAGTGACTGTGCATATTCTTCTATATATATATATATATATATATATTTAATATATTATTTCAATTTCTGGATATCTATTGTATGTGATTATCACCACTACTAAGCTATAAGATTCTGGAGAAGCAAAACTACTGTATTTTATTCTCATCATTTCTTGTTATCAGCTGACATTCCATAAATATTAATTGATAAAGGGATGAATGGAAACATTAATGACTAAAATTTTACTGCATTCCATGGCAGTACTTATTATTTTAAACAGCTTTTCTATTGAAAACCTGTTACTTATGTGAAATTAAAATTAAGCTCCTCCTAATGTTCCACTTTCCTCCTAGTTAAATTCCTTGGTGGCCTTTAGTATACATTTAATTCATTTCCCTTCTCATGTTTAAAAGCAACTCTTATTACAGAGCAAATCTCCCGATTTCCTTTTGTCGTTATTCATATGCAATACATTTATTGTATGGTCTTTGCCATTCTTCTTTATTAAAACTTGATTTGATTCAACATAATCAAAACACTATTTAATGATCATTAGCTATTTTTCAGTCTAATTGTGAATAGAAGATTCCCATGAAATAGCAGATTGACTTGGAAAAAGCAGTGATATCTCACTTATTCTAGAGGTCTGTCTTCATTATGGCATCCT